>NC_000003.12:53040303-53343333 GCF_000001405.40 Homo sapiens | reverse complement strand
ACCTTGGATAAAGGTATACCAGGATGTCAGACTGTCACTTTGCAGCTATTACTTCATATAGTAGAAGCTTGGATTTGGAGTCAAAAAACCTGAAACTGAATCCTAGTTATATTATTTGTAACTCATTATTTGTGTGACCTCAGGCACAGGCCTTATCATTCAAAGCTTGTCTCCTAATCTATAGAATAGTGTTCTGTTAACACCCCGGGTATATCGTAGAGAAACAAATGAAAAACGGTGAAGTGTTAGGTACATGTGAAGAGTAAAGGATCATGTACCGAATCCCTCTGATATGGGAACCAAGGATGTTTCCTATTGTAGGATTCAAGGCATTTTCCGTCTAACTCAGGAGCGCTATGTAAATATCTATTTGTTGCAAGAAAAACATTATTGTAATGATGGGCAGCCATTATAGCCAATCCAATTGAATGATATTTCATTCAGCAACTGTGTGTCTATCTTGGGATATATGTATGAAAAAAGTAAGACAAAAGCTCCATTTGCATGGGGCTTACATCCTAGTGGGGGGAGGACAATAAATACTAAAAATAAGTGGTATGGATAAAAGAGGAAGGTTAGAGATATTGAGCTTGGGAGCATTAAAAAGGATAGTTCAAGTAGGCCTCATGAAAAAGGTGACATCTGAACAAAGGCTTGGAGGAGATGAGATAGCTGTGCAGCTTCTGGGGCAGTAATCCAGGAAGAGGTTTTTAGGTAGAAGCACACACGCAGAGAGAGTGGCAAGGAGCCCGGTGTGGCTGGAGAGTAGGAGCTGGAGAAGAGCCATAGGAAATGAAGTCAGAGTGGGGAGTATATCAGGTGGGGCCTTGGTGGCCTCAGTAAGGACTTTGGCCTTTACTCTGAGAGACTGTCTTTGGAGACTTCTCGTCAGAGGAGGAGTATGATCTGACTTAAATTTTTTGTTTACAGATGTAAGTGCTGATAATATTGTATAATGTTCTAATGCATTCTTTTTTGAAATGAAAATAAAGTACATAGTAGATAACATTTCTACAGATTAAATGGTAACTACATATTTTTTTTTCTTCTATTAAATCTAAGGTCAGCTTCCCCTTACCATGGTTTTACCATTGTGAATCGACTAAATATGCACAATCTAGTTGAACCAGTGAATAAAGATTTGGAATTTCAGCTCCATGAACCATTTCTTCTGTATAGAAATGCAAGCTGTGAGTATATCTGTTTTATTATAGTTATTACATTTAAAATTGAGTGACTTTAGTTTCTATCAATCCATTATTTAGGAAGTTTCAAATTACAAAACAAAATATGGTCTCTACTTAATGATTATAAATGAGTCTGTTGGAAAGATCAAACCTTTTAAACTGGGCTCTGAGGCCAGAGGTGGTGGCTCATGCCTGTAATCCCAGCACTTTGGGAGGCCGAGGAGGGCAGATCACTTGAGGTCAGGAGTTCGAGACCAGCCAGGCCAACATGGTGAAACCCCGTATCTACTAAAAATACAGAAAAAAATTAGCCGGGCTTGGTGGCAGGCGCCTGTAATCACTTGAACCTGGGAGGTGGAGGTTGCAGTGAGCTGAGATCGCGCCACTGTACTCCAGCCTGGGCAACAGAATGAGACTGTGTCTCAAAAAAATAAATAAATAAACTGGGCTCTGAAACTGGAAACATTCTTTTGTATATAATTTAGTTTACTATTTCATTTAATAGCACTACATTTCTGTTGTCGGTTTATTAAAATAAGGTTTATGCCTTTGTTTTTTTGCAGCTGTGGACTATCAGCTGCCCATGTCCCTAAGCAACAGAACTTAGTTTGGGACACACAGGATGGGAACAGATACAGATAATTCTTTCCACAAAGAAAGTATTATTATTACTATTATTATTTTCTTTTTTTTGAGACGGAGTCTTGCTCTGTTGCCCAGGCTGGAGTGCAGTGGTGTGATCTAGGCTCATGCAAGCTCTGCCTCCCGGATTCATGCCCTTCTCCTGGCTCGGCCTCCCAAGTAGCTGGGACTACAGGCACCCGCCACCACGCCTGGCTAATTTTTTTGTATTTTTGGTAGAGAAGGGGTTTCACCGTGTTAGCCAGGATGGTCTTGATCTCCTGACCTTGTGATCTGCCTGCCTCGGCCTCCCAAAATGCTGGGATTATAGGCATGAGCCACCACGCCCGGCCAGAAAATATTATTTTTGCCCAGAATAGTGGTGATGGGTTTTTTTTTTTAAGATATTTATTACTTTTTCTACTTTATTTTGTCTGAATATGTTTCTAAGTAAGGTTTTTCTATCTGTTTATTTAATTGAGTGTCTACTGGTTACCAGCACTGAGCCAAGAGCTGTGGTGCTTTAATGTTAACGATACAGTTACCTATGTGGTGTAAGCAGGCAGTTAAGTCAACTGAGACTCAGAGATGCATAACTATTACCCTGTTGGAGAGTTAGGATTATGACTATTCTTCTGCTTTTTAGTCCAGGGTTCTTTCAGGCATTTTTACAATCTCTAATAACGATTGGATGTAGTCAGCAAAGCTAGAGTGGCCCTTCCAAGAAACTACAGTACTAAAAAATATACTTGATTCCAGTGTATTAGTATGGATATTGAAGGTATGGGTGTTTGAGGACAGTTTGTTGGACATTGACTATAGGGATATGAAAACTGGTTATGGTAACAATGATTGTGCTCTAATTGGCATCTAAGGATATAGTTGGAGAAATGTTGCTTCTAACTTAAAAAGTAAAAGTTAATGTGTTTGAATTTCACTTGGCGGGGGGGTAATTGGTCTTGGGGGATGTCTTCAGTATAAAATAGAAAAAGTTACTAAAAATTATACACCTCTTAATTCCCTGAATGAGAAGTAACAAGGCCTATTTTAAAGCTAGAAACCCCCAAGTTCTTTTCCGTAGCACACTTTGAAGTATAAGTGAAATAGGTTCTATCTTTTGACTTCTCAGTAAACTATTTGTCCAGGTAATTACCTCTCAGATTTTAAATTCTGTGGACATATTAGACATGCTTTGTAATAGCTGTAAGTTCAGATGGATTTATTTAAACTAATGTTAACAATGTAATTATTTCAGATTGCTCTTTTCTTTGTACTGAATATTCCATTAAAGGGAAAATTCGGCTGGGCAAAGTGGCTCAACACCTGCAATCCCACGATTTTGGGAGACCGAGGCAAGCAGATTGCTTGAGCCCAGGAGTTTGAGACCAGCCTGGGCAACATGTCAAAACCCCCACTCCACAAAAAAATAGAAAAATTAGCCAGGTGTGGTGTCACACACTTGTAGTCCCAGCTACCCAGGAGGCTGAGGTGGGAAAGTCGCTTGAACCCAGGAGGCTGTCCAGGCTGCAGTGAGCCATGATTGCGCCACTGCACTCCAGCCTGGGCAACAAGCGAGACCCTGACTCAAAAAATGAAAAGAGGGTGGGAGAAATTCTGCAAATGAATATGGATCCAATTTTTTTTTAAGTGAAATAGGCTTAATTCTGTTCTTTACTGCCTGGAAACTTAATCTAGCCATCACTCCTAAGTGGTTTGATTATTAAAGTAGTCAGTAGGGAAAGTTATCCGGACCCAGTTACCATTTAGCATAAACCTGAGATGAATTGTATTATATTTTTTTCACAAGGCAAAAGTCCTGTGAAATTGAAAGTGTGACATAACACAAATGTAATTGAACCATGAGTAACCAGAAGCTAACTAATTAGAGCTTCAGTTGTCTGGAAATATTTTTATAGTTCGTGTGTGGAAGAAATGAAGGCAAATTATAAGAAAACAAGCTAATACTAGGTTTTATTTTCTGAAAATCAAGCAGATATCCAGAGAATAACCTGGGGTCGGCATTAAAATGTCAATATTTTATAACTTTAACTCCACTGTAGTATCATAGGTTAAATTGTTATAGTGAGACCTAAAATCATCAGGAGTATTTATTATGTTAACTAGAACATTCTTGGGGAGAAAGTGCATTAATGCATTTTACTTTAGAAAATTTTCAACTGATTGAAACAAAAGTTTTCTTAGTTGAACAGAAAACTCACTTAACCAGGTCATTTCATTAGGGAAAGTATTTAAAGGAATAGCTGTATTGGGGAGAAGTGATAAGACAACAGAAAATGATTTTGTGAGTGTTAAGCCCTCTCGAGTGTGTGTTTTGTCTACATAGTCTTAAAAGTGGAAAATAGTCTTGTCAGGTCAGCGAGCTATTAAGTTGTTTAGGGATTTGTTCTTTAAATAAAAAGTTAGTATCTGATTATGCATACAGGTAATTATACCTGATTCTATAGCTGCACTTCTGCCATTCTCTTGTGGGAAATACCATCAAGACACCTGACCCATTTAACTCAAGTGACACCTTCATATCCAACTTCTTTCATTCAAATTAATTTTTGGAGTTAATGTACTAGAACAGTGAACCATAACTTTTTTTCAGTTCTAAGTTATTTGTTTTATTTATTTTTAAGAGTTTTTCTTTTTTTTTTTTTTTGAGACGGAGCCTTGCTCTGTCACCCAGGCTGGAGTGCAGTGGCATGATCTTGGCTCACTGCAAGCTCTGCCTCCCAGGTTCACGCCATTCTCCTGCCTCAGCCTCCCGAGTAGCTGGGACTACAGGCGCCCACCACCACGCCCGGCTAATTTTTTCTATTTTTAGTAGAGACGGGGTTTCACCGTGTTAGCTAGGATGGTCTCGATCTCCTGACCTCGTGATCCACCTGCCTTGGCCTTCCAAAGTGCTGGGATTACAGGAGTGAGCCACCGCGCCCAGCCAAGAGTTTTTCTTTATAAAACATGCCCATCTACACCCACCCCACCCCTCAAGAAAAAGATAAAATCTTAAAGAGAAAATTCTTACACTGACTAAGGGCTTAGGCTTGGTGATTCTCTTAAATCTTTGTGGGGTAGTGGTGGTGGTGGTGGTGGTTGTTTTCAAAAGACAAGGTCTCACTGTGTTGCCCAGGCTGGTCTTGAACTCCTGGGCTCAAGCAATTCTCCCGCCTCAGCCTCCCGAAGTGCTAGCATGGGCCACCATGTCCAGCCTCTTGAATCTTTTGGGAACAGTGTATTTTTATTCTGTGCAAGGGCCTTTTGGCAGTCACAAGACCCCAGTGGGATTGCAATGAATTATGGGGAGGTTATAAATTCTGGAGTTATTGAGTAGCAGTGGTATTTCTAGCACCTTATTTCTGATCCTCAACTTACAGGTTGAGAAAACAAGAGGCTCAGAGCTGTTTAGGAATCTGCTCGAGATTCGCAAAGGTAATAAGTGACAGATGGAGAATTTGGGAGTAGGTCTTTCGGGCTTCAAGGCCAATGTTCTTTCCACTCTACTGTAACAATAAAATTACTTCATCAATCCATATTCTAGAGTAGTGCTATCCACTAAAACTTTGCAATTAGGGAAAATGATAGTTCCGTGTCAGCACTGTCCCATATAGTAGCCTGCAATGTGGCTAGGGCAAATGAAGAACACTTCTTTTTAGTTTATTTAATTTAATATATTAGAATTTACATGGCTGTATGTGCTGGCAGCTGCCATACTGGACAGTGGAAGTCTCAGCATGAGCTCATGTGCTAACATGCTCTTTGTTGTGCCATACCTGAATCAAACAACTACTTGGGAAGCTTTGGCTTAGATTTTTATGCGTCCTATTTAGTCATTCCTTTTTGAAACTTACAAATGATTTCTAGATACAAAAGCTGCAGAATATATCCCTGAGGGTGGCTTTGCCATGGTAACATTCTTTTGGCATGGAATTTAGTTTGCAGATAAGAATTCTATTCTGGGCTTTGCCTTACTGACTATAACCTTGGCTAAATCATTTAAACCACTGATTTGACCTATTTATCTTAAAAGGCCATCATGAAAGTAAGGTATTTTGTTAGGCATTTACAAATACAAAATATCATAGACTGTGTCTCCATTCTAGACTCAACAAATGATCTCATTAGTGAAAGAATCCTAGGGACATCAGTGTTATCCACACCTGGCCTATCCAGATTCTCTTATAACACAGGCCTGTGATATGCTTCTTCCTATCCCTTCTGATAGTACCATGCATGAGCTGCAGGCTCTTTGTGTCTCTTTACAAGTATTATTTTCAAATGTTGTAGGGGCCATTACTAGAAAGCCTGAGGTATACATTGGAAAAATATATATATTAAAAATGAGAAGTCTTGGCCAGGTATGGTGGCTCACGCCTGTATCCCAGCACTTTGGGAGGCCAAGGCGGGTGGATCACCTGCGGTCAGGAGTTCAAGACCAGCCTGGCCAACACGGCGAAACCCCATCTCTACTAAAAATACAAAAAAATTAGCCGGACATGGTGGTGCACGCCTGTAGTCCCAGCTACTTGGGAGGCTAGGCAGGAGAATCGCTTGAACCCAGGCAGTGAAGGTTGCAGTGAGCCTAGATGGCCCCTTGGCACTCCAGCCTGGGAGACAGAGCAAGACTCCATCTCAATAAATAAATAAATAAATAAATAAATAAATAAATAAATAAATCTGGGCTTTGGGTTAGAAGGAAGATGTCTTCCTAAAAAATAACCATGGGACTTCCCTCATACAAATTTAAGGTTCAAGTTGTACCATTCATTTAGTATCATTTCTTACCCAGGTCAAGAAATTAACATAAAATTAATCATCAGCTGGTGATTACTCTACGGCATCTGGCAGAAGCAAATGTAGATCCCTTCTGGCAAGATACATTCTTAGCCCAGCCAGGTTGCCCAGGAATATCAGGCATGTCTCATGGTCTAAAATTACTAAATATACAAGGAAATACTTTGCAGTGAATGAAAGGTAGCATATAACAAACAGCAGGATTATACAACCCTTCCCAAAGACTTTAGTTCATGGAAACTAGAGACTCTAATGGATGTAAATACCAGATACAGATTATAAAATAAAGTAAAAAGAACAGCAAATGTGAAAAAAGAATAAAGGCCCTGTGCGGTGGCTCACGCCTGAAATCCCAACACTTTGGGAGGCCGAGGCAGGTGGATCACCTGAGGTCAAGAGTTCGAGACCAGCCTGCCCAACATGGTGAAACCCCATCTCTACTAAAAATAGAAAAAATTAGCCTGGCGTGGTGGCAGACACCTGTAATCCCAGCTACTCGGGAGAGACTGAGTCAGAAGAATCGTTTGAACCCGGGAGGCAGAGGTTGCAGTGAGCCAAGATCATGCCACTGCACTCCAGCCTGGGCAACAAGAGCTAAACTCCATCTCAAAAAGAAAAGAATAAAATGCTGCCAGGCACAGTGGCTCACACTTGTAATCTCAGCACTTTGGGAGGCCAAGGCGAACAGATCACTTGAGCCCAGGAGTTCAAGACCAACATGAGCAACATGGCGAAACCCTGTCTCTATAAAAAATACAAAAAATTAGCCGGGTGGACCTGGGAGGCTGAGGTGAGAGAATCACCTGAGCCCGCGAGGTTGAGGCTGCAGTGAGCCATGATCACGCCACTGCGCTCCAGCCTGGGTGATAGTGAGACCCTGTCTCAAAAAATAAAAGAATAAAAAAGAATTAAATGCTATTAAAAAAAAGGAAGATTTGAAAAATTGCTGAGTAGAACTAATAGAAATTAAAATTTTAATTGAAAGATACTCTCTACTTGGATTCAACAGTTAATTGGTAATAGCTGAAAAGAGAATTGGTGAGCTAGAAGATATATCTGAGGAAATCCAGAATGTATCCAAAAAAAGGACAAAATGGAAATATGACAGAGTGATTAGAATTATAAACTCTAACATTTGATGGATAAGAATTTCAGAATGATAAAGCAGATTTGTAGAGAGGCAATATTTGAAGCGTTGATGACTGGGAATTTTCCAGAATCCATAAAAGACATAAATCTCAGATTTAAACAATAGAATGAGCTCCAAGCATAAAACATAGAAATATTAGCCGGACACTATGGCTCACGCCTGTAATCCCAGCACTTTGGGAGGCCTAGGCAGGCTGGATCACTTGAGGTCAGGAGTTCGAGACCAGTCTGGCCAACATGGTGAAACCCCACCGCTACTAAAAATACAAAAATTAGCTGGGCCTGGTGGCGGGCACCTGTAATTCCAGCTACTCAGGAGGCTGAGGCAGGAAAATCGCTTGAACCCGGGAGGTGGAGGTTGCAGTGAGCCGGGATGATGCCACTGCACTCCAGCCTAGGTGACAGAGTGAGACTCTGTCTCAAAAAATAAATAAATAAAAATAAAAAAAATATATATATATACACATGCGCGTGCACACACACACACACACACCCAGACACATTCTGATGAGATGTCAAAGGCAGAGACAGAAGCAACCAAAGGTTGCTCAAGATTGGGTGTTTACAAAGGAACACCAGTTAGACTGACAGCATATTCCATAGTTGCAGCTACTGAGTTTAGAAGACAAAAGAATAATATATTGAGAGGACTGAAGAAAAAAAAAAACCAATAATTCAGTAATCGAAGAGAACAAAATAAAGATACTTTTCAACAAAAACAACAGCAGTTGTCTCCCCAGATTCTTGCTGTAGGAGCTCCCACAGCAGTGCTGTCAGTGCAGTAGCCACATGTGTCTATTGAGCATTTGCAGCGCGTGACGGGTAAAAGCAGACAACTGGTTTTTCTCTTTCTTACAGCCAAACGCTCCACAGTATAACATGATTAATTGAAAATATTAAGATGCAGGCTTGTGGTACCATCAAGCTCTATGAAATTGGTTCTGGCTTTTAATGATTTTATTTTGTAAAAAACAGTAACAAACTAGAAGCTGTTCAAACCTAAGCATTCCAAGATTGTGATGACGGCAGATAAATTGATTAATAAGGTTTTGTGTATTCAAAAGATTCCACCGCAGAACATAAATAGGATATTTTAACTTTCAAACCAATAAAAACCAGGAAGTGGGAAAAAAGTAAATAGAAACCATGGGAAAAAGAAAGCCCAAAATAAAATGGCAGAAATCAATCAATTTAGAACAAATGTTAAGTGAACTAAACTTGCCAGTTAAAAGACTCAGATTGGATAAACATATAGAATTTGCCTACATACTGTTTTAATATTTTTAATTATTTTTATCTATTTATTTATTTTTTAGAGACAGGTCTCGCTGTGACACCCAGGCTGGAGTGCAGTAACACACCATCATGGCTCTCTGCAGCCTCAACCTCTGAGGCTTGAGTGATCCTTCCATTTCAGCCTCCCAAGTAGCTGGGACCACAAGTGCACGCCACCACTCCCAGCTAATACGTTTTTATTTTTTGTAGAGACAAGGTCTCTCTATATTGTCCAGGCTGGTCTCAAACTCCTGGGCTCAAGCAATCCTCCTGTCTTGGCCTCCCAAAGTGCTGGATTATAGGTGTGAGCCACTGCACTGGCCCTGTATGCTGGTTTCAAGAAACTTTAAAAACTCTAAGATCGTGGAAAGGTTGAAAGTAAGCAATAGAATGAGATTTATCAGGCAGCTATCAAGCAAAAAAGGCTGGTGTCTCTGTGTGAGTCATACACGGTAAACTGTAAAGCAAAAAGCATCATTAGGGATAAAAGTTACCACATAATGATGAAAGGAATAAGTGACCTAGAAGATAAAATAATTTTGAATGATATATACTTAGTATATGTCAGAATTGCAAACTGAATGTTAAAAATCCCTAATTATAGTGACAGATTTTAATAAGCCACTTTAGTAATTGACAGATAAAGCAGACAAATTTTTTTTTTTTAAGAGTTAGGGTTTTGCTTTATTGCCCAGGCTGTCTCGACCTCCTGGCCACAAGTGATCCTCCCACCTTGGCCTCCCAAAGTGCTAGGATTACAGGTGTGACCCACCACATCTGGCCACAGACAATAAAAGTTATTGGATAGTTGAACAATACAGTTAACAAACCTGATATGATGGACATATAAAAAACCCTGCTGGCCAGGCGCAGTGGCTCACGCCTATAATCCCAGTACTTTGGGAGGCCGAGGAGGGTGGATCACGAGGTCAGGAGTTCAAGACCAGCCTGCCCAAGATGGTGAAAACTTGTCTCTACTAAAAATACAAAAAAAAAATTAGCCAGGCATGGTGGCAGGCGCCTGTAATCCCAGCTACTCAGGAGGCTGAGGCAGAGAATTGCCTAAATTCGGGAGGCAGAGGTTGCAGTGAGCCAAGATCACACTACTGCACTCCAGCCTGGGCAACAGAGCGAGACTCCATCTCAAAAAAAAAAAAAAAACCAAAACCCTGCTGCTGTCAGTGATGAAAATTTTGTCTAGTTCTGCTACTGACATTAAGTTATGATAAAGTCTGTCTGAGGAGAAAAAAGAAAAAAAAATCCTACTTTTAGCAATTAGAGAATTTACATTTTTTTCAAGTATATATTAGAGGTTTATAAAAATTGCCACATATAGGCCATTCAGCCAAAGAATTTAGGGAGGAAAATAGGGAAATCTGAGTAAAGTTGAAGGAAAATAAAGAGTAGAAATTAATTGCAAAAAGTAGAAATTTCTTTTTTTTTTTTTGAAACGGAGTCTTGCTTTGTCACCCAGGCTGGAGTGCAGTGGGGCGATCTAGGCAAGCTCCACGACCCGGGTTCACGCCATTCTCCTGCCTTAGCCTCCCGAGTGGCTGGGACTACAGGCACCCGCCACCACACCCGGCTAATTTTTTGGTATTTTTAGTAAAGATGGGGTTTCACTGTGTTAGCCAGGATGGTCTCGATCTCCTGACCTCATGATCCACCCGCCTTGGCCTCCCAAAGTGCTGGGATTACAGGCATGAGCCACCGCGCCCGGCCTAGAAATTTCAATAGAATAGAGCAGATCAACAAAACAAAAAACTCCACTATAACAACAACCATAAAAAGAACAAGGGGAGGTACAATATGCAGTATTAGGAATAAAAATATAAATGTGTTCCAACTAAAGGAAGAGAACATGCATTTTTAAAAACAAGAAGCCACTGTGAAGAACTTTTGCCTGTAAATTTAAAACTTGGATGATAAAGACAGTTTCCTAGGAAAACATAGTTTAACAAAAATTACTTAGGAATAAATAGATTTGAATGGACTCATAAATAAAATAATTGGGCCAATAGACTAAAAATCTCTCCCATCACTTCTAAAGAAAATGCTGAGAGGAATGTTCTATTCAGTAAATGGCACTAGGACTGTTAGTTCTCCATGTGGAGACCAGCCTCTGTAAAGGTAGCTATGGGGTTCATACACTTCTGGTCTAATCTTCAAGGGAAACTTGTCTCCAAAGGCCACTCTTCTGTGATGAGGAAATCATGCTTCTGTGATTCACTATTCCCTCAGCAAGGTGGTGAGCAGCATACCTCCCTATTATACATACCTGCTACAAGCAACATACCTCACTATTAGGTTGGTGCAAAAGTAATTGTGGTTTTTGCAATTAATGTCAAGAAACACAAATATTTTGCACCAACCCAGTACATACCTGCTACAAGCAGCACACCTCACCGAGTAATACTTCTCTTAGAAGATGTTTTTCCTCAAGACCAGTGTCAGAGGTCTTTTGATTTTCACTGTGGACACCTCTTAGGAATAAAAGTAGTAATGGGGAATCTTTTTTTAATATCTATGTGCTTACCTATCACTTAATTACAAAATGCCCCAAGAATATTCTGTGAAGTGTGTTCTGAGGAATTTTTTAAGAATCTAAACCCGGCATGTGAATCAATAATAAAGTACAGTCATGAGTCACTTAATGTCACTTAACAACAGGGATATGTCCTAAAGGCGCCATTAGGCAGTTTTGTTGTATGCACATCATAGAGTGTACTTACACAAACCTAAATGACATAGCCTACACACCTAGAATATATGGTATTGCTTTGAGGCTACAAACCTGTACAGCATGTTACTGTACTGAATGTGAGAGGCAGTTATAGCACATTGGTAAGAATTTGTACATCTAAATACATCTTAAGAGAAAACGTACAGTGAAAATGTGGTATTATAATCTTAAGAGACCACTGTTAGGTATGCAGTCTGTCACTGACCAAAGCAGCATTTGTGGCACGTGACTTGCAAAAGCAAACAGAACTGATTTTTCTCTTTCTTACAGCTAGACAGTCTACAGTATAACCTGGTTAATTGAAAGTATTAATAATATAGGTTTGTGGTACCATCAGGCTCTATAAAATTGATTCTGGCATTTAATGATTTTCTTTGGCAAAAACTATTTCAATATTGCATTTTGGGCCAGGCGCAGTGACTCATGCCTATAATCCCAGCACTTTGGGAGGCCAAGCCAGGCGGATCACGAGGTCAGGAGTTTGAGACCAGCCTGACCAACATGGTAAAACCCCATTGCTACTAAAAATACAAAAATTAGCCGGGCATGGCGGCACGCACCTGCAGTCCCAGCTACTTAGGAGGCTGAGGCAGGAGAATCACTTGAACCTGGGAGGCAGAGGTTGCAGTTAGCCAAGATCGCACCATTGCACTCCAGCCTGGGCAACAGAGCGAGACTCCATCTCAAAAAAAAAAAAAAAAAAATTACATATACTCCATCTCAAAAAAAAAAAAAATATATATATATGTGTATATATTGTGTTTTACCTTGTTTTTAACCAACGTGATTAACTCGGATACATACCTTAATTCAGTGACATTTATTGAATATGTCATTTGCCAAGCACTTTACCAGCTGCTATACCATATAGATTAAAACTACTGTGCGCTTATAAAGAATTTTGTTTATATTTTTAGTCCTTAGGTTCTATTATATTTTCTTAGAAAATTATAAGCTGAAGTTACTAAACTGCGTTAGAACTTTCTATGTCAAAACTCTGCCTTCTTGGTAAGGGTGAAGATTCTTTTTTTTTTTTTTCTGAGACAAGGTCTCACTCTGTTGCCCAGGCTATAGTGTCCAAATGATCCTCCATCCTCAGCCACTGCCCTGAGTAGCTAGGACTATAGGTGTGAGCTACTACACCAGCTAAATTTTTTTCTTTTAAATAGAGATAGGGTCTCTGCAAATTTTTTGTAGTGATAGGGTCTTGCTGTGTTGACCAACCTGGTCTCCAACTCCTGGCCTCAAGCGATCTTCCCACCTCAGCCTCCCAAAGTGCTAGGATTACACTATAGCCACTGCACCCCGCTGGGTCAGGATTCTTAATGAAATGTGCTACTACAGTAAGCCCAAAGCTATGCATGTTTATTCTTAAAACAACTCCCTGTAGATTAATGATAAAAATTAATGATTTAAGGTCTGTGATTTGAGAGTTATTGCTTGTAAATTTGAATGACTGGGCTAGTAACAGTGACAGTCTGATCTACCAGAGAGACAGTAAGGGTATGTACATATTTTTTCTTGGTCATTTTCAGCAGCAGTACTCACCCATTGTTGGGAAAGAGTATATGGTCTTGATTTTCTCTTCTCAGACCTAACCTTATTCTCACCATAGACCAGTGTGTAATGGTAGTTTTAACCAAAAACAATGATTGTTTTACTTTATGTGCATGTTAGATACGGCATCTTTTTACTGGAAGTTTATCATTTATAAGGACAACTTTTTCATGTTTCCTTCATGTAACACCCTAAGGCATGTATCTCCCACTTAATGCCACTTTTTGTATTTTTTAATGTTTTCTGTAAAACCAAAAGCAGTTTTGGGAAAATGGACAAAGCCCTTTTGAGTTTTTCAAAAGAACACAGACATTTCCCGAATTTTATTTTACCTTGACAGGTTTAAACAATTACAAGTTTGTGGTTTGTATGAAACACTTTCAAAGTGATCCTATGTGAGTAAAATCTGATCTGAAATTTTCTTAAAAAGGAGTTAATGTCATATATCTACTAGTCTAATATGTTGCTCTTTAGCTTGCTTAACCGAAAAAGACAATTACCTCTTAAGTATAATTTAAAATGTTAAATATTATTGCTATTTAATATTTTTAAGAACTTACCTCCAAAAGCCAGAGAGAAGTACCCCTTCGTTTCTGCTTCACTTATCACTTTTCCTTTATATCGGGCATCGATCTCTTGATACATAGTGCTTTTAATGAAAATTAGATCACTAGAAAAAGTAGGGAGGTTCATTTCCATAGTGTTGAAAATGCCACTGCCAAATGGAAAGTTTTAGTAGAAGAAATGCTGTAGTGTGTGCTTTTTTTGTCTCTCTGCTTGTCCTTTCTCAGTTCAAGGGCAAGTCTCAGAACAGTAGAGATGGTAGGTGGCTGTTGGCATTTGGAGCAAATCTTCAGACTTTTAAAGCACAGCGCAAGAAATTTCCTTACAAGATAAGTTTACAATTTGTCCAATCCAAAAATGTGAGTTCTCCCTCCACACTGAAAGAGGAATTCATAAACAACAAGAAAATTTCCGTGATTCATTCTTTGATATCTTTGAATTCAGTGCAGTACTTCTTTCTTAGCCTGAAGAAAGGCAGTCTTCCACCATCAGTTGCGGCACCGCTGTGCTTGGTATGATTCTGTAATCAGTGAAGGAGAAAGGGTCTGTGGCAACTGCATTAGTCTGGCCTTCTGGACCAAGATAAGGAAAGAGCCTTGCTGTTGCCACATTTGTAGATTGAAGAGGTAAAATCACCACGAAAACATAGAGGGACTTAAGGCTCAGTGGCTGAGTCTGACTCAGTGACACTGTTAGTTCAAATGTTTTAAAAATACATATATTGCTTTCTGGCTCATTGTAGGCGCTGCTTAGTATTCTGGTAGAGCCTTTACCAAGTGCCTTCTTGGTAACTTTGTAAATCCATGAACATTTCAGAATTTCCAAAGCAGATTCTTTTCATTATGATTCACTAATTACTGGCTTTTTCCTCCTCAGGTAGTGTTGTCAGATAAAAGCACTTTTTATCTTTTTTTTTTTATTGTGGTGTTATCTAAATTGTAAAGATTTGTAAAGTTAACCATGCCTGTATCATTTATCTTTTAGATAATTATGTTAAATATTCAATACTTCAAATGTTTTTTCTTTTGAGAACTCACAAAGGAAATCATTGTTTGTACTTAAGTGACAGAAATATGTTAACATGTAATATGTAGGTTTTCACCTTCTGTTTACACAATGAAGTTATCTGTGTAGGTAAAAATTGAAACAGAGTAACCGCTAGTCTAAGCGAAGCTCCTCTGGAGTGTGCAGAATAAACCTCCAGACTGGGCCCTTCAGGTTCAGTGTGCTGGAGGATCCAGGCAGGTCTGAGTCACTTACAAAGTCACTGCTTCCAGGCATGCTCAGCTTCTGCTTTTTCTTTTCTTTTTTTTTTTTCCTGAGACGGAGTTTTGCTCTTGTCACCCAGGCTGGAGTACAGTGGCGCAATCTCGGCTCACTGCAACCTCCACCACCCAGGTTCAAGTGATTCTTCTGCCTCAGCCTCCTGAGCTGGGATTACAGGCACACGCCACCATGCCCGGCTAATTTTTGTATTGTTAGTAGAAATGGGATTTCACCATGTTGGCCAGGCTGGTCTTGAACTCCTGACTTCAGGTGATCCACCTGCCTCGGCCTCCCAAAGTGCTGGGATTACAGACGTGAGCCACCACGCCCGGCCTTTGTTTTTGTTGTTGTTGTTTTTTTGTTGTTGTTTTGTTTTGTTTTTTTGAGGTGGAATCTTGCTCTGTTGCCCAGACTGGAGTGCACTGGCACAATCTCAGCTCACCGCAACCTCTGCCTCCCAGGCTCAAGCAATTCTTCTGCCTCGGCCTCACCAGTAGCTGGGATTACAGGCACATGCCACCATGCCTGGCTAATTTTTTGTATTTTTAGTAGAGATGGGGTTTTACTATGTTGGCCAGGCTGGTCTTGAACTCCTGGCCTCAAGTGATCCACCCACCTTGGCCTCCCAAAGTGCTGGGATTACAAGCGTGAGCCACCGCACCCGGCCAGCTTTTTCTTTTTAATAAAAGGAAAGCACAGGCTAAGCATTTGCTACCAACATTTAAAAATTACCATATTTTATACATCCTTAACCTGGATTTCTGATTTTTCTTGTGATAAAATGACGTGTGTGACCACACAGCACTTGGATTCCTGCAAGTACTGCAGTCAGCCAGAATTGTAGGTAAGACATTTTCATCACTGATCTCACCACACCCTGAGGTCTCTTATAGTCCGTGAGGTATTTGTGCTTACAACCCTGCTGTGGATGATCGATTAGTAAATTGGTAGAAAAATGTGTAGGAGAGTAGAAGTTAGGGAAAGTAGAGAAAAGAAGTTCCCCCCCTTTTTTACACCCCATCTGACCTATTTCCCAGATCCCTAACTATAGATTTTTGGAAGCCTAGGAAATGGGAATTCAAATCCATGGAGGTCAGGGGCCATGCTTCCCCCTGCCTTTGTCTCTCCCTTATGATACATAAAGATGATATTTGTGTGGGATACTAGAGCGACTAGAATACCAGTTGGGGGGGGGGGGTTGGACATGTCCAACATTTGGCAGAACCGTAATCATTTACACCAGCATTCCCCAACCTTTTTGGCACCAGGGACCGGCTTTGTGGAAGACCATTTTTCAATGGACGGGGATTGGGGGATTGTTTCAGGATGATTCAAACACATTACATTTATTGTGTACTTTATTTCTATAGGTGTTGTAATAAATAATGAAATAATTATGCAACTCACCATCATGTAGAATCAGTGGGAGCCTGGAGCTTGTTTTCCTGCATCTAAACAGCAGTTCCATCTGGAGGTGATGGAAGACAATGACAGATCATCAGGCATTAGATTCTCATAAGGAGCCACAATCTAGATCCCTCGTATGTGCAGTTCACAGTAGGGCTGGAGCTCCTATGAGAATCTATTGCCACAGCTGATCTGACAAGAAGCAGAGCTCAGGCAGTAATGCTCTGTTGTCTGCCACTCACCTTCTGCTGTGCAGCCTGGTTCCTAACAGGCCACAGACCAGTACCAATCCGTGACCCTGAGGTTGGGGACCCCTGATTTACACCACACTTTGGAAGCTGTATTTTAAGGAGCTATGGGTACTGTGTGGCAGTAGCAGATATACATCCTAACAGCAAAGGCAAAACCCTAGTGCAATTCACTGTTTTACTTAGGGTTGCCCATTGTTTAAGAATAAAACTTTTGCAAGTGGGAGTAATCAGTTGTGATATTGTTGGGTTTATTTTCCTAATTCCTAAAGAAGTTCAATGGTCATTTCATGTGTCTAAATTCTGTACTGAGATTATAATGTTAATGGGATTGTGGAAGGAGTATTTCGGGTTAATATATTCAGATTTGATTTAATTTAGACAGAGGCACCAAATTTTTAAATGATAAACTGAAGACCTTGAAGAGTAGCATTTTAAAATTACCTGTCCTAAGTCTTTTAATCATTGTTCAATATTCAATAAGTAGATATTACAATTTAAATTTTAGAAGTTGGACTCTTTCTCTACCATATTAGTGTTCAGTGGTGGTCTGAAATGAGTGGGTTTTTTGGCCAAAAGGGTTAAGCTGCAAAGATAATTGAATGACATTTTCCAGAGTTTCTTGCGGATATACAACATCTCATCTACCTAAGTGTTTGTAACATGCCAAAATCTGTTATGATCCCACGTCAGTCAGTCTTAGGCTCCATATCCTTTTTCCTGTGTGTGTGTTTTCTGCCCCTCTATCCTAGAGCCTTTCTTGTCTTCTCACTCTTTCCTAACCCTTTGATGTTCTTAGAGAGCCTCCATGCTTATTCTTGTCTTAAAGGAAATGATCTGCTGAGGCAGAGGTATTTGCCTTTTCACTTGCCAGGCCTGACTTATGTTTATATACCTATTCCATTTTTCTATATAAAAAATGTATTTGTCTATACCCAAAGCCCGTTTTCTTGTTTTTGTTTCCTGGTGTAAGAGATCTTTGTCAGTATCATCTTTAGAAATTGCATAACTTTTTTTCTCTTTATTTATTTTCTCAAGCACAGAGTTTCAGGAAAAAGAAATTTTATAACTCTTAACATCACCACCAAAAAGCTTTTTATTAAACCACCTTTTTGCTTGGCACCATACTGAGAAAATCTCCAGCCTCCTCAGATCCTTCTAGAAAGTAGGTTAGATCTAAATAATAAATGAATCACAAAGACAACATATGTATGAGAGTGATTCCCAGCTCTGTTTCTGTGACATTTCACAGCATCTCTAGAAGTCTCAAGGGATTTTACGAAGATACCAAATTAATTTGGCTTTTCTTGATCTTGTGTGAGCCATGTACCTCTCTCAAGATGAGAAACAGTGAAATATTTTATATGAAATCATAATAGGTTGCTATATCTTTAAACGGGTCTAAGGAAATAGAAAACTCTTACTCAAAACTCCACTTCTTAAAATTTCTCAATACAAAATAGTTCAAATACCTTTAATTTTTGTAATTTGTATTTTTTTTTACATTTTCAAAAGAAAGGGGCCTTCATTTGAAAAGCAAAGGAAACATTTAATGTTTGATATTCTTAGATGGATCTGGATATTTTTTGTGGAAGGCAATGAAATGTCCTATCACACCTCCTAACTTTTTTCTTTTTTTTTTTTAGTTAACAAATTTTTAAAAAATAAACAAGGTCCCACTGTGTTGCCCAGGCTGGTCTTGAACTCCTGGGCTCAAGTGAACCTCCTGCCTCAGCCTCCCAAAGTGTTGGGATTAGAGGCATGAGCCACCACACCCAGCCAACTTTTCAATGACTTGTCTATCCTATGCAACATGACTGACTTAGGATAGCTGTTAGCAGTCACAATGTGTGGTAGGTATCCATTAAGTAAGTAGTTTCTTTCATCTTGAGAAAGGCCATTTGTAAAACAGTGTGCCATCATTTGCCATAGCAAGGCAATACTGTATTGCCAAAAGCCTGAATTCTCTGTAGGATAGTTAATCAGAGAAATTTATTTCAGCAAGTGAATTGTTGGCAGAATGTGTTGGGCCTTAGAGTGTAAGTTCTCTAGAGGGAAGAATGCTTAGCTTTGGTTTAAAGGGGAGGTCCTCTGCAGTTTTAGCTATCTGGTGAACTTGTCTGTCTTTCCTCATGAGTGACAGTGACAGGCTCCGTGGCAGCTCCCTGGGCTTTCTTGCCAGTTGCACGCACTGACCGTTTGATATGTTGGCAGACAGAGCTGATTCTTGGATGCGTGTCTGAACCTCTACAGGTCTGCTTTTGGCAGAATCGAGTGTGACTCTTATCCCTTACCCATTAAGCTATCATTATGGCTTTCTTATCTTTATTTCTTCTGCAAACATGCCTTTGAAAGTGTTTGGCTCTTTTTAGGCAGTTTGATAATATACAAAAGCAGAAGGCATGTGTCTTATTTCTAAATTATATTGTATTTTTTCAAAGGAAAAGAGGACATCTTAAATGAAGGTTTTTCAAAATAAGTTGACAGCTTTGATGGACTTACTTTGATTATTGATAAGTAGTTCTTTCCTAAGAGTTCGGTTTAGAAGTCCCTGTGAAAATACACTTAATTGCTTCTGTTTAGCACAGAAAAAATTGTGTGTTCCTCTCTAAGCCTGATGTGTTGCATATCATAAACTTTTTTTTTTTTTTTTTTTTTGAGACAGAGTCTTGTTCTGTCACCCAGACTGGAGTGCAGTGGTGCGATCTCGGCTCACTGCAACCTCTGCCTCCCGGGTTTAAGCAATTCCCCTTCCTTAGCCTCCCGAGTAGCTGGGATTATAAACATGCATCACCACGCCCAGCTAATTTTTGTATTTTTAGTAGAGACGGGATTTCACCATGTTGGCCAGGCTGGTCTCCTCACCTCAGGTGATCCACCCACCTCAGCCTCCCAAAATTCTGGGATTACAGGCATGAGCCACTGCACCCGGCCGCATATCATAAACTTTTCTTATCACTGTGTATTGTTTTGGTATGTCCAGATTAATATAGCTTATTGAAGGAAAACGAATTTTTGTATTTGGACTTCAGTGTTTGGGGTGTTCATTAGCCAAGCTTGGAAGAAGCATATTTCAAGAAAGGTAGTCCTATGTAATTGCCATATATGGAGTCTTTTTAAAGCCCTGATCTGATTTACTGTAGTTAGAGCAAGCCTTAGCCGCTAAGAGCGTAACTAAGAACCTGCAGTAGATAATGCTTAATAATTATCTCTGTAACAAGGCTGCTTCTGTGCTCCTTCCATTGAGATGTTAAAGCTGAGTGAATTTGTTGACTTACCATGATGTAAAACATTCCAAAATTACTTGTTATTCATTGGAGTTTGATTCTGTTTGGAGCACTCAACTCTGTGAAGAAAAGAGGCACTGTGAAAATGGATTCCAAACATGGGAAACTCGGCCGGGCGCGGTGGCTCACGCCTGTAATCCCAGCACTTTGGGAGGCCGAGGTGGGCGGATCACGAGGTCAGGAGATCGAGACCATACTGGCTAACATGGTTAAACCCCATCTCTACTAAAAATACAAAAAGTTAGCCGGGTGTGGTGACGGGCGCCTGTAATCCCCGGGCGCCTGTAATCCCAGCTACTCGGGCGGCTGAGGAGAATGGCGTGAACACGGGAGGCAGAGCTTGCAATGAGCCAAGATCGTGCCACTGCACTCCAGCCTGGGTGACAGTGAGACTCCATCTCTCAAAAAAAAAAAAAAAAGCAAACAAACAAACAAACATGGGAAACTCTTCCCAGCTGGTTGAAGGCTCAGAGACTAGTGAGCCTGGACTTCCTTCAGGTAGTGCACCACTTGTGGGACACATGGCCATACACGGGCTCCATAGATTTAGAGCAGTTTTAGTGTAATTAGAGGTTTTTCCCTGCCTGAGAAGCCCTTTGTAAACAGGGTAGGAAAAAAAATTCTTGTTCATGATCTTCATTCATTAAAATGAAGCCGTTCACTTGCTGTGTGTATCAATAATATTTTCATTAACTCTACAATAACAATAGAAAGACTCAAAATTATATTTCTGTTGAGAAGGGAACATACATATATATATATATAATTTTTTTTTTTTTCTGAGACAGAGTTTCACTCTTGTTGCCCAGGCTGGAGTGCAGTGGCGTGATCTCGGCTCACTGCAACCTCCACCTCCCAGTTCAAGAGAGTCTCCTGCCTCAGCCTCCCGAGTAGCTGGAATTACAGGCATCCACCACCACGCCTGGCTACTTTTTGTATTTTTAGTAGAGACGGGTTTCATCGTGTTGGCCAGGGTGGTCTCGAACTCCTGACCTCAGGTGATCCACCCGCCTTGGCCTTCCAGGGTGCCAGGATTACAGGCATGAGCCACCGTGCCCAGCCGAGAAGGAAACTTTTAAAGTTAAGATTTGCCATGAAGTCTTTTGTGGAATAATGGGCTTAATTCAGGGTGAAACAAATAATTGAGCATTAAAATAACTTTTAAAGCGGTGGTTTTCTAAATTGGTATATATTGATAATTATAGAATTCAAATAATAGTTATAAAAATGATTTTTTGATTTATTTAAAATCTCTTGTGCTAGCACTTCTATTTCCTATATTGTATGGCACCCTCTTAATGTGCCTTTTAACTTAATTATGTATAGGCTTTCTTCTTTTATGTGTCACTTTAATCATCGAGCATAACTGAAGCTCACTAACTTTTTGTTTCTATAAAAAATTGTAATGTTATTTCAATGTAATGAGATGTAAGCAATGAAAATGTAGTGACAAGATAACTGGTCTAGGAGTGAGAAGACCCAAGTTTGTTTTTTGGGTTTTTTTGTTTGTTTTGAGACGGAGTTTCGCTCTTGTTGCCCAGGCTGCAGTGCAGTGGTGCAATCTCGACTCACTGCAACCTCCACCTCCTGGATTCAAGCAATTCTCCTGTCTCCGCTTCCTGAGTAGCTGGGATTACGGGCATGCGCTACCATGCCCGGCT
This sequence comes from Homo sapiens, assembly GCF_000001405.40. Taxonomy (NCBI): domain Eukaryota; kingdom Metazoa; phylum Chordata; class Mammalia; order Primates; family Hominidae; genus Homo; species Homo sapiens. Next base: position 53,321,571 of record NC_000003.12, on the reverse strand, counting down.
AATTTTGTATTTTTAGTAGAGACGGGGTTTCACCATGTTGGCCAGGCTGGTCTCAAACTCCTGACCTCAGGTGCTCCGCCCATCTTGGCCTCCCAAAGTGTTGGGATTACAGGCGTGAGCCACCATGCCCAGCCTGACCCAAGTTTTACTTATAGCTCTGAGACTGATTTTTTTCTCTAATTTGTTAATAAGTTACTTAGTCTCTCCGTTAACCCCTATTCCCATCCATAAAAATGCAAAATGAAAGTTCCAATTAAACCGAGTAGCATAGACTTGTCTCTCCCTGCCACTTGCAACTATAAAACCTGGAAATGACACAACAGACAATCTGGAGAACTCTGAAAGATAGAAAGAGGATGATCTGGTCAGGAACCCAGAACTGGCAGAACAGCAGCAGCAAAGTGTCTTACAAACCCCCACCCAACATAAGAAGGGGGCCTGGGCCTGATGTTTCTTGACCTTCAACCTAGCAACAGAAGGTGGCCCGGGTAGGCTCATTCCTCTCCTAGACTGAATGAGAGTCCTGCCAGCAATACTGGGCCAGCCCAGCAAAACTGGCAAGGATTGGAAGCCCCACTAATAATAATTGGCCGCCAGGGGACTTCTGCGTCTCCCTTCCATGAAGTCAGTGGAGCAGGAATAGCAAAGAGGATCTCATTACAACCAGCTTGGAATGGACAGCAGTCTTCTATGACTTCTGTGGTTTCATTTATGTAATATAATACTCTTGAAATTACAACATTGTAGAAATAGAGAACAGGTTCCTATTTGCCAAGAGTCAGGGACGGGAGGGGCCAGAGCAAGGTGGATTTGGGCTATAAAAGGGCACCAGGTATCCTGGTGGCCATGGAAATTTCTGTATCTCGACTGATGTCAGTATCCTGGCTGTGATAGTATACCATAATTTTGTAAAATGTTACCATTGGAGGAAACAATTTATAGGGCACCAAGATCTGTCTGTTCTTTACAGTTGCATTTGAAGGTACAATTATTTCAAAATAAAAAGTTTTAATGTTTTCTTAAAAAAAGCATAATGATACCTGCCATTTCTGTGCTAGGGAATCATTGTAAGTATTTAAGGAGGTACAAGGTATGCTGAGGTGTGTCATCATATGGGCCCACATGGTAGCAATGGGTCTTATCCATCCGTGTGTCTGTTTCAGCTTGTATGTTCAGTATTCTACTCTACCTTATCCAAAAAGCAGTTATAGTAGCTTTAATATATTATAATCTTTAATAAAGTTCATTTATCTTGCAGCAAGTTTGTTTAGGGCTTTCTTTGAACTGAGCACCATATTGGGAATAAAAAGAATGGGATAAGAAATGCCATAGACTGAGCTCAGTCCATTTCACATGTAAACAGTCAGTCATAGGATGGATATAGAGCTGGGGTTTGTTTTGAAAGCTTTGTATTGTAACAATTTTAATATCTTTTTTTTTTTTTTAGATGGAGTCTCACTCTGTTGCCTAGGCTGGAGTGCAGTGGCGTGATCTCGGCTCACTGCAACCACTGCCTCCCGGGCCCAAGCGATTCTCCTGCCTCAGCCTCCCAAGTAGCTGGGATTACAGGCACGCCACCACAGCTGGCTAATTTTTGTATTTTTAGTAGAGACGGGTTTCACCTATGTTGGCCAGGCTGGTCTTAAACTCCTGACCTCAAGTGATCCGCCCACCTCAGCCTCCCAAAGTGCTGGGATTACAGGTGTGAGCCACCATGCCCGGCAACAATTTTAATATCAATTTAGAATGCATCTTAGAATCAATATGATTCTTAGTTTAATTGGGAGCCTTTTGCTTAAAAGCTTGATAGTACATAAATAATGGTTGCATCTTACACTTAGTAACATCTTAGGTTCACTGAGATCTGGTGATAATGTCTAAAACTATTTTGTGTAATCTTTATCTGAATGTTTTACCTGTCCTGATTTTATTAAACAGAATTTGGGGAGGAGATACTTGTTTTCTTTAGATAGAGTATTAACAATTTGAGGGTCTGATGGTACATTTAGTGAATTCCATGATGATAATATATTATTTACATACACCCAAATGTTGAAACCTCATTTCTTCTTATCTTTTTTTCCCTTTGTTTTTCAAGTGTCGATATATAGTATCTGGTTTTATGACAAGAATGACTGTCACCGCATAGCAAAACTCATGGCTGAGTAAGTATATTACTCCATAAATTTAACTGATGATATGTGAGAAATGAAAAATAATCCCCTCCCACTTCTCTTTGTTACTAAAGTCTGCCAACTCATGTATTTCCCCAATTTCTTTTTACTGCCAAAAACTTGGAAAAGGCTGAAAAGCTTTAAAATATATATAATTATTATCTTAACTCCTCCCAGTGTGCATTTCAGTTTCCTTCCAGTCTTCCTTCTTTGTGTATATATTAAGTAGATGTGTGTGATTGTTTTTTTACAAAAATAGGATCCTACTGTATGTATACTGCTTTTCATATCAACAGCATTTTTCCAGGGCATTAAATCTTTCTCTGTAGTATTTATGACAGCTGCATTGTATCCAGCTCTATAGACAGATCATGATTTAACCAGAACTTTACTGTTGGACCTGTAGGTTAAGGCTGCCAAACTGCCCGGCTCCAGAGGATATCTGCATCAGGTGTACAGCCTGACCATATACAGCAACTCTGATTTAGGTTCTGTGCAGATTTCCACTGTAACAAGTGATACCATATGTGATAGCCTGATAGAGAACTCATACACACATCTGTATTTAGTTCTTTTAAGTGAACTTGTTTTTGACACAGACTCTAGGCTTAACAGGCCCCAATCCACTCATGGGTTGTGTTCCAGAAGATTTTTTGTGACTCAGAACCTTGAAATTTAGAAAATTATTTTCCTTGAATTAATGTTCTAAAGGGCAGTTCATTGTCCTCTCTCAAGCTAGCCTGTAGAAGCCAGCCCTTGTGTGACCTATCCGTATTGCTGGACTGCCATTCTGGATTCTGGAAGCCCATTACACGGGGCTTCAGGGGGCCTGAGGGACTACAGAGCTCTGGGCAAAATGCTATAATAGGTAGACGGTATATTCTGGTGCACCTCTGCTTTTTTTCAGTTTTTGCCTGAATCTTCTCAGAAATGTGGACCTCTCTCCCCCCTCCACCATCCCCATCTGTCAAATCAAAATTCCTTTTGCTCTCTTACAGTTTTCAATCACATGTTTAAAAGAAAATAATCTTAAATTTTTTAACAGTCTAATCTTATTTTATTTTTATTTTATTTTACTTTATTTGGTTTTTTTTAGACAGAGTCTCGCTCTGTCACGCAGTCTGGAGTGCAGTGGCGCAGTCACAGCTCAGTGCAGCCTCAAACTTCTGGGCTTAAGTGATCCTCCCATCTCAGCCTCTCAAGTAGCTGGGACTACAGGCATGCACCACCACTATCAGCTAATTTTTTGGGGGGTGGGTAGAGATAGGGTCTCACTATGTTTCCCAAACTGGTCTTGAAGTCCTAGGCTCAAGCGTTCCTCCCACCTTGGCCTCCCAAAGTGCTGGGATTATAGGCGTGAGCCACCATGCCAGGCCAACAGCCTAATTTTAAACTCATGAAAGTATATATAAGTAATTAACCCAGAATCTCAGTTCATGGCTAAGGCCAGGTTGTGATCTAAGACTACTAACATGTCCTGATCGGAAGTTATCGGCCCCCTGCTTTGTTGCCTGTTCTGGCTGTGAGCTTGCAGGGCAGGGCCATGTTTATTACTTGTGTACACCCCAAGGGCATCGTTCTGTATGAACTTGTAGTCACTTATACTTGAAAAAATGTTGGCTTGAAAAAAGAGCCACGCTTTGTTTTTAGAACACTTTTTCTCTTAAAAAAGATAAAACTATTTTTCATTTTTTAATTTAATTTTTTTCTTTTGAGATAGGATGTTGCCGTATTGCCCAGGCTAGTCTCAAACTCCTGGGCTTAAGGGATCCTCCTGCCTTAGCCTCCCAAGTAATTGGGACTATAGGCACAAGCCACCATACCCAGCTAAAACCATTTTTCAACATAGCCATTTATTAGATGATCACTTGTTTTAGCTTTGAAAGTGACAGCAAAGGCAGCTTACTTGTGGTTACCTAGAAGACACAGGGTTGGCTGGGCGCGGTGGCTCACGCCTGTAATCCTAGCACTTTGGTGGGCCAAGGCGGGCAGATCACCTGAGATTGGAAGTGCGAGACCAGCCTGACCAACATGGAGAAACCCTGTCTGTACTAAAAACACAAAATTAGCCAGGTATGGTGGTGCATGCCTGTAATCCCAGCTACTCGGGAGGCTGAGGCGAGAGAATCACTTGAACCCGGAAGCTGGAGGTTGCGGTGAGCCAAGATCGCGCCATTGCATTCCAGCCTGGGCAACAAGAGTGAAACTTTGTCTCAAAAAAACAAAAACAACAACAACAACAACAAAAAGGCACAGGGTTGTTGATTCATGGTTATCCAGAAATCCAGATTTTTTCTAAACTTTGGAATGTATTAATATATAAACACTTTCTCCTGCAGAATGAGGACGTGGGCTTTGAGTGAAATGATCTGGCTCTTTTAGCTCTAACAACTATTGAAAGAAAACCGTTTATCTATCAGGGCAAGTGTTACCCCTAATGCAAGATTTCAAATGATAAATGAAGCTGAAGACTGAAGGCCTATCTAAAAATATTTTATTGAACCCAGAAATAGGATTAGGAGTAGAAATGGAAAGCTGGAAGGGAAAAGAAGAGCATTGGGGCTTCTTTCACCAGAAATGCCCGAAAAGGGACAATTGCTTAAATTTTCAGCTTGTTTGACTAGAAACAGATGTGTTATTAAAAGTGATTTGAGCCTGGGCACAGTGGCTCATGCCTGTAGTCCCAGCACTTTGGGAGGTCAAGGCGGGGAGGATTGCTTAAGGCCAGGAGTTCAAGACCATCCTGGCCTGATATAGCAAGACTCATCTCTGTTTAATTAAAAAAAAAAAAAAAAAAAAAAGGGAAGAAGAAAAGAAAGTGATTAGAGAAGCCAGGCACAGTGGTGTGTACCTGTCATTTCAGCTATAATACTTGTGAGGCCCAGGTGGGCAGATCACTTGGGCCCCAGGAGTTCAAGATCAATCTGGGCAACATAGTGAGATCCCATCTCAAAAAAAAAAAGTGATTAGAGAATACCCTGGTGAAACTGTTGATAATGAGTTTTAAGTGTCTGGCCTATTTATAGCTGAAGAGAATATTGTATGTTACCATTAACTTTGTGATAAATGCCTCTCTGGTCACCAAAACTAAAGAAGACTATCTGTCTTTGTTCTAAATCTGCCTGCATAAACCTGTTTGTTACTTTTTGTTGTTGTTGTTTGCTACATATTTGAGAATATCACCTCTACTATCCAAAAATACTAGCACAGTTCTTGTTAGTATATTATACATATAAATAAATGTGTCCATCAGTGCCCATTCTTTTAAATACAGTTCTTCCCATCACTATTTGACAGCCACAATATAATAAAGATCCTCCAAGTAAAAAAACTGATTTACTCCAGGCTGGGCGCGGTGGCTCACGCCTGTAATCCCAGCGCTTTGGGAGGCCAAGACAGGCGTATCACGAGGTCAGGAGATCGAGACCATCCTGGCCAATATGGTGAAACCTCGTCTCTAGTAAAAATACAAAAAAATTAGCGGGGCATGGTGGCGGGCACCTGTAGTCCCAGCTACTCAGGAGGCTGAGGCAGAAGAATGGCGTGAACCCGGGAAGCGGAGCTTTCAGTGAGCCAAGATCGTGCCACTGCACTCCAGCCTGGGCGACAGAGCGAGACTCCGTCTCAAAAAAAAAAAAAACAAAAAAAAAAAACAACAAACTGATTTACTCCAAACAATGTTTATAAAAACGAGAAACTATGTAGGAAAATGAGTGAGCTTCTAGACCCTATGTCATCTAAATTTGTATATTCTCTGGTCAGTGGTGGCAGAGTTGAAAACCCACTAAACTTAGAAGCTGTTGACTCTCCTAAAGAGGAAATCCAGTCTGCCAGAAACTCTTTTTTTTTTTTTTTTTTTTTTTGAGACAGAGTCTTGCTCTGTCACCCAGGAATGTGGTGGCGTGATCTGGGTTCACTGTAACCTCCGCCCTCCTGGGTTCAAGCAGTTCTCCTGCCTCAGCCTCCCGAGTAGCTGGGATTACAAGTGCCTGCCACTGCACCCAGCTAATTTTTGTATTTTTAGTAGAGACAGGGTTTCACCATCTTGACCTGGCTGACCTTGAACTCCTGACCTCATGATCCACCCACCTTGGCCTCCCAAAGTGCTGGGATTACAGGCGTGAGCCACCACACCCGGCCTCAGAAACTCTTTTTAACAATAAAAAGTTGTTTGACGGTTTGGCCACATAGACTATGTAAACTTTGGAGAACTCATGGAAGTAAGCTTTATTCCTGATCTTACAGACATCTTAGGGGTAGGTTTTGGTGTTTGAAAGGAAAGGAGAATGGCATGAGTGCTATCCATAAAGTTTGGATTAGAAGAGGCCTTAGAGTCCAAGCCTCGTTTATGTGAGAGTCCCTTCCATTACCACCCCCGACAGCTTCTGCTTTCAGCAGTGGTGAGCTTTATAAAATTACCTGTTCTGGCTGGGCGCAGTGGCTCACGCCTGTAATCCCAGCACTTTGGGAGGCTGAGGTGGTCAGATCACTTGAGGTCAGGAGTTCAAGACCAGCCTAGTCAACATGGTGAAACCCTGTCTTTATTAAAAATACAAAAATTAGCCGGGCATGATAGTGCATACCTGTAATCCCAGCTACTAGGGAGGCTGAGGCACGAGAATCGCTTGAACCCGGGAGTCGAAGGTTGCAGTAAGCCGAGATCGCACCACTGCACTCTAGCCCGGGTGACAGAGTAAGGCTCTGTCTCAAAAAAAAAAAAAAAAAAAAAAGAAAAAGAAAAGAAATATTCTTCTCTTAAACCAAAATAATCACAGAATCACAGATCCTAGTCTGGGTCAGGGAAGAGTTAAATACCAGCATGGCCAAGTCAGGCAACATGTCAGGAGGTAGGTGGAAAACAGGCCGTGTGACAGATCCTTTATGAAGATGGATTCAGGCTGATGTGGCCTATATTTGAGCATTAAATAAACAATTCATGTTTGGTCTTATTCTCATATCCCATACCAGTCTTTCAGTCTACCATGAAGCTCATGATGCTACATTTGTTTTAGAAGTAATAGTCTTATTAAGAGCTATAATTATGAATCTAGATAGAAAAACTACATGTTACCTTAAAGCCACATTTTCCAAACAGGAATTCTACCTCAGAGTAAAATTCTATAGTCAAATAAAATTTGAGAAAATCTATAGGCCTGCCCTTCTTGGAGAATCACAATAAATTTTAGCATGCTTAAAAATCAACTGGCCAGTTGTGGTGGCTCATGTCTATAATCCCGGCACTTTGGGAGGCTGAGGTGGGAGGATTGCTTGAGGCCAGGAGTTTGAGACCAGCCTGGGCAACATGGTGAGACCTTGTCTGTACAATAAAAAAATAAATAAAACAAACAAACAAAAATTCAATGGGTGGGTTGTGGTAATTCATGCCTTTAATCCCAGTATTTTGGGAGGCTGAGGCAGGAGGATCACTTGAGACTAGGAGTTTTGGGACCAGCCAGGGCAACATATCAAACTCCATCTCTACAAAAATAATAATAAAACTCAAGGATTCTGTTTTTTCTTTTTTTTTAAGTCGGTTTAATATTGTTTAACCCAGTATTTTTAAATAAAAAAGCCATCTCTGTTCACCTCTTCCCCACACTCTAATGAGAGCTCCTGTGCAGGCTGGGTTTTTTGTTTTTTAAAACAGGGTTTCACTATGTTGCCTGGGCTGGTCTCAAACTCCTGGGCTCAAGTGATCGTCCTGCCTCAGCCTCACAAAGTGCTAGGATTATAGGCATGAGCACTGTGCCTGGCCTGAATGAATCTTAAAAAAAACAAAAAAAGTTGCTTTATTAAAATTTATTATTCAAGCTTGAAAGCTTGAAGAAAAATATAGGAAATAATAAAATATGTATGTGCTTACCACCCAGCTTTCAGTTCCTAATATTTTGCTGTAATTGTTTCAGATCTTTCTTTACAAGGGAGAAGGGGGTGTTCTTAAAAACTGAAAGCCCACTTAGTGATTTTTTTTTTTTTTTGGAGTCAAGGTCTCACTCTGTTACCCAGGCTGGAGTGCAGTAGTGTGATCTCAGTTCACTGCAGCCTCTACCTCCCAGACTCAAGCAGTCCTCCCACCTCAGCCTTCCAAATAGCTGGGACTACAGGCGTGTACCACTACGCCCAGCTAATTTTTGTATTTTTTGTAGAGACGGGGTTTTGCCAAGTTGCCCAGGCTAAGTTGGTGGTTTTTAAAAGGGAGAATAAGGGAAACCTTTTATTTGCTTATAGTGTTACTAACTTTTAAGGATTCACCAAGACCTCTATTTTCAAGAACTGACTTTGTCCTTGCTAGCCCAGTGTCAATCCAAACTTTCCACAGAGGATTTGTTCAACTATGCAGCCTTCCTGTGTCTTGGTGGAACTGTCAGTTTTCATATTTACTTTAGCAATTAGTTTGACTGATTTTGAAATACTTCAAGGGAAAAAGGGAGAAACCTTAGTGGAGTTTGTAATGCATCTCTGCCAACTCTAGGAAGGAATTCTGTATTTTTATCCTTCTGAAGGGTAAATATTGGCACTGTTAATGAGACGGTGAAATGGTAAGTCATTTATTTCTGAAATGAGGTAACTGAAGTTCTGTGTTATATATTGCAAGAATAATGTAATCGGCTGGGCGCGGTGGCTCAGGCCTGTAATCCCAGCACTTGGGGAGGCCTAGGGCAGATCACGAGGTCAGGAGATTGAGACCATCCTGGCTAACACGGTGAAACCCCATCTCTACTAAAAATACAAAACATTAGCCGGGTGTGGTGGTGGGCGCTGTAGTCCCAGCTACTCCGGAGGCTGAGGCAGGAGGATGGTGTGAACCCAGGAGGTGGAGTTTGCAGTGAGCCGAGATCACACCACTGCACTCCAGCCTGGGCGACAGTGCGAGACTCCATCTCAAAAAAAAAAAAAAAAAAGAAGAATGTCATCATGTGACACTCTTAGTGTATCCTTGGAAGATGAACACCAAAAGAAATCTTGGGTCAGATTTTGTTTCAAGAGGCCTTTCTAAAACCTTGTTCTTCTCCTCTAGTGTGGTAGAAGAGGAGACACGGCGATCCCAGCAAGCTGCTCGGGACAAACAGAGTCCCAGCCAGGCCAATGGCTGCAGCGACCACAGGCCCATCGACATCCTGGAGATGCTGAGCAGAGCCAAGGATGAGTATGAGAGGGTGAGGCTCTCTGGGTACTTGGGTGCTGACCAGGGAAGACCAAAACGGGAGGAGGAGGTCTGCAGGAGACTATTTTACTAGGGAAGCTGGCCTCCAGGGACGGCAGAAATATAAGTTCAAAAAGAGAGCGTGTTAGCACACTCCTGTAATCAGTCCCAGCTACTTGGCAGGCTGAGGAAGGAAGATCACTTGACTCCAGGAGTTGGAGGCTGCAGTGGGCTATGATTGTGCCACTCCACTCTAGTCTGGGCAACAGTGAGACCCTGTGTCTCTCTTTTTTTTTTTTTAAAACAGATGTGTCTTACAATTTTAAACCTAAAACATAAGGAAAGAACTTGCTTACCCCAGATTACTTGTTTTTGGCAGGAAAATTTACAATGCTTTTTTCTATTCCTATAAGATTACTATGGGAGAAGATGGTCTTGGAGTGCAGAAGTTAGCTCGCAGCAGCTAGTTCTGGTAAAGCTTCGTGCCTCTTCTTCACCACTGCAGTTTCTGTTAGGATCCTCAGTGGTCCTAGGAATTTGTTTAGGCTTTGAAAAGTATTCTGATAGTTTGTACCACATAATACTAAAAAATACACTCATGGTCTGTAATTGGTGGTAGATGCACAACCTTCATTAAGCTTCATTTGGAATTTTACCCAAATGAGAGGCTTTTCTGAAATTCACTGTTTTCTTTCTCTTCTGTTGTGCATTTTAGTTTATAAATTAGCTGATAAAATTTTCTCCCAAAAGTTGAATAAAATGGCAATTGTGGTACTTTCGTTAATTTATTCAATACCTGCTTATGAACCATCTACTATGTGCAAGCAGTGGGCATTTCATGGTTATGACTCTCCTGGAATTTTACTTGGCACCTCAAAGCCCCCACACTTCACTGGAGTGAGACAAGCTCTCTACTGCTGAACTTTGTTTTAGCAGAATTATACTGTCACCTTACTCTTCATTAAATATTGAATTAAGTGCTTTCCTTTCATGCCTATTTCACCTCACCAGAACTTCAAGGAACAAAATGTGAAAAAGCACTGTCCAAAAGACCCTGTTTCCCATACAGTTCTGCTATAATACCAGCTACTAAGTTATTAATCAGTGATCCTGAAAAAAGCTTCAAATTGGCAAAACGAGTTAAGGTACTGTTGTTAGCATGACTCTTCCTCCTCCCATCCTCTTGGGACTTTACAGAGCTCAAAACTGAGAGGTCCTGCAATAAGTAAAACAATAACACCAATTCCCAGATTGACTTGACTGCAGGACCATTTTTTGCATACTGCCCTTTAACAACTCAAGAATTTGGAGTTCAGGAAAAAGTTTGAAAAAAGTGTTCTGAAAGATAGTTTCTTCTGACTAAAAATAGGCATGTTCACCATAAACTACATAGACCTTCTACATTCTGATAACAAAGGAAGTCCCACCTCCAGGGTGGAGAAATGTACATGAGAGCCCATGAGAAGTTTCAAGTTTGTACCAAATTCTTCAATGTCTCACAGAGAATTAGGAGGAATGAATGGATCTATGGAAGTTAAATTTGGAGGAGCAGTCACCTCTCTAATAAATTAATCGATTCTTAGGAAACCAAATGAGAACTAACTTCAAGAATGGCTTTCTGATTTAGAAGTTACCTTACATTCCCCTCTTCTACCCTTGATGACAAGCGGATTTTCTACGTACATACTTTGTTCTGTTTGTAGAGCCCTTTCAGTGTTCTCATAGGTACCTAGTAAGTCCAGGGCTCTGTCACTCATCCTGAGTAATAACTGTATCAAGGTACCACACGGGACAGAAACTGTAGGTGCTGCGCACTAAAGCAGATACTCCAGTAAGTGGCCTGGCTTACTCAGGCTGAGAGGTTAAGTAGCCACAACGAGAAAGTAGGAAATAAGACATTAGCTTTGAACACAAAACTTTAAAGGAACTCTAGGGTCAGGTGGGCAATCTAAACATCTGACATTATTTTGAATTATATCAATATTACAAAAGGAATATAGATAGCATGATAGTTTCTGTTTTAAATAAACTTCTTTCACACTATGGAATAAAATATCGTCTATGGGTAGATTAAAATGAAACCCTTTGGGATTTGGTTAAATCTTTGATATTTACTTTATCATGTGTTCTTTCTGATTTTGAAAACTGTCTGCAATAGGTGGAGCTTCTTTGAATTAGAGTTTTGTTCTCTTATCTGCATTTGTCTATCATCTCATCAGATGGAGCTGGTATAAGCAGTGACCCATGAATTCATGGGTCTTGGTGTTTGGATGGGCTCCCTTCAGCTGCCACATTTTTTCAGACGGCCCCTTTGTTTATCTTTAGGTGAAGACTCAGAAGATTGGCAATCAAGGGCAGGGGTGCAAGCTAGGCCTCAGTGTTGGGATTTAATCCTGATTCTGAGTCTCCGCTATCTGCTGAGTATGATATAATGAACGAAATTTCAGACTTTTGAATGAGCACTTGTAATAATGAGACTCTTTTCTTTTTTCAGACAGGGTCTCTCTGTTGCCCAGGCTGGAGTGCAGGGGCACAATCTTGGCCCACTGCAGCCTCTACCTCCCAGGCTCAAGACATTCTCCCATCTTAGCCTCCCAATTAGCCACGACTATAGGCCATGCATCACCATGCTTGGATAATTTTGTTTATTTTTTGTAGAGATAGAGTCTCACTATGTTGCCCTGGCTGATCTTGACAAGCTCCTGGGCTCAAGCTGTCCTCCCGCCTTGGCCTCCCAAAGTGCTGGAATTATAGGTGTGAGACACTGTGGCCAGCCTAGAGACTGTTTGAAAATTAAAAATCTGTATAATAAGCATTTTCTTCAAAAGAAAGATATTGCACTTCTATAATATCTTTTAATTAACTTTCCTTTTTTTTTTTTTTTGAGATGGAGTCTCGCTCTGTTGCCAGGCTACAGTGCAGTGGCGCGATCTCGACTCACTGCAACCTCCACCTCCCAGATTCAAGTGATCCTCCTGCCTCAGCCTCCTGAGTAGCTGGGACTACAGGCATGCACCACTATGACCGGCTAATTTTTTGTATTTTTAGTAGAGACAGGGTTTCACCATGTTGGCCAGGATAGTCTCAATCTCTTGACCTCGTGATTGGCCCGCCTCAGCCTCCCAAAGTCCTGGGATTACAGGCGTGAGCCACCGTACCTAGCCTCAACTTTCTTATTTTTTATGTAAAGAAAGATAGTTGAAACCACACTTGGCCCATTATGAGTTGCTTCTAGCCATAGGATGTAATCCTGGATTTTGGTCAGGGGGGTGCGGATGGTTGTTTGTTTGGTTTTAGTTTAATTGCAAAACAGTTTTTTAAAGTCCAGGGTATTTTTGTTCTTAAAAAATAGAGGCCAGACACAGTGACTCATGCCCATAATTCCAGCACCTTGGGAGGCCGAGGTGGGAGGATTGCTTGAATCCACGAGTTTCAGACCACCCTGGGCAACATAGCAAGACCTTGTCTCTACCAAAAAAAAATTTTTTTTTAATTAGTTAGGCATGGTGGCACACACCTGTAGTCCCAGCTACTCCGGAGGCTGAGGCGGGAGGAGCACTTGAGCCCAGCAGTTCGAGGCTGCAGTGAGCCATGATTGAACTGCTGCATTCCAGCTCAGGTGACAGCAAGACTCTGTTTCTTAAAAAGAAAAAAGAAAAGAAAAAAATAGGATAGGCCAGGCGCTGTGGCTATGTCTATAATCCCAGCGCTTTGGAAGGCTGGAGCAGGAGAATTGATTGAGGACAGGCCTGGTCAACATATAATGAGATCCCATCTCTATAAAAAATTTAAAAATCAGCCAGGTGTGGTGGTGTGCACCTGTGGTCCTGGCTGTTTGGAGGCTGAGGTGGGAAGATCACGAGCCCAACAGCTCCAAGTTACAGTGAGCTATTATTCTGCCACTGCACTCCAGCCTGGGCAACAGAGCATGACCCTGTCTCAAAAAACAATAAAAATAAATAAATACCTAAATAAACATGAACACCATTATTTTTCTTATTATGTAAGCAGTATAAACTATAGAAAAGTTTTTTCTTTTTTTAAAACAGCTTACAGAGAACGTTTTATATTCAAAAATTACAGTAAACAAAAAGAAGAAAATATCATAGTTCTACCACCTAGAAATAATCACTGCTAATACTTTGTTACGTATCCTTGCAAAAATATGTCCAAGTGTAAGTGGTATGTTTGTGTACATTAGATTTATTAATGTTCTTTGGTAACCTGTTTTGTTCCAAATAACTATCTTTTTTATTGACAGTAACTATTCATCTCACAGAGAATCCCTATGAGATTTCCTTTGGTAGAATGAAGTTTTTGAAAAAACTGATATTTATAGCTGTGTATTTTTCCTTATGTGCATTATATAAATGATACCCTAGGCTTCTCTAATTCTATTAAGAACTTGGCGATATATCCTTATAGCTAAATCCTTGTAAAATCCTCATGTACAGCATTAACTTTTTATTAGGATAAATTACTTTAAATGGAATTGGTAGATCAAAGCATTTTTATGTTTTTAAGATTTTTACCAAATATTATAAAATCACCCTCCAGCAGGTTTGTCTGATTGCCCATTTTCCCTCATTTTTACAAACACTGGATGCTGTTATTAACAAACACAAAATCTCCAAGAAAGGCCCTGCACAAGTATCAGAAATACATTAAATTCTTGAGAACTTTCATTAAAGTACAACCTAACAATATAAGCCAGTTTTATTGCTTATACTTAAGAATTGCAAATCAAATGCCCCAAGAGCCAGGGAAGCCATGGTAGTGAGTAAAGCAGGCCGGGTGGAACTGAAGCAGGTTGAGAGCTAGTTCGTATGTAAAGGGTCATTTACAGCCCAGCTCTCAGTTATTGCCGATAAGGTTTTGCAACCTTATCCAGCCTGTCTCTAAAAATTACAAATCTGGGGCTTGGGGCAGTGGCATATGGCTTCCAGCACTTTGGAAGGCTGAAGCAGATAGATTGCTTGAGTCCAGGAGTTTAAGACCAGCCTGGGGCCGGGTGTGGTGGCTCACGCCTGTAATCCCAACACTTTGGAAGGCTGAAGCGGGTGGATTGCTTGAGGTCAGGAGTTCAAGACCAGCCTGGCCAACATGGTGAAATCCCATCTCTACTAAAAATAGAAAAATTAGCTGGGTGTGGTGGTATGTGCCTATAGTCCCAGCTACTTGGGAGGTTGAGGGAGGCTGAGGTTCATGAGAATCACTTGAACCCAAGAGGCGAAGGTTACAGTGAGCCAAGATTGCGCCACTGCACTCCAGCCTGGGTGACAGAGCAGGACTCAGTCCACAAAAAAAAAAAAAAAAAAAAAAGAACAGCCTGGGCAACATGGTTGGTGAAGTCCCATCTCTACAAAAAAATAGCAAAAGAAAATCATAGCTTGCTGCAGCCTTAAACTCTTGGGCTCAAGTGATCCACCTGTCTCAGCCTCCACCATGTTGGTCAGGCTGGCTTTTTTTTTTTTTTTTTTTTTGAGACGGAGTCTTGCACTGTTGCCCAGGCTGGAGTGCAGTGGCCCAATCTCGGCTCACTGCAAGCTCTGCCTCTTGGGTTCACACCATTCTCCTGCCTCAGCCTCCCGAGTAGCTGGGACTACAGGCGCCCACCACCACGCCTGGCTAATTTTTTGTACTTTTAGTATAGACAGGGTTTCACAGTGTTAGCCAGGATGGTCTCTATTTTTATTTTTTGTAGAGATGGGGTCTCACTATGTTGCCCAGGCTGGTCTTGAACTCTTGGTCTCAAGTGATCTTCCTGCCTCAGCTTCCTGAAGTGCTGGGAGCCACTGCTTCCAGCCCCAACTTTTTAATGTTTCTGAACATTTATACCTTCTGTTTTAAGAACTTGTTATGAACAATATTTTAACTTTATATTTTCTGTAATATAATTCAGTTCCAAGCATTCCACATAATGGGGTTGATATGGTTGATAGTGATGTTGCAAACAGAGGCATGTTAAAAGATTGAGATATTTCATAGGCTTTCACCAAATGTTCCGCCGCTATTCAAATTGATAACACTGAGTAAATGATGTTCTGAAATAATATAAGGATTAAGTCATTTGGGTGGGAAAAAACACATGCCATCCATTTAATATTTGAGTACCTACTCCTGTGATAAGCATTAATTGTCTGTAGCATGGTATCAAGAAAATCTGTCTGTGAACTGAGTTTAGGGCTGCTTTTTAAAAAAATCTCATATCTTGCATTTTCTGAACTGTTTTTGGTGTCGGTTTTGGCATGGATGATGTTCATCAGATGCCGGATCAGATAGCACAAATATTCAAGAATTCATAACCCATAATTCCATGTCCATCTATTGGTCTGATCATTTTTTGAGGATTCTTTTTAAGAACAAGATTATTTTCATTTTTAATGTCATGAGCACATTAATGGTAACTTAATAATATTAGTACAATTAGATGTCCATATGCGACAAAAAAAACCTAACCTAATAACATCTTAGAGAATAATCAACTCAAAATGTGTCATCGATGTAAAATATAAAACTATAAAACTTTTAGAAGAAAAATGTATTTATCATATGACCCAAGAAGTACCACTCCTAGGTATTTACCCTAGAGAAACAAATTTTGCCAGGCACGATGTGGCTCACGCTTGTAACCCCAGCACTTTGGGAGGCCGAGGAGGGTGAATCACCTGAAGTCAGGAGTTCGAGACCAGCCTGGCCAACATGGTGAAACCCCGTCTCTACTAAAAATATGAAAATTAGCTGGGTGTGGTGGCGCGCGCCTGTAATCCCAGCTACTCAGGAGGCTGAGGCAAGAGAATTGCTTGAATCTGGGAGGCAGAGAGCACAGTAAGCTGAGATCAAGCCACTAAAATCCAGGCTGGGCAACAGAGTGAGACTCCGTCTCAAAAAAAAAAAAGAAAAAAAAATTTTTGTCCACTTAAAAACCTATATCAATGTTTATAGATGTTGTATTCATAATTACCAAAAAACGGAAACAACACAGATGTGCTTCTGTGAGTGAATGGTTAAACACTCACGTATTTATATAATGTAATACTACTCAGCAATAAAAAGGAGTGAACTATTAATACCATACAACAGCTTGGATGTACCTTAAAGGCATTATGCTAAGTGCAAGAAGCTGGCATTCTACTTATATTTCATTTATATGACATCTTTGAAAAGACGAAACTAGAGTGAGAGAGAATAGACCTAGTTGCCGGGAGTGGAGGGAGGGCATGACTGCAACAGGACAGCACAAGGGAATTTTTTTTTGGATGATGGAACTGTTTTGTATCCTGATTATGCTGATAGGGACATAAATAGAACTGTACACCCCCTTAAAAATTCATTTCACCATATGTTAGCTTTTATTTGAAAATAAAATCAGGCTGGGCACAGTGGCTCACACCCATAATCCCAGCACTTTGGGAGGCCGAGGTGGATGGATCACAAGGTCAGGAGTTTGAGACCAGCCTGGCCAACATGCTGAAACCCTGTCTCTACTAAAAATACAAAAAAAAAAAGAAAAACCAGCTGGACATGGTGGCTTGCACCTGTAATCCCAGCTACTCGGGAGGCTGAGGCAGGAGAATCGCTTGAACCCAGGAGGCAGAGGTTGTAGTGAGCCAAGATTGCGCCACTGCAGTCCAGCCTGGGCAACAGAGCAAGACTCCATCTTGGAAAAACAAATAAATAAGATTAAAAGAATATGTGATAAAGTAATACCATTATCTTTTTCTTAAAAAGGTGATAAAAATAACAGTTGTGGCCAACACTGTTGTCTAAAATTAGGTGCTCAATGTTCTAGAAATTTTATTGCATGTTATTTACATTGGAGTACAGAGCAAACATTTTGAGGTTGGTTTTTCTTCTTCTTTTTAAAAAATAACATTTTTGATAACCTCAGATGCTGTTTTGTGAGCCAAATAATAGCAAATTTTTTTCACAAGATATATTTTTTTCTTTTAACTTTTTAAAGAATCAGATGGGTGACTCAAATATCTCCAGCCCTGGGTTACAGCCAAGCACTCAGCTCTCCAATCTGGGAAGCACCGAGACTCTAGAAGAAATGCCCTCCGGGTCACAGGATAAGGTTTGTACAGCTAAAGCTCTAGCTTTGTCCTAAGTAACAAAGAGTAACATTCAGTAAGGATTCTAATGAGTGCAAGTTTGATTTGTCAGTTGTGTCAAGGTTCAAATGTGCAGCAACATAATGACATCCTCCTAGGTCATGATCCGAGTAACTGTTTAATCTGGATTTTGCAGTAGCCTGCTACCTGGTTTCCCATCTTTTGCTCCCTGGTTGCTTCTTACCTATTCTTAACCCAACAGCCAGAGTAATCCTTGCAAAACATAAGTCAGATCATGGCACTCCTCTGCTTAAAACCCTCCAGCAGTGTCCGAGCTCACTCAAATCATAGCCAGGATCATGACAGTGGCCCACGAGGCCCTACCTTATCTGGCCCCTCTACCCCAGGCCTCATCTGTCACTCTGCATTGCTCACCTGGCTCCAGTCCCATTGGCTCTCTTGTCTTTCCCCAAATGTGCCAGATATGTTCCTGCCTCGAGACAGGCCTTTGCACTTGTTCCCTTGGCCTGTAATACTTTCCTCCCAGATAGGGCTTGCTCCCTTTACTCCCTCAAGCCTCATATGTCCTCCATAAGTCAGGCCTTCTCTGACTACCCTATTTAAAATAACCCTTGGCTAGGCACAGTGGCTCACACCTATAACGCCAGCACTTTGGAAGGTTGAGGCAGGCAGATCGCTTGAGCCCAGGAGTTTGAAACCAGCCTGGCCAATTGACGAAACCCTGTCTCTACTAAAAATACAAAAATTAGCTGGGTGTGGTGGCACGTGCCTGTAATGCCAGCTACTCAGGAGGCTGCAGCACCAGAATGGCTTGAACCCTGGAGGCAGAGGTTGCAGTGAGCCGAGATTGCACCAGTGCACTCCAGTCTGAGCAACAGAGTAAGACTCTGTCTCAAGGAAGAAAAAAATAATAACAGTAACACCCCTTGG
Organism: Homo sapiens; assembly: GCF_000001405.40. Classification (NCBI taxonomy): domain Eukaryota; kingdom Metazoa; phylum Chordata; class Mammalia; order Primates; family Hominidae; genus Homo; species Homo sapiens. The sequence goes on along the minus strand of NC_000003.12, from coordinate 53,303,248 downwards.
ACAGGCACAGTGGCTCTCGTCTGTAATCTCAGCTCTTTGGGAGGCCAAGGCAGGAGGATCACTTGAGCCCAGGAGTTAGAGACCAGCCTGGGCAGCATAGTGAGACCCCTTCTCTAGAAACAAATTTTAAAATTAGCCAGACGTGATGTCATGCACCTGTGGTCCCAGCTAATTGGGAGGCTGAGGTAGGAGCCTCGCTTGAGCTCAGGAGGTTTGAGATTGCAGTGAGCCATGATCACACCACTGCACTCCAGCCTGGGTAGCAGAGCAAGGCCCTGTCTCAAAAATTTAATTTAATTTAATTTAATTTAAAAATAAAATAAAACTCCCAGGTGCAGTGGCTCATGCCTGTAATCCCAGCACTTCAGGAGGCCAAGGCAGGCAGATCACCTGAGGTCAGGAGTTCGAGACCAGCCTGGCCAACATGGCGAAACCCCGTTTCTACTAAAAATACAAAATTAGCCGGGTGTGGTAATAGACACCAGTAATCCCAGCTATTCGGGAAGCTGAGGTAGGAGAAATTGCTTGAACCCGGGAGGTGGAGGTTGCAGTGAGCCGTGATTGCGCCACTGCACTCCAGCCTAGGCGACAGAGCAAGGCTCTGGCTCAAAATAAATAAGTAAATAAATAAAATAAAACAACCCTTCCTCACCTCCATCCTCTTACTGTACTTTATTTTCTCACTAAGGTTTCTAACCAGCTAAGATGGTTTCTGTTTTTGTTTTTTGTCTGTCTCCTGCCCACCAAAATATAAGCACCATGTAAAACAGTTTTGTTTTTTTGTTTTTAAGCTGTCTCTTACGGGAAAGAAGGGCAGTTTTATGAGCCTTGTTCATTGCTGTATCCTTAGCATGTAGCACTGTAAATATTTGTTGAATTAGTTCTCTTTATAACTGATAGTCTGATAAAAGAACAGATATCAAATAAAATCCGTAGGTTTTTAAGTAGACTTTTTGTTTTGAGATAATTACAGATTTATATGCAGTTGTAAGAAATAATGCAGAAAGATCCTATGTACCCATTACCCATTTGCCCATTGATAACATTTTGCAAAATATAGTACGATATGACAACCAGGATATTAACACAATCCACACATGTTGTTCAGATTTCCTTTGTTGTGTGTATATTCAGTTCTGTGTAATTTTATCTCATGTATAGCTTTTTGTATATCCACTACCACAGTCAAGATGCTAAATATTTTCATCACCCCCAAGATGTTTTGCCCTTTCATAAACACACTGACTTCCCTGTCATACCCTATTCTGCCTCTGCGTCTACCTCTGCCTCCCCGATCCCGCCATCGTTTAGCCCTGGCAACTATTAATCCATTTTCCAGTTCTATAATGTCATTTCAAGAATATTATATAAATGGAATCATATATATAACCTCTTGAGATTGTCTTTCTTCACTCAGCATAATTCCTGAACATTTCACTGAAGTTGTTACATGTATCAAGTTTGTTTCCTTTTATTACTGAGAGTATTACATGATACGCAAGTACTAAAATTTGTTTAACTGTTTTTGGCAACTCACTTACTGAAGAACATCTAGATTGTTTTCAGTTTTGGGTTATTACAAATAAAGCTCCTATGAACATTTATGTACAGGTTTTTATGTGAACATAAATCTTCATTTCTCTGAGATAAATGCCCAGGAGTGCAAATGTCAGGTCATTTGGTATTGCATGTTTTAGTTTAATAAGAAACTGCCTTGGGAGGCCAAGGCGGGTGGATCACTTGAGGTCAGGAGTTCGAGACTAGCCTGACCAACATGGTGAAACCCCGTCTCTACTAAAAATACAAAAATTGGACGGGCATGGTGGTGGTGGTACCTGAATCCCAGCTATTCGGGAGGCTGAGGCACGAGAATCGCTTGAACCTGGGAGGCAAAGGTTGCAGTGAGCTGAGGTCATGCCATTGCACTCCAGCCTGGGCAACAAGAGCAAAACCCTGTCTCAAAAAAAAAAGAAAGAAACCACCAAACTGTTTTCTAGGAAGTCTGTACAGTCTTACATTCACATCAACAATGTATCCAAAAATGTTTTTAGATATTTAGATAATTAATTTAAACCAAATTTTGTATTCTACCTTCCCATACCCCATTTTTACTGTATCTGGATTTAGGATCATCATCCAGGAGTGTGCAGTGGGCTTACTACTTCCCCTTTCTAAATCATGAATCACTTCATCTTCCTTTTGTGAATCATGAAGTTAAGGATTATTGTACCGCCTAATGCAGATTTGTTGTGAGACCCTAAGGAAGAAATGGACCAGAAAAAAATGACTTAAGAATTATAAGGTCAGGCATGGTGACTCACACCTGTAATCTCGGGACTTTGGGAAGTGGAGGCAGGCGGATCCCTTGAGTCCAGGAGTTTGAGAACAGCCTGGCCAACATGGTGAAACCCTGTCTCTAATAAAAATACAAAAATTAGCCGGGTGTGGTGGTGCACGCCTGTAATCACAGCTACTCAGGAGGCTAAAGTGGGAGGATCACTTGAAACCAGGAGGTGGAGGTTATAGTGAGCCAAGATCGCACCACTGCACTCCAGCCTGGGCGACCAAGGGAGACCCTGTTTCAAAAATCCAACAACAAAAAAAAGAATCAGCCAGGCACAGTGGCTCACGCCTGTAATCCTAGCACTTTGGGAGGCCAAGGCAAGTGGATCACCTGAGGTCAGGAGTTCAAGACCAGCCTGACCAACATGGTGAAACCCCATCTCTACTAAATAGAAAAGAAATTAGCCAGGGGTGGTGGCACATGCCTGTAATCCCAGCTACTTGAGAGGCTGAGGCAGGAGAATCGCTTGAACCCGGGAGGCGGAGGTTGCAGTAAGCTGAGATTGTGCCATTGCACTCCAGCCTGGCCAACAAGAGTGAAACTCCATCTCAAAAAAAAAAAAAAAGTCATAAAGCACTGTCCATTGAAAGATGAAAAATGAGTGTGACAAGCCATAGATGCTAAGCCTTTCAACAATAGCACTGCGTCTGTAGACATACAGAACTCAAGTGGTACAGACAGTGCTGATGTGTTATTCCGTCATTTTTCATATACTTTTAAAACTTCACGTTTGGTCGGGCATGGAGGCTCACACCTGTAATCCCAGCACTTTGCACTTTGGGAGGCCGAGACAGGCAGATCATGAGGTCAGGAGTTTGAGACCAGCCTGGCCAACATGGTGAAACCCTGTCTCTACTAAAAATACAAAAAGTAGCCGGGCGTGATGGCATACGCCTGTAATCCCAGCTACTCAGGAGGCAGAGGCAGGAGAATTGCTTGAACCCAGGAGGGGGAGGTTGCAGTGAGCCAAGATCGTGCCACCACACTCCAGCCTGGGCGACAGAGCAAGACTCCATCTCGGGGTGGGAGGAAGACTCCATTATTTAGGTTATAGTGACAAAATTTTATGAAATACTGAGATCTGGATATTGTCAGAAGTCATGTGATTGACTAAAGTTAGTTTAAATTTATCATCAGCCGCCACAGGCAGATACTACATTTGTTTAGTAACACTGCCATCTAGTGCTGAGGAGCAAGTACTGCTGTCAAGCCTTAATAGTATTACATTCCATTTCAGTTGCATAATTCACTTGTTTAAACTTTTCTTGGGATTGTTTCTGTAGTGTATTTTGTTATTGTTTGTTTCCTATGTTCAAGAATAGTGCCTATCTTATAGTGTGCCCACTGCAGTGACCAGTAGCTCCAAACAGACATGTAAAATTCTCTAAACATCAATTCTCCGTGGGATGAGGAGTGAACCATATTAAACCTGATGCTGAAGATGATAATTTTGTCCTGTGCTGTACATGCTGTTGCTCGCTGAATGCCATTTCCTGAGCTAAACGGTCAGACTAACACTTGATCTACATGAAGTATTAAAAAACTCAGAATCCTAACTTGAAGCATGTTCAAGCATGAGGAAAGAATAACATTTTACCTTTTCTGTGGATGATGGAAGGTTAATTCATGAATAAATAAGCCCAGCTACTAGAGGAGGGCAACCAGTTTTTCTTATCAGAAACAGAAAAGAATGCAGAGACTGTGAAACTTTTGGGAATTTGTGTGAAGAGAAATATTCTGCTCACCCAGGCTCCTATGACAAATTCAACCAGTTAGGTATAATCATGTGTCATTTAACAATGGGAATACTTTCTGAGAAATGTGTCATTAGGCGATTTCATTCTCCGAACATCATAGAGTGTATTTATACTTTCACAAACCAAGAAACCAAGATGGCATTGCCTACTAACACCTAGGCTCGATGGGATAGCCTATGGCTTCTAGGCTACAGACCTGTGCAGCACATTACTGCACTGCGTATTATAGGCACTTGTAACACACTGGTATTTGTATATTTAACCATAGAAAAGGTTTAGTAAAAACACAATATTATATTCTTATGGGACCACTGTTGTATATGCAGTCCATCATTGACCAAAACATGGTTTGTGCCAAATGATAGTATTTCCAAACGTTGATGCATTTTGATCTGTAGCCACCTCAGTTATTCAAACCTTAGCTGTACCTGTTTTCCGGAGGTAAGTATCACCATCCAGGTGATTAGGTAACCTATACTTTGCTGAATTGACATCTCCATATGGTGGCACACTGCTTAAGAATGTAGACTGTATTGTTAGAACTGAGTTGGAGTCTGGTTCTTTTGTTGTATTTGGGCATCATCTATAAAGTAGCAATAATAATTTACCTACTCTAGCAGATGAATAGAGTAATACATGTAAAGTGCTTAGCATATCGCCTCCCACATAGTAAGCATTCTGTGTATGATGATTCATTATTACCATCACAAATTCGTTTATTCTCTCTTATATGAGAAAACCTCCAAAACTGTAATGCTTTACCATACTCCCCATTCTAGAGAAAGTTAGAGAATCTGTCTGGCCTCGCAGTAGTTATAGGGAGGCAGCATAGAGAATCTAGAAACTTTCTGCTGCTTTTAAAGTCAGGGGTCAGGGTTCTACCATATGGTGGTTTCATATTTTAATTTAAAGTAGGTGTGTGTGTTTGTAGAGACAACGTCTCACTCTGTTGCCCAGGCTAGATTGCAGTGGCCTGATCATAGCTCACTGTAACCTCAAACTCTTGGGCTTAAACAATCCTCCTGCCTCAGCCTCCCAAGCAGCCAGGACCACAGGTGCACACCACCTTGTGCAGCTAATTTTTAAATTTTTTGTAGAGGCAGGGTCTCAATATGTTGACCAGGCTGATCTTAAACTCCTGGCTTCAAGCAATGCTTCCGCCTAGGCCTGCCAAAGTGCTGAGATTATAAGCATGAGGCACTCTGCCTGACTTAAAGTAGATTTTTGGCTGTTCAAAGTTAATTTATGTTTCACTGGACAAGGAAAAATTGCTGTCTGGATTATGCCTCAGGTGTATTTTGTGATGAGGTTTCTCCATGTCCTGCCATTTGATTATTCCTTTTCTTAAATTTCTGCAACATAGACCCAATCTGATCTCTGTTTTTCAAAGTAGTTTATACCTAAATATTGGTTTGTGTGTTTGTATACATATGTCTGTAATAGAATGGGGTGGTTATGAGCTGTTTAATTTGCATTAATAAGAATTAGTCTTGTTGGCCAGGCACGGTGGCTGTAATCCCAGCACTTTGGGAGCCGAGGCAGACAGATCACCTGAGGTCAGAAGTTCAAGAACAGCCTGGCCAACATGGTGAAATGCCATCTCTACTAAAAATACAAAAATTAACTGAGCGTGGTGGTGCATGTCTGCATTCCCAGCTACTTGGGACGTTGAGGCAGGACTATCACTTGAACCCAGGAGGTGGAGGTTGCAGTGAGCCGTGATCACACCACTGCACTCCAGCCTGGGTGACAGCAAGACTCCATCTCAAAAATTAAAAAAAAAAAAAAAAGAATTAGTGTTGTTTTCCAATACTTTTTTTTGCTAAGAAACCTGACCCATTTGTTTTCTAAACATATAATGTGTATAAAAAGGAATTAACCCAATTCAAAACTGGGTAAAAGATTTTAATAGGAATCTCCATATAAGGTATACAAATGGCCAATAAGCACATGAAAAGATGCTCCACATCATTAGTCATTAGGGACATGCAAATTCAAACCACACTGAAGTATCACTTCATACTCATTAGGATGGCTAATATCATTAAAATGGAACATCACAAGTGTTGGAGAGTATATGGAAAATGCTCCATATACTCTGTTACCTCATATACTGCTGTATACTGGCAACCATGTTGGATTGCTGGTGATAATGTAAAATGGTTCAGGCACTATGGAAAAAAACAGTTCGGTGATTCCTCAAAAAGTTAAACTTGGAATTACTATATGACCCAGCAATTCTGCTCCTGGGTATATACCCAAAAGAATTGAAAACAGACATTCAAACAGATACTTCCACACCAGTCTTTATAGCAGCAGTATTTGCACTAGCTAGAAGGTGGAAACATCTCAAGAACTCCAGTGTCCATTAATGGATGAATGGATAAATAAATGTCATATATACATGCATTGGAACATTATTCGGCCATAAAAATAAGTGAAGTTCTGATACATGTTGGAACACGGATGAACCTTAAAAACAACAACATGAATATACTAAAGGCCACTGAATTTTACACTTAAATATGGTTAAAATGGTAAGTTTTATGTATATTTTACTACAGTTTTTTAAAATAGGGAGATAAATGTCTATTGTGCTGTCAGTAGACATTTATGATGCCATGAATTCACAAGTGACTAAGTCACAGTGTTCAGTGTAGTAAATGGAACCTGTGAACATGTCTGCAGCTATGTGGCCTGGACAGAGAAGTCTGTCCCAAGGGAGAATTTGTTGTCTATTTTGACCTAGATGGAATGGGTTTGAAATATTACCAGACAGCTGTGTCCTTGATGATTCTTTGCATTGGGAGTGACCAGGAGGTTTATAATAGCCTAGCCTTGGTTATCTTACCAGGTGTTTTGTTGTTGTCTTGCATTGTGGGATATGATATTCCAGGAGCATTTAATGAATTTTTGTTTGGTACTCCATGCTTGCTATTAAGACCACATGGTGGGCCGGGCGCGGTGGCTCATGCCTGTAATCCCAGCACTTTGGGAGGCCGCGGCACGCAGATCACCTGAGGTCAGAAGAAGTTTGAGACCAGCCCGGGCAACATGGTGAATCCTGTCTCTACAAAAAATACAAAAATTAGCTGGATGTGGTGACGCACGCCTATAATCCCAGCTGCTCAGGAGGCTGAGGCATAAGAATCGCTTGAACCTGGGAGGAGGAGGTTACAGTGAGCCGAGGTCACGCCACCGCACTTGAGCCTGGGCGATAGGGCTAGACTGTGTCTCAAAAAAAAAAAAAAGACCACATGGTGTTTATGTGATTATAGTTTAAGCCAACTTCAATTTAATGCTTTTTGGGCACCAGACATTATATTGAGAATTTAATTTTCACAACAGTGTTCTGAGATCATTGTCACAATGTCCTCGCTTTTCAGATAAGGAACTAAATTAGAAGGATTATGCTGGGCTCAATGGCTCACTACAAAAAATTTAAAAATAAACTGATCATGGTGGCATGCACCTGTGGTCCCAGCTACATGAAAGGATTGTTTGAGTCTGGAAGGTCAAGGCTGCATGAGCTGTGATCACACCACTGCACTCCAGTCTGACTGAATGAGACCCTGTCTCAAAAAAAAGAGAAAGAAAAAGAAAGATGATGTAATTTTCCCAGTTAACAGCTGAGGTATCTTTTATTTCAGACCCTAAACTCTACAGTTTTTTTCAGAAGTAAAAATATGAAGAAATTGAACCATATAAGATCTTTAGTATTTTTTTGTATCCATGGTCTAAAATTAGATACTGATGCTGCCTTATATTTGAAGTGAGAGTCTAACATTAGTAGAATCTCTTTATTGAATATTTTTAAAGGTGAAATGGTTTGGTATGAAGCTACAACTTTTTTACAACTGTGGGAGGTTCTTGCCTCTTCCTCCACAACAGTTACTTTTTACTGACTACATTTTTTCAGACCTGCCCTGTCCCTCTCACCTAGCAGATGATGCTGTCCTCATACCAGGGAGAGAAGACAGAATGGCACTCCCTTAACTTTCTGTCCTTCACATGCAAACTTGCCTGCATGCTCATCGCTGCTGGCCCTCTTTCTCTGTTGTCTGACAGGAGCCCCTCCTGACACAGGATCTCTTGCCTTAAGCTCCCTCTCCTCATACTGACTTCCCCCTACTCCCCGAAAGAACTTTGGAAGAGAGCACTGTTGAGTGTCTGCCATGTACTGATGGGATCTGTGGTCCTGGGTGGTGGTGCCATTACTTGGGTAGGCAAGTCCAAGAGCAAGAAAGGCAAGGATTGGGGAATACATGAGAAAGAGAGCCCCTGCCTTGGCAAATTCGCTTTCCATGTTGTTAGGAGTGCTGACATTAAACACACACTTCCTGTGTGCTGGGTTCCATACATTTCAGCCTCCCACCAGACCTCCCTACTTTATAGAGGCCTGAGACTCAGAGAAGTGGACAGCACTCCTCAGGCCACACAGCTGGAAAGGAGCAGAGCCAGGCAGCGGCAGTCATCTTCAGGCCCTGCCTGTGGGTGGTTGATAGGACATCACAGCTGTGTCGCTGCAGCCTCCTGAGGGGATGCCTTTGCTCCCTTGACTTGTATTACCATCTTTGTGTTTTAATAACCCAAAATGAAATTACCGTTTTGTGTTCTAAGTCAGTACCTCCAGGTTCTAGATGTCCCACAGAGACCTCCAGACATGTTCACAACTAACTTCAGCTTCCCCCTCTCCCTAACCCTAGGTGCTCTTCCTGGGCTGGGCTGGCCTGCCCAGGCAGTGATACCACCACCCAATACCCAGATACCAGGGTGTCCTCTAGGCTCCCTGCTCCTACCTGACCAGCCACCAACTCCTTCCATTCCAACTCCAGTTCTCATCCTCTTCTCTGCCAGTATCTTAGTCCAGACTCTCCTCAATCTCACCCCTACAATTTGTCCTTTATGTGGCCGACCAAGTGCACGTTCTAAAATATAAAGCCTGATGGCTCATCCCCTGGACATGTTGCCATTGCCCTGTGGATAAAGTCCAGATCCTCTAACGTGTCTCAGATACTCTGCAGTCTGCCCGCTTCTTCTCTCTTTCCCTGTCACCCTCCTACCCAGCCTCTGATCCAGCTGTGCTGAAGCACGTGTGGCTCTCAGTGGCTGTGCTCCCCAGCCAGCTCGCCTCATCCCTCCCCAGTTTCACTCCTCTTCCTAGTGCCTTCCTTCCCACTGAGCTCTGCAACTCTGCCTTGTGTGTGTGTGTGCGGGGGTCCGGTGGGGGGGCCCTTACCAGTTGTCCTGGCCTCTTTTTTCACATCACAGTCACAGCACAATGCCTGGCACCTGATAAATTCAAGAATTTTTATCAAATGGATGAAACATTTGCCTGGACAAAACTGGGTTTGTTTTCCTGTAGAAATGTGATCATACCATAGTCTTATAATATTGATATTATACTAATTTGCAGTGTACTTTGGGGCCTTACAGACTTTCTGAAGCCTTGAGAATCATGTGTTTCAGTGAACTAATTTTTTCAGTATAAACAGATCTAAACAACTAATTCACTCATTTTAGGAATAAAAAGTTGAGGCTGTCTGTGTTTTCAAAGTGCTTAGGTGTGTCTCCCACTAAAATGTAAGCTCTGTGAGAACTGTTGTTACTCCCTTGCTGCATCGCGTGGGCCCAGGTTAGAGCAAGACCTGGCACCCTGTGAGTACTCAGGAAATAAAGGTTATTGACTATGGAAATACTGCTTAAAAGTACAGGAAAACACGAATGTTTTTCCTTTGAACGATTATGGTATCAATAAGCCAACTTACTAAAATATATATAAATTTTAAATTGTCAGGCTTACATGCTTTTTCTGAAGAATTCTGTGACTAGGGACTAAGGCAGTGGGAGTTGGGGATGGCCCACTATTAAATGGCTAGATTTATTTTCTGATATTTGAGACCCAGTCTCTGAGGTCCAGTGCCTAGCGTTTCATTGAGAACAGTGAAAGTAAAGGTAGAATCACCTGATTAGCATTTGGTCCCTGTGTCTCCTCTAGTGTCATTTCCCTGTGTGTTGTTGACATGAGGCAATTGGGCACAGTCAGCTTTGCCAAGAAAAAGAATGGTGAATTCTGATCCTGCTACCCAGAGACCCTAAAAATTTGAATTATATTACCAATGCAAATTTCCATCCACCAACCTGGGGACACTAGATGAACCTGGGCCTTAATCCTTAGTATATCTTCAGTTTTTTCCGTTCCTTATTTTGATACTCCATCCATCCTTGATTCTGCAAAATCTTTGGCTTCTGGAAAAGAAGTTTGGTTATGCTGATTTATAACAGACCTCTTTGACTGGGTGGTTTCATTTGTTTTTCAGTCTGCTCCATCTGGACACAAGCATCTGACGGTAGAAGAGTTATTTGGAACCTCTTTGCCAAAGGAACAACCAGCAGTTGTGGGTCTGGATTCAGAAGAAATGGAGAGGTTGCCAGGAGATGCCTCCCAGAAAGAGCCCAATTCATTCCTACCATTTCCCTTTGAGCAGTTAGGAGGAGCCCCTCAATCAGAAACCCTGGGTGTCCCTTCTGCTGCCCACCATTCAGTCCAGCCTGAAATCACCACCCCGGTGCTAATCACTCCAGCCTCCATCACACAGTCCAATGAAAAGCATGCTCCAACCTACACAATCCCGTTGAGCCCTGTTCTCAGTCCCACTCTGCCAGCTGAAGCTCCTACTGCACAGGTTCCCCCCAGCTTACCTCGAAACAGCACCATGATGCAGGCAGTGAAGACCACGCCTAGACAGAGGTCTCCACTCCTGAACCAGCCAGTCCCTGAGCTAAGCCATGCCAGTCTGATTGCCAACCAGAGCCCCTTCAGGGCCCCATTGAACGTGACGAACACAGCTGGCACATCCCTCCCAAGCGTTGATCTTCTCCAGAAACTCAGGTTGACCCCACAGCATGACCAAATACAGACACAACCACTTGGGAAAGGTGCAATGGTAGCCAGCTTTTCTCCGGCAGCTGGTCAGCTAGCCACACCTGAGAGCTTCATAGAGCCTCCCTCTAAGACAGCAGCAGCAAGAGTGGCGGCCTCAGCCTCCCTGAGCAACATGGTGCTTGCTCCCCTTCAGGTAATGGCAGGAGGGTGGGGGTGGGCAGAGTGGGTAACTGTAACTGGATGGGATGAAACTACAGAGACCTTGGTTTTAACTGTCATGACATGACAATTTTTAGAGTTGTCCCTTTAAAGTATGTCAGAGGCTCGGAGACAGGTGAGGTAAGAAGCCCTATCATGAACAACCAAGTAATTTATATTTTCCTATCGGGATATTCACTTTAGTGGGGGTTGTATGTTTGTTTTGCTTTTGCCCAGCAGTTCCAGGAGTCCTCATTTGACTGAGGACCAAATTATTCCAAAGCTTAACTCCCTATCTCCCACGGCAGTCTCCTAGAGTGCCTACCTTGTGCCAAGTACCCTAGAGGTGCCATAAGAGCATCCTAGACTCGAAGGTATGAGGTCAAATAAAGCTGATTTTTTCAACTGCCCATATTTACATCACCTTATAAAGAGGTGCCATGCTGCCTAGATCTCTTATCTCTACAGACTCAGCAGCAAAAATATGCCCAGGCTGAAGGACAGATATCACATGTTCTTACTTTATTTGAACTCATGGAGATAGAGAATAGAAGGATGGTTACCAGAGGCTGGGAAGGGTAGTGGGAAGGTGGGGGGAGGTGGGGATGGTGAATGCATACAAAAAAAAAAAAATAGAATGAATAAGACCTGTATTTAATAACACAACAGGGTGATTATAGTCCATAATAATTTAAGTATATATTTTAAAATAATGAAAAGGGTATAATTAGATTGTAACACAAAGGAAAAATTCGTGAGGGGATGGATGCCCCGTTTTCCATGATGTGATTATTATGCATCGCATGCCTGTATCAAAACATTTCATATACCTCATAAATACATACACCTATATACCCACAAAAATTAAAAATTATATATATTCCTGGGCTGTCTCTGGCTTTTATAAGAGACACAGGTTTCAGGTTTTTCTTTAAAGATACCTGAAAGGCTCTGCACACACCCCTTCCCTCAGGAGCTAAAGAGGAGAGGCTGTCGCAGAGCTCTAGTGCAGTTGAATTGTTGGCTGCATGGTTACAGGTTCCTGTCAGACTCTTCCCTTGGGAATCTAGGAACTAGTTAATATCTGAACCATTTTCTGTTACTAACCTAGATTTTCCACTGGGAAAGTCTTTTTCAATTAAGACTAGGAAGTCTTCTTAATTGAAACTTCTTATATCCGTCTGTCTTTTCTTCATAAACATTTCAGTCTATGCAGCAGAACCAGGATCCTGAAGTATTTGTGCAGCCTAAGGTGTTATCCAGTGCCATCCCGGTAAGGACTCGCTTTTTTTTTTTTTTTTTTTTTTTTTTTTTAAGACTAGTCGGGTGCCATAGTGAGAAAGTAGAAAGAGTAGAACAAGGAATTTGGTCTGTAACTGGCTGTGAACAGTCAGGTGAGATAATTCACTCCCTTTGGACCAGCCAGGACTCCCTCTTTCTGAAGAACACATTATTTTTAAGTTCTGCTGGATGTGAAGTAAAAGGTTGTCAGCTTAGTGAAAAGAGTTAGCTATGGAGCCCAGCACATCTTAGATGCCTTTCCTAGGCCAGGTCCTCTCCCACCCCGTCCTGGCAGAGTCCATTGCTGTGGCTTCTGTGGATCTCGAGGCGTCTGCATGGATATCTTCCCTGACTGTGTGTGTAGAGGGCACGGTGGGCCCTTACTCGGTATTTGTGAATGGGTGACTGCTAAGAGTGTGGTAGCCTGGCTTCTATAAGTAGGAAATACTGCCCTGGAAGAGCTGTGATGTCCCAGGTGGCAGAGCCACTATCCTGCTATAGTCCTCTCATTTCCCATTGCTCTGAGAACAAAGCCTCCCAGGCCTGTGTCTTCTGTCCCATTTGTCCTCCCTTGCTTCATTTTTTGTTGTCCCTACTCTCCATCACCCACTAACCTTGCAATGCACACAGGTTTTTTTTTAGCTCCCTAAAGTCATTTCTGTTTTCCTTTGAGCCTTTGTACCCTCCTTGAGTCTTGGAGTTTAAATGGGAACCAGCTTCTGACTGGTCTTACATCTTGGAGTTTAAATGGGAGCCAGCACCTGACTGGTCTTGGAAACGAGCCTCTTTTCTATGTGTCTTGTCCTTCTGCATGGTGATCTATCTCAGCCTGCTTTTGCACCAAAAATAAATAAATAAAAGGTAAATAGCTCAGATGCCAAAAACCATACCGTTGAAACTGTGGCCCGCTCTGTGCTCTTTGTAAATGAGGAGGTGACATATAAGAGAAAGAAATGCAGATCTCTGTTGATTGTATCAAATCTGACAAATACTGAAAATACTGATTATTACTGGTTTAATGTATTCAGATAATTAGCTGGAATTAGCCTAGAAGCACATCTAAATGGAGGAGAGAGGTAGATGTTAGCTTTATTTTAAGAAATTTTCTCATTGCTATCTATAATAGTATAAAAAAATAGATTGAACATAACTGGATTTTTTTTTTTTTTTGGAAGCAGAGTCTTGCTTTGTTGCCCAGGCTGGAGTGCAGTGGCACTATCTCAGCTCACTGCAACCCCCACCTTCTGGGTTCAAATGATTCTCCTGCTTCAGCGTCCCAAGTAGCTGGGATTACAGGCTCCCATCACCACACTCCACTACGTTTTTGTATTTTTAGTAGAGATGGGGTTTCACCATGTTGATCAGGCTGGTCTTGAACTCCTGACCTCAAGTGATCCTCCCACCTAGGCCTCCCAAAGTGCTAGGATTACAGGCATGAGCCACCACTCCCGGCCATAATTGGATTTTTAAATTCTTCTTTATTGCAATGTGATTTACATAAACTGAAATGCAGATTTTTAGAGGCCAGGTGTGGTGGCTCATGCCTGTAACCCCAGCACTTTGGGAGGCCTAGGTGGGAGGATCACTTAAGCCCAGGAGTTCAAGACCATCCTGGGCAACATTAGTGAGACCTCGTCTTTACAAAAAAATCAAAAATGGGGGGAGGATTGCTTGAGCCCAGGAAGTTGAAGCTGCAGTGAGTGGTGACTGCACCACTGCACTCCCACCTGGGTGACAGAATGAGACCCTGCCTTAAAAAAAAAAAGACGAGATGGAGTCTTTCTCTGTCACCCAGGCTGGAGTGCAATGGTGCAGTCTCGGCTCACTGCAACCTCCACCTCCTGGGTTCAAGCGATTCTCATGCCTTAGCCTCCTGAGTCTGGGATTACAGGCACACGCCACCATGCCCAGCTAATTTTTGTATTTTTAGTACAGACGGGGTTTCACCATGTTGGCCAGGCTGGTCTCGAACCCCACCTCGGCCTCCCAGAGTGCTGGGATTATAGGCATGAACCACTGCGCCCAGCCAAAACATGCAGATTTTTAAATGAGTTTTTGACACATGTATGTAATATCCCTTGGGCAACCCAATCAATATGTAACATTTTGTCACTCCAGAAAGTTCCCTCATGTCCTCTTCAGTCATTTCCCCAACTCTCCTCCCAAAAAGCCTTTACATTTTAAATTTATCATAGGATTTTTCTTACTGTGCATTCTATACTGTTACTTCTCTTACCTACTGTGGTGGTTGGACTTGGCTTCCCGTAATGATTCTAGGACATTCTTACATAAATGGGCTGGTCATCCTTTAGCTAATGGAAGTTTATAACCAGATGTCAGATGTTCACATGTTCCTACTGAATGTTTACCTGAACTCAAAATAGTCTGTCTCTGTGCTCCACTCTTCTGCTGCTTATGCCTGTTTCCACATGGTCCCTATTCTGGGCCTGGCTACTGGCTTCTGCACTTCGGTACAAAATGACCATTGTCACTCTCCAGGTTGCAGGCGCCCCACTGGTTACTGCAACGACCACTGCAGTGTCTTCAGTCCTGCTGGCCCCAAGTGTTTTCCAGCAGACAGTTACAAGATCTTCGGACCTTGAGAGGAAAGCCAGCTCCCCTTCTCCTCTAACTATTGGAACGCCAGAAAGTCAGAGAAAGCCTTCCATTATTCTCAGCAAGTCTCAGCTCCAGGATACATTAATACATCTAATAAAGGTATGTAGGATACCAATTTTATCTTTGATTTTTCATTATTTAATGAAAGAAATTTTATAAATTCCTCTTACAGAATCAGTTCATAAAGTAAATTCAAAAGACTAGCTGGAGGCCAGGCAAAGTGGCTCACACCTGTAATCCCAGCACTATGGGAGGCCAAGGCAGGCAAAAAAAAAACAAAAACAGACTAGCTGGGAGTACTGTTTCTCTTTTTTTAAGCATACAGTCCTGGTGGAGAAATATCTGCATGAACTCAAAATATTAATCATGATTGTCTCTGGGTGGTGGGATTATCAGTTATACAAATCATTTATACAATTTTTTTCCTAAGCTGTTACCAAGGAAGTAAAATCTGATGAGGTAAATGTGGCATTCGTATCCTTAACCTTTACCATCTCTTCTAGAATGATTCCAGCTTCCTCAGTACACTTCATGAAGTCTACTTGCAGGTTCTGACCAAGAACAAAGACAACCACAACCTATGACTGGAGCAGAATAAGTCTAAAGGCAGAGCCCCAGCCTCAGAGACAAATAGGCTTCATCATGGAAACTTCTGAGCAGAACATTGAGTTTGAGAATCCTGAAATTGAGCCTATGAGAAAGAGACTCATTTCTTAAGAATGTTTTCCAAGTGACATTCTCAGTGATAATGGAGGTTTCACTGTGAAGCATCACCAGCAGATCCTTGTTTTGACAAAAAAAAAAAAAAAAAAAAAAAAAAAGAGAGCGATCATTGTGTTAAGTTATGTGGGTGTTTTCATCAGCTAGGAGCAAGGCTGTGGAATAAGGAGTCAGATTCTCAGCTTGCTTTCACTTTCAAGGACTTACAGAGGAGTAGTCACCAGCCTCACAGCAGAAGTTCAGCCCGGCCCCCACCGCTTCCCCCAGCCTACCCCATAGAAACGGGCTTTGGGCTGACAAGTCAAGTTTTGAACAGAGTAGAAGGCAGCTCTGCAAAGTAGCTTCTAGTTTTTAGGACCAGAATTTAAGCCGGCAAATTAGGAATTATTTCCTCAAGTGAAGTATATTTTATATGAATGCCCCATTTGGGCCTTAAAAGTTGTGAAATTTCTTAATAGCATTTTGTTTTTAAGTGCCCCAGTCCTGCCCTGCAGCAGGCCCCCAGTGCAGCATTACCATTTGAATAGGGCACTGTCAGGCTCTGGTGGTGTGGACACAGGCATGTCATACCTTTGAAGGAAAGGCTGGGGCTGGGAATGCCCACATCCTATCAAATCTTCATTTTAGGTTAAACTCTCCATTGGTTCTGAAAATGCTAAGTTTGTGTGTGAAGCACAGCCTTATTTTCCTTTTCTGTCATTGTTGATTGTTTTCCTTAACACTTTGACAAAAGGACCAGTGGACCAATCTGACAAAGCCATTCTGGTTCCTTTCCTTGAGTGTACTGAGAATAGTTTTAAAGCTATGCAGAAAAGGGAGCTGTTATTCACACTGCCCTTATTTTGTTGTAGAATTATGGAGTTAAAAGAAAATGTGATTCCGAACTCTACCAATGTATTCCTAGGCTGTGAGTACTTTCCCGGCCCAAAGTGTGAAAATATGTAAAGAAGCTTTGTTATGCTGCTATTGATCTGCCATGATTTCTATTTATTCTTTTATGGCATGTAATGGTGTTTAGTAATATTTTAATGTAGATTTTGATTTATTTCAGCAATAGTAATTTTAAGATATTCTTTGAATGAAAGTGTCTTCGTTTCTATGATACAGGTCATTTTGTAGTATTTAACCAATTAAGATGCACTGCTTACTTTTCTGAGCACTATTTAATGATGGGGTAAAAACCCAATTGGCTCAACCAGCTAGCATAAGGATTAGCTGTGAATAATGCTGACAGATATGATGGTTCCTTAGGAACAATCATTTAAGCTTTAATGGTAACTCAATCATAAGTCCATAGATTATTTTTTTCTAGCTAAAATTTTAGAAAATTACTTGTGAATTACATACTTGTTTTAGTTTGGTCTTAGTTTTTAGCATAAAGAATGATTGGCTTTTGTTGATCTAAACATGCTTCCTGGACAGGGTTTCTGCTTCTCATTTTAGTGTCTTCTATTGCTGTCTACCTAATTATGTGTGAATTGTGCAGAATTCAGGGAAGCTTATAAGTTTTCATGCTCAATTGTGAATAGTTTGTTTTCACAGATAGTATGTAAATTAAGCAACCAAAAATGAATTCCTTATGCATCATCTGGGAACGAGAAAGCTATAGTGGGATACAGAGTGTTGCTGACACCGGGAGATGGTGTCCAGGGAGCCACGTGACTTCCATAAAGTGGACGCACCAGTAGGTGTGATTGCACCTCAAGTGTAGTCTCAGTGGGCTTCGGTGAACAGACGAATCAAGGGATTCTTGAATCGAAATTATGCTTTTGAGTATGTAATATTATGAGAGAGTTAAGAGAGAATATCCTAAAGAGAGTCTGTGATCATACTAATTTTCACCTTTAATGCTAGGAATGGATATGATAGACAGTAAAGAGCATCTATGATAAGGCTTCCTTAGTGTGAAAGTAAACTTAAGTGCCCAAGTCATGGAGACTTGAAAAGGGTAAACCTGTTTCACCTCCCAAATTTATATATTCAAAGTATTTACTTAAAATTCAGAAGCCAGAAGTTCATGTCATGATTACCAGGAAGTTCAGGCCAGAATGAATCCCTAGAGAAGCCAGGCCAAGCCTGGATAATTGCAGCTGGATGACCCTGGCCCGAAAGTCACAGTTCAGTTGCCTTATTCCTAGTTCAGGCTTACTATCTAGAACCTCATGCTAGCTTAGGTTGCATGTTTACATTGCTGCAGTGTCTTTACTGGAAGCTTAGTTGGATCGAAATGGACACCGAGATGGAGATGCTTCTGGCTAGATTTCGCAGAACCCCAGGAGACCTGCATTTAGACCACTCTGTCCATTTGTGTGCCCACCCCCACCCCCAGGGTCTAAGTGTAGACTCCAAGAGGAGCAGCCCAGAGCTTGGAGGAGAGGTGTGTCTGGGGCACCACTGGTGGGTGGTGCTGCTCTTCTTTTTGTTGTAGTTAATGCGGTGTCTTTTAATGGACTCTCAGGCCTCCCAGACAGCCTTGTTCCTTTAAGGCAGAAGCTCTTCTTCATTGTGTACCTCCTGGGATTCATGAGGTGTGAGATTTGGCCTGCTTGACTTTGAATTCAAGTTTTTCAAGTGACTCTCAGTGTCAGAAGAAGCATTTCATGCTGTCCACATGTGGTATGTCCACAGCTCACCTTCAAAGGCTTAGATGTAGCCATCACAGAGAGTGGTATTTTATTAAGAACCCAAGTCCCAGCCTGACCAACATGGTGAAACCCCATCTCTACTAAAAATACAAAAATTAGCCGGGCGTGGTGGCACGCGCCTATACTCCCAGCTACTTAGGAGGCTGAGGCAGGAGAATCACTTGAACCCGGGAGGCAGAGGTTGCAGTGAGCCAAGATCACACCACTGCACTCTAGCCTGGGCGACAGTGAGACTCCACCTCAAAAAAAAAAAAAAAAAAAAAAAAAAAAAAGTCACGCTGGGCCCCTCTCTACAGGGGGACACACAGGCTTAGTTTAGTATATGTCTAACCAGATTTTGCATGTCAAGCATTTGTCCTTTTCCTGGCTTATGTTTTCTTGTAGAAATTATATAAACCCTATCAAATCCACTACTAGGTAAATTTTTAAACCATGCAGCTTTATTACTCTCCTCCCCCAAAGAATGTAGTTTGAAATTTTCTCATTTCCATAGTAGAGGCCCTAACTGCCATTGTATTACTAATAATGCAACATGAAATTGAAGGTGCCTAACTGCTCAAAAAACAAAATCAGCCATCATACTGTAACTCTGAGAGGAATGAGAGGTGGCACAGGCACGAGTGGGCTCAGCCCGTGTGAGTGAGGAGAACTGAGGAATCCTAGGGTGCGCATCCTGCATCCTGGCTGCACGTTTGCTGCAGAGTATGTTTTTCTTTCTTGCCTCCCTTCAGTTTTCTTCAGTTGCGTTCAGTGTATCTTCTGGAACCAATAGTGCCCTGTGTTCTCAAGTCTCTAAAATGCTAAGATCTGAGCAAAGTCAAGCAGCTTACACTAGGCTTTTTTACAGCTGTGCTTGAGAACATTTCCGAGTGGACCAGGGCCTTGAGGAGCCTGTTTTTCAGCAAATTCAACAGATGTGTGCAGTGATTCCCTCCGTTTTGTATTTGACACCTTCATTTAAAATGCTAAGATGCAATATCATTCACTTCAAAGTGGGGAAAATGCAGAATTGTGTTTCCTTTTTATCTGTGTGATTCCTTAAGAAACATGTTTTTAAAATATGTGTTCTAAATGGTTTTTTATTCTGTATTACTGCTTTGGCCATGTGGCTCTCATGACTTTCATTGTACCAGATTCTCAGCTCCCTGAAACATGGGGACGAGAAGCTCTGGAATTACAGCAAGATTTTTGTTCCATGAGCGCAATACTGTATCATTAACATTTTTAATGGTATGGATTTTATAGCATCTGTGTATGTTTGCAAATATTAAGTTATTACATGTTTTAAAATGAGCGTTTTTCATCTTAAATTTTATATGTTTGCAAATATATTTTTTTAATAAAATTTCAAAACCAAGTTTTAGCACCTACTAAAATTTAATTGTGTTTTTATTTAATTTGTAGAAATAGGGACTTTTGAATGAGTTGCACTTTTGCAGAGTGCCATACTGGTGAAATGGGATGAGGCAAAAAAACAGAACCGACAAAACTGTTATCAGATCCTTTTGTACTTCTTAAGCATAAGGATTAGGTGTTCACACACAGGTGTGAGATGGGCCATCCTGAAACATTGCTACAATGTCGGCATATTACCTGTCTGACACAGAGAAAAAAGAAAACTGTTATCTACCTGTTTCCAGCCTGTATAGTCAGGGTTCTCCAGAGAAACAGACCTGAGAGAAGATAGAGTTATGTACCATGTGATATTTCAGTCAACAACAGACCACATTTATGACAGTGGCCCCATAGAATTACAACCCTATTTTTACCCGACCTTTTCTGTGTTTAGATACACATATACTTATCCTTGTGTTACAGTTGCCTACAGTATTCGTACAGTCACATGCTGTACAAGTTTGCAGCGTAGGAGCCATGGGCTGTACCATGCATGTAACATAGGTGTGTAGTAGGCTATGCCATCTAGGTTTCAGTTGCCCACAGTCAACCCAGGTCTGAAAATATTAAATACAAAATTCCAGAAATAAACCATTTTAAGTTCGATGCCGTTCTGAGAAGCATGATGAGATCATTCGCCATCCCACCTGGGCTGTGAATCATCCTTTGCCCAGCAAATCCACGCTATATATGCTGCCCACCAGTTAACCACTTAGTAGCCATCTCAGTTATCAGACCAACTGTCGGGGTATTGCAGTGCTTGTGTTGAAGAAACCCTTATTTAATAATGGCCCCAAAGCGCAAGAGTAGTGATGTGGCAAGTCAGGTATGCCTAAGAGAGGCCATAAACTGCTTCCTTTAAGGGAAAAGTGAAAGTTCTCAACCTTTTAAGGAAAAAAAAATCACATCTGGCTGGGTGCAGTTGCTCACACCCATAATCCCAGCACTTTGGGAGGCCAAGGCGGGAGGATCACCTGAGGTTGGGAGTTCGAGACCAGCCTGACCAACATGGAGAAACCCCATCTCTACTAAAAATACAAAATTAGCCGATGTGGTGTCGTGCCTGTAATCCCAGCTACTGGGGAGGCTGAGGCAGGAGAATTGCTTGAGCCCGGGAGGCAGAGGTTGCAGTGAGCCGAGATCATGCTATTGCACTCCGGCCTGGGCAATAAGAGGAAAACTCCATCTCAAAAAAAAAAAAAAAAAAGAAAAGTCACATCTGAGGTTGCTGAGGTCAACATAAAAATGAACTTTCCATCCATAAACTTTTGAATAAAAACTTTGCTCTAGTTTTGCCGTTGCTTTTTTTTTTTTTTTTTTTTTTTTTTTGACACAGATTCTCTGTCGCCCAGGCTGGAGTGCAGTGGCGTGATCTTGGCTCACTGCAACCTCTGCCTCCTGGGTTCAAGCAATTCTCGTGCCTCAGCCTCCCGAGTAGCTGGGACTACAGGCATGCGCTGCACACCGGGCTAATTTTTGCATTTTTTGTAGAGACAGGCGTTTGCCATGTTGGCCAGGCTGGTCTTGAACTCCTGACCTCAAGGGATCTGCCTACCTCAGCCTCCCGAAGTGCTGGGATTTCAGGTGTGAACCACCATGCCTGGCCTGCTGTTGCACTTTAAACTGCAAGTTATAGCCATGGTGTGTGATAAGATGGAAAAGGTGGCTGGGTGCGGTGGCTCACACCTGTACACCCAGCACTTCGGGAGGCTGAGGAGGGAGGATCACTTAAGCCCAGGAGTTCAAGACTAGCCTGGGCAACAGAGCAAGACCCTATCTCTACAAAAAAATTAAAAATTACTTGGGCATGGTGGCTTGTGCCTATAGTCCCAACTACTCAGGAGGCTAAAGTGGGAGGATCACTTTAGCCCAGGAGGTGGAGGCTGCAGTGAGCCATGATTGTGCCAGTGCACTCCAGCCTGGGTGCCCAAGACCCTGTCTCAAAACAGAAGATGGAAAAAGCATTAAATCTCGTGGAAGACATGAACAGAAAACGTGTTCTGATTGACAGTATGTTGCACCAAAAAGCATTGAGCCTATACAAAGACCTAAAAGATCTCTTGAAATGGGGACACCAAGCCATTTACTGCAAGAAAGGGATGGTTACACAGATTTCAGGAATACAGAAGGTCAACAGTAGCCTAATGCTATATCACAATGCCTACGCCATCACCTCACTTCTCATCATGTAGGCATTGTACCATCTCACATCGTCATAAAAAAGGGTGAGTAAAATACAATAAGATACATGGTAGATGATATAGATAGATGATAGATAGATAGATAGATAGATAGATAGATAGATAGATAGATAGATGGCTTTTTGTTTTGTTTTTGAGGCACAGTCTGTCCAGGCTGGAGTGCAGTAGCGTGATCTCAGCTCACTGCAACCTCCACCCTCTTCCAGATTCCAGTGATTCTCGTGCCTCAGCCTCCCAAGTAGCTGGGACTACAGGTCTGTACCACCATGCCCAGCTAATTTTTTTATTTTTTAGTAGAGACAGGGTTTTGCCACATTAGCCTGGCTGGTCTCAAACTCCTGACCTCAGGTGATCTGCCTGCCTCAGCCTCCCAAAGTGCTGGGATTATAGGCATGAGCCACCATGCCCGGCCTACAATAAGATATTTTAAGAGCCAGGCATGGTGGCTCACGCCTGTAATCCTAGCACTTTGGGAGGCCGAGGCGGGTGGATCACCTGAGGTCAGGAGTTCAAGATCAGCCTGACCAACATGGTGATACCCCATCTCTACTAAAAATACAAAAATTAGCCAGGCATGGTGGTGCATGCTTGTAATCCCAGCTACTCCGGAGGCTGAAGTAGAAGAATCACTTGAACCTGGGAGGTGGAGGTTGCAGTGAGCCAAGATCACACCATTGCACTCCAGCCTGGGCAACAGGAGTGAAACTCCATCTCAAAAAAAAAAAAAAAGATATTTTAAGAGAGAGAAACCACATTTACATCACTTATTATAGTATATTGTCATAATTGTTTTATTTATTATTAATCTCTTCCTGTGTCTAATTTATAAATTAAACTTTATCGTCGGTATGTATGTGTAGGAAAAACATAGCATATGTAGGGTTTGGTACTGCCCAAAGTTTAAGGCATCCACTGGGGGTCTTGGAACATGTCCCCTGGCAGATAAGGGGGGAGTACTGTATAGAGGAAGATATTTATTATAAGATAATGGCTCGGCCAGGCACAGTGGCTCACACCTGTAATTCCAGCACTTTGGGAGGCCGAGGTAGGTGGATCACCTGAAGTCAGGAGTTTGAGACCAGCCTGGCCAACGTGGTGAAACCCTGTGTCTAGTAAAAATACAGAAAAAAATCAGCCAGGCATGGTGGCAGGCACCTGTAATCCCAGCTACTTGAGAGGCTGAGGCAGGAGAATCGCTTGAACCTGGGAGGCAGAGGTTGCAGTGAGCCGAGATCACACCGTTGCACTCTAGCCTGGGCAACAAAAGTGAAACTCCATCTCAAAAAAAAAAAAAAAAAAAAAGATATTGGCTCACATGGTTACACAGGCTGAGAATTCCCACTGTCTGCTGTCTGCAAGCTGGAGACCAGGAAATTCAGTGGTCTAGATTCCAGACCAGGTCTGAAGGCCTGAGAACCAGGAGCACTGAAGGCAAAAGATGGATGTCTCAGCTCAGGTGGTCAGGCAGAGTTAATGCATTCTTATTTATTTATTTATTTATTTATTTATTTATTTATTAGAGATGGGGTCTCACTACGTTGCCCAGGCTGGAGGAACTCAGGGGATCCTCCTGGGAACTGCTAAGGACAAACCTGCCTCCCATTCTATTCAAAGTCATCCCTCTGCTCACTGAGATAGAAGCATATTCTGATTGCCTCCTTTGGAAAGGCTTATCAGAAACTCAATGCAACCATTTTTCTCTCACCTACCTATGACCTAGAAGCCCTCTCCTTGCTTCGAGTTGTCCCCTGCTTTCTGGACAGAACCAATGTACTTCTTTTTTTTTTTTTTTTTTTTGAGATGGAGTCTTACTCTGTCGCCCAGGCAATCTCAGCTCACTGCAACCTCTGCCTCCCAGGTTCAAGCAATTCTTCTGCCTCAGCCTCCTAAGTAGCTGGGACTACAGGCATGCACCACCACGCCAATTTTTGTACATTTAGTAGAGATGGGGTTTCACCATATTGGCCAGGCTGGTCTTGAACTCCTGACCTCGTGATCCGTCCACCTCGGCCTCCCAAAGTGCTGGGATTACAGGCGTGAGCCATCACGCCCAGCCACGCATACTGTACTTCTTACATACATTGATTGATGTCTCATGTCTCCCTAAAATGTATAAAACCAAGCTGTGCGCTGACCACCTTGGACACATGTCCAGGACTTCCTGAGGCTGTGTCACAGGCACGTGTTCCTCAACCTTGGCAAAATAAACTTTCTAAATTAACTGAGACCTGACTCAAATTTCCAGGGTTCACACTAACGTTCAGGTCTTCAACAGATTGCAAGGTGCTCAACCGCACTGCTGAGGGCAGGTCTGCTTTGCTCAGTTCACCCATTCAAAGGCTAATGTCTCCCAGAAACACCCTTGAAGGCATGCATACCCAGAAATCATGTTGAACCACCTATGTAGGCATCCTGTGGCTCAGTCAGGTTGACACATACGATTAACCATCACAGCCCATTCCCAGGCAGCTGGATCACAGGCCATATGGATTATTAGAACTGAAGCTTCTGAGTCCTGGTACCTATTAAATACTTCCTTCCTAGTAGCCACACATTGTAACTCATACGGGTAGACTTCTTTTTTTTTTTTTTTTTTTCAGACAGAGTCTCACTCTGTCACCCAGGCTGGAGTGCAGTGGCACGATCTTGGCTCACTGCAACCTCCACCTCCTGGGTTCAAGCGATTCTCGTGCCTCAGCCTCTCCAGTAGCTGGGACTACAGGCATTCGCCACCACGCCCGGCTGACTTTTTTTGTACTTATAGTAGCGACGGGGTTTCACCATGTTGGCCAGGCTGGTCTCAAACTCCTGACCTCAAGTGATCCACCCGCCTTGGCCTCCCAAAGTGCTGGAATTACAGGCGTGATCCACCGCCCGGCCTCATATGGGTAGACTGCTAAAGAACTCTCAGGTGGCAGGGTACAGTCGCTCATGCCTGTAATCCCAGCACTTTGGGAGGCCGAGGTGGGCAGATCACTTGAGGTCAGGAGTTCGAGACCAGCCTGGCCAAAATGGTGAAACCCCGTCTCTACTAAAAATACAAAAATTAGCCGGGTGTGCTGGCGCACTCCTGTAATCCCAGCTACTCTACTCAGGAGGCTGAGGCAGGAGAATCACTTGAACCCGGGAGGCAGAGATTGCAGTGAGCCAAGATCGCACCACTGCACTCCAGCCTGGGCGACAGAGCAAGACTTTGTCTCAAAAAGAAAAAAGAAAAAAAAAAAAAAGAACTCTTAAGTTTTCCCAGATACAGGGCGTAATTCTATTCATGGCCAAAAACACTTATTATAGGAGACTTTACAGCCTGAATCATTTCCCAGATTCAATCAATTCATGTGTCTTAAGCTCTTATGATGTGCTGGGCATCTAGGATGATAATGAAGAAAAGAAGAGGGGAGGGACGGAGGGAAGTAAAGCATAATTATTATAGAAAATAGAGAAAAGTTTAAATGAAAAAAGGTGGGTTTTTTGTTTTTCTGGTTTGGTTTTTGTGTTTGTTTGTTTGTTTGTTGAGTGAGGGTCTCAGGGTCTCACTCTCTCACCCAGGCTGGAGTGCAAAGATGCAATCCTGGCTTACTGCAGCCTTATTTTTAGCAGAGACAAGGTCTGGTTCTGTTGCCCAGGCTGATCTTGAACTCCTGGGCTTAAGCAATCTGCCCACCTTGGCCTCCTAAAGTGCTGAGATTACAGGCATGAGCCACCCTGCCCAGCAAAAAAAAAAAAAAAGGTTTAATCAGACATCTCTCTAATAATAGTTATCATATAATAGTGTAATCATTGGTGACAATTTAGTATAAATTCTCCCTAAAATGTTTGCTGTATTTGCCTGTCTTTGAGCTAACTCTTGCTGTATGACTGTTACACACACACCCCCCTCAGTCATCATTAATGCTGCATGCTCATTCATTCAACACTTTATAAGAATTGCTGTCCAGGTGGGTGTGGTGGCTCACACCTGTAATCCCAGCACTTTGGGAGGCTGAGGCGGATGGATCACCTAAGGTCAGGAGTTCGAGACCAGCCTGGCCAACATGGTGAAACCCCGTCTCTACTAAAAATACAAAAAATTAGCCAGGCGTGGTGGCACATGCCTGTAATCCCAGCTACTTGGGAGGCTGAGGCAGGAGAATCACTTGAACCTGGGAGTTGGAGGTTGTAGTGACCCGAGATTGTGCCATTCTACTCCACTGGCTCATGCCTGTAATCCCAGCACTTTGGGAGGTTGAGGCAGGTGGATTGGTCGGGCCCAGGAGTTCAAGACCAGCCTAGGCAACATAGCAAAACCCTGTCTCTACAAAAAAATACAAAAAATTAGCTGGGTGTGGTGATGGGCGCCTGTGGTCCCAGCTACTTGTGATGCTGAGGAGGGACGACTGCTTGAACCTGAGAGGCAGAGGTTGCAGTAAGCCGAGATCGCGCCACTGCACTCCAGCCTGGGTGACAGAGCCAGACCCTGCCTCATTTTTTTTTTAGCTCTGTCGCCCAGACTGGAGTGCAGTGGCGTGGTTTCTGATCACTGCAATCTTCACTTCTCGGGCTCAAGTGATTCTCGTGCCTCAGCCTCCCCAGTAGCTAGGGGGAAAAAAATTTTTTTTAGCATGGCCGAGCACAGTGGCTCCCGCCTATAATCCCAGCACTTTGGGACGCCAAGGCAGGCGGATCACCTGAGGTTGGGAGTTCGCAACCAGCCTGACCAACATGGAGAAACCCTGTCTCTACTAAAAATACAAAATTAACCAGGTGTGGTGGCGCAAGCCTGTAATCCCAGCTACTCGGGAGGCTGAGGCAGAAGAATCACTTGAACCTGGGAGGTGGAGGTTGCGGTGAGCCAAGGTCGCGCCATTGCACTCCAGCCTGGGCAACAAGAGTGAAACTCCATCTCAAAAAAAAAAATATTAAAGAATTGCTGTTGATTATTTTCCTGATCTTCACAATAACCCATGTTAGGAGAAGGACATTGAAGCTGAGAGTGACTGAGTCTGAGTCTGTGCCAAAGGTTGCATATTAAGCAGAGGTGGTCAAGGACCTGAACTAAGCAGCCTGGAGAGGTACTCTAGAATTCTCTTTTTTTTTGAGAGAGAGAGTCTCACTCTGTCACCCAGGCTGGAGTGCAGTGGTGCGATCTCGGCTCACTGCAACCTCCATCTCCCAGATTCAAGCAATTCTGCCTCAGCCGCCCACGTAGCTGGGACTACAAGCACATGCCACCATGCCTGGCTACTTTTTTTTTTTTTTTTTTTAATTTTTAGTAGAGACAGGGTTTCACCATGTTGGCCAGACTGGTCTTGAACTCCTGTCCTCAGGTAATCCACCCGCCTCGGTCTCCGAAAGTGCTGGAATTACAGGCGAGAGCCACTGCGCCCGGCCGGAATTCCTTTCTTGACTCCGTTGCCTAAGTGATAAATTATCCTTGAGGCTTTTCATAGTGTCTGAGGTCATTCACGTTACTGCTGTTTATTAAAAGCTTCTCACCTGCTGCTTTTCACCTGTCAAGTTCTAGGAAGCCAGGTAACCAAGTTCATTGGAATTTTGTGAAAAGCTTAAGTCAACAGGTCCTGAATAAGAGCTGTAGAGTTTCCTCTTTAAATTGAACAGATGGGTTTGAGATTTCTTGGTTGTCTCTAAAGACATTTTCCCTCACTGTTTATGGGTCCTTGTTCATAGATTAGGTGTTGCTATAAAAAATCTGATCTTTCAATAAGAAGTGTATGAATAACAGCTCGTTGAGTCTTCTGAAAAGTAATGTTTGTCTCAGCTGTCAGGACCCAGACAGTCTCTCTCACCAGAGGAGAGGCGGGAAGTGGTGCAGCCAGGCTGTCGATGAGCAGGAAGCCCACCATCAGATGAAGACAGAAGGAAGCAACAGCAAGAAATACCCAGTCACAGAATCAAACCAAGCTTGAAGCTCACCCTCCACTTCCATGTTTGACGCAGTATGAACTGGCTACCTATTACATGTAATATGAAGAGTCCTAAGAGCTTTCTAAAGGGCTTAGATCAATTCAAGATTCTAAACCTCTTAGAGTTTGCTGAATGGAGTTTTAGGTAAGAAGATAGCTGCCACACTCACACAGAGGTATAAGGAACCCATGCTGAGCCTATGCCATGGGGCTCCCAGCCCATGAGAGCCTTATGCACCTTGCATGTCTCTTCAGGTTCACCAGGCTACATTAGCCAAAAGTAAAGACAGCTAGGCTGGACACAGGTGGCTCACACCTGTAATCCTAGCACTTTGGGAGGCGAAGGTGAGAGGATCATTTGACCCCAGGGGTTCAAGATTGACCTGGGCAATATTGCAACATCCCCACCCCTTATACAAAATAAATTTAAAAATCAGCCAGGTGTGGGTGGTATGTGCCTGTGGTCTCACCTACTCTAGACACTGAGGTGGGAGGATCACTTGAGCCTAGGAGCTGCAGTGAGCTACGATTGTGCCACTGCACTCCAGCCTGGGCAACAGAGCAAGACTCTATCTCTAAAAAATAAACTAAGATAAAGTAAACGACTTTTAAAGTAAGCGACTTTTAAAGTAAACAACAATTAAACGACTGCTAGTAAGAGATTTCTTATAACCAGCAGAGATGGAATGGCTGGGGGAGAGGTGATGCAAAGTCAATGTGACAGTCACATCATGTTCAACCAACATTTATTTCAGATGAGTCTGAATAAATTTGAAGTGCAATTCCACAAGAAATCATAAGCTGACATTTGTCATGTTTGTCCCCTCCAAATCTGATGTTGAAATGTGATCTTGATGTTGGAGGTGGGTCCTGGTGGGAGGTGTTTGGACCCCAGGAGTGGATCCCACATGAATGGCTTCCTGCCTTTCTCGTGGCAGTGAGTGAGTCCTTACTGTTAGTTCTCAGGAGAATTGATAGGTTTTTTGGTTTGGTTTTTTTTGTTTTGTTTTTTGGGGTTTTTTGCTTTTTGTTTTTGTTTTTGTTTTTGTTTTGTTTTGTTTTGTTTGAGACAGAGCCTCACTCTGTTGCCCAGGCTGGAGTGCAGTGGCGCGATCTCGGTTCACTGCAACCATACCTCCCAGGTTCAAGCAATTCTCCTGCCTCAGCCTCTCAAGTAGCTGGAATTACAGGTGCACACCACCATGCCAGGCTGATTTTTGTATTTTTAGTAGAGACGGATTTACATCATGTTGGCCACACCGGTTTCAAACTTCTGACCTCAAGCAATCCATCCACCTTGGCCTCCCAAAGTGCTGGGATTACAGGTGTGAGCCACTGTACCGGGCCGAGAATTGGTTGTTAAAAGGAGCCTGGCACCTCCTCTCCTCTCTCTTGCCTCCCCCTTACCCTGCGATCTGCACGGACCACCAGCTCCCCTTCCCCTTCTGCCATGAGTGGAAGCTTCCTGAGGTCCTTGCCGGAAGCAGATGCTGGCTCCATGCTTCTGGCACAGTCTGCAGAACTGTGAGTCCAACAAGCCCCTCTTGTTTATTAATTCCCCAGCCTCAGGTGTTCCTTTATAGCAACACAGACTAAGTCAGTACATTCTCATTGATGCCTCCCCCGAGAGGCAGAGCTTATTCCGAGTGTAGCCTCCCAGAAGGGCCACAGTGCACACCTGTGCACACGTGCACACACACACAACACCAACTTCCTGTCACCCCAGGAAGGGACAGGAGCATTGGTTGTGGCAGGACGGATGTCAGTCCTTTAGTCTGAAGGGGCCCCAGATGGCCCCAGGCCCAGAATGTGGAGCCGGGAAGGTCGCCATGATCCACAGGGCAGCTGTTTTCCTACCAGGTCCCAGTCACCCCAGAACGGTGGTTCTGGCCTTGCCTGAGTCCCAGGGAAGCTCTAGGAGGCACCCTCTGCAGGCCGCTTCCCATCTTCTGTGGTGTCTCTGAGTCGGCAGTGGAGCTCTGGCTTCTGAAGCAGGTGCAAAGTCTGGGCCCCTACACAGTTTTGCTACACAAGCCCCATTTTGCTGTGTCTCTGACGTGTCCCTGCCCCTCAGAGTCTGCCCCTTCCAGGCCAGGTGTCCTTCCCTGAATAGAGCTTTCTAGCATGCTCTCCCCATCTCGCTGGCACTGAGAGGCTTCCCTAACTTCTGTCTGACGCCCTCCAGCCCGGCCCTCAGATGGGAAGGGGACCCTGGCCATGGTGTGCGGACCATCGCTCCCATTTAATGTGGGTCCTGCACAAGAGGCCTCAGCTCCACTGGACACCTCCACTCTTTTTAAAAAATATTTTATAAATCCTTCTTTGCTATCTTAACCTGGAATTCATAGATAATATAACTTATGGCTATACACACAATTTCTTCTTTTGTAAAACAGATCTTTTGTAAGAAGGAGCTTCTATTTTTTTCCTTTCATTTTTTTTTTCTTTACAAAAAACAAAACAGTCAGCCATGGTGGCTCATGCCTACAATCCCAGTACTTCAGGAGGCCGAGAGGGGAGGATCACTTGAGCCCACTGCACTCCAGCCTGGGCAACAGAGCAAAGTAAAAATAAAAAGGCTTGGCCAGGCAGGGTGGCTCACGCCTGTAATCCCAGCACTTTGGGAGGCCAAGGCCGGTGGATCACCTGAGGTCAGGAGTTTGAGACCAGCCTGGCCAACATGGTGAAACCCCATCTCGACTAAAAATACAAAAATTAGCTGGGCTTAGTGGTGGGCGCCTGTAATCCCAGCTACTAGGGAGGCTGAGGAAAAAGAATTGCTTGAACCCAGGAGGCAGAGGTTGCAGTGAGCCAAGATCATACTACTGCATTCCAGCCTGGGTGACAGAACAAGACTCTGTCTCAAAAAAAAAAAAAAAAAAAAAAGAATTTTTGAAATGATTTTTTGTACACACAATTTTAAAATAATATTCTCTAATTGTAATATAAAGGAGAAACGTTAATAATGAAATGTTTCATATTAAATATGTATGGGGCACACCTGTAGTCCCAGCTACTCAGGAGGCTGAGGCAGGAGGATTGCTTGAGCCCAAAAGTTCAAGTCTAGCATGGGCAGCATAGAAAGACTCTGTTTTAATATGGAAATGCTTGGGCACAGGTACACAGGTACACAAATTCCCAAAATACCCCATAGAGGACCTCCGGTCTTCCCTCTGAAACCTCTCCATACATCGCTGAAAAGCATGCTACTCTCCCACATAACATCTGTGGAGGAGCCAGCCACAGTGGCTCACGCCTGTAATCCCAGCACTTTGGGAGGCAGAGGTGGGTGAATCACTTGAGCTCAGGAGTTTAAGACCAGCCTGGGCAACATGGCAAAACCCATCTCTACCAAACATACACACACACACACACACACACACACACACACACACACACACAAAGCCAGATGTGGTGGCATGCACGTATAGTCCCAGCTACTCGGGAGGCTGAGGTGGGAGGATCACTTAAGCCCAGGAGGTCAAGGCTGCAGTGATCTGTGTTCACACCACTGCACTCCAGCTTGGGTCTCGAAAAAAAAAAAGAGTCGGCCAGGCGCGGTGGCTCACGCCGGTAATCCCAGCACTTTGGGAGGCTGAGGCAGGCGGATCACTTGAGGTCATGAGTTTGAGACCAGCCTGGCCCACATGGTGAAAGCTTGTCTCTACAAAAATAAAATTAAATTAACATAAAAAGAATACATATTGAAATGAATGTATTTCCTCAATCCCCTCTTCACCCATGCCAGCTAGACACAGACACAGTTTTGTTGCAGAAAATTCTGTTATTTCAAAACTGGCTGTCACCCCCTCCTTGGCGCCTTCCCAGATCAACAACCTCAGCAGGCAATTGTTTGTACAAATCACTGGACAGTGCGGTATAAACACGTGCTGCTGGGGCATCCAGCACCTGTGCCCAACACATAGACCCTGGTAAATGAAGTGTTGAGTGAAATCAGAGGACCAGTGATGGCAAAACCACTTCCCTGCCCTGACCAGATAGCCAGCAGCAGCACTTTTCTTTTTGCACAGTAGCATGGAACAAACGCTTTTTTTTTTTTTGGTGATGGAGTCTTGCTCTGTTGCCCAGGCTGGAGTGCAGTGGCGCCATCTTGGCTCACTGCAACCTCCACCTCCCAGGTTCAAGCGATTCTCCTGTCTCAGCCTCCCAAGTAACTGGAACTACAGGCACCCACTACCACGCCCAGCTAATTTTTGTATTTTTAGTAGAGACGGGGTTTCACCATATTGGCCAGACTGGTCTCGAACTCCTGACCTTGTGATCCGCACACCTCGGCCTCCCAAAGTGCTGGAATTACAGGCGTGAGCCACCGCACCTGGCCTAACAAATGCTTTTCTGATGCCTTGTCCAAGTCACTAGAACAGGATGGCTGACTGGGTGCCCTTGCTAATTCTGGAGGCAAGGATGGGAAGAGAGAGAGTAAAAGTCATGTGTCTGGGGGCCAAAGAACCCTGGTTTGGGAAGTGAGATATCTCCTCACTCACTTTCTCAGGTGACCTTACAAGGGAAGTGCTCCTGATGGTTTCAGGTTTTCCAGGAGGAGCTGTGGCTCACAGTGGTTAAGCAACCCCTCTGTGAGCCACTCTCTGGAGCTTTTTAGTCCTACTCTAAGAAGCCAGTTTCACTCTCAGCTGTTCAACAACCAGCCCAGGAGAAAATCCACTTAACCTCCCCACGACACAAAACAAAAGCTTTAATATTTAATACCCACTGGAACAAAATAGCTCCTTCCACCACCCCAGCCTTGCTCAGGGAAACCCAAGAGGTACCAGAAAAGGGGACAAGGATGAAGATCTCTCCCTACTGCGTCCTGCAGACTGTGCAGGAGGAGCCCCTAAGAGTGTCCTGTCTGTCACCAGCACCGCCCCTGCCCAGCCCAGCCTGTCCAGCGCCCCTGGGCAGGAGTTGACAGGGGCTGTAGGGCGTTGCTGGAAAGCAGCTCCTGCTCCTCACACTAGGAGGTACCCAGGCCTACGGCAGTGCCACACAGAGCCTGACCGCACTAGTCAAAAAGTGCAAGTCACAATGACTCGGCATGTTTTCTTTATGCACAAGGAAAGCAGGCCCGGCAGGGCTTGGCTGGCCTCACACTGGCACTTACCTCCGAGGAGTTCCAGGCCTCTCCAGCCCCAGGCCTTCTAGGGTGAGTCAGAGGGCCAACAATCCAGTCTGGCCCTGGGATTGGCCAGGGACAAGCAGGGTCATGTCTGCAGGGGCGACCAGAAAAAAACCCTCTCTCCTGGAGGCACAGTGCTAGATGGAGGGAAAGCACAAGTATTGTTTGTTGCAGTATAAAAGCAGAAGTATTGCAAACATCCAACCAAAGGGGGACAGTGGTTCAACTTCCTCTGTGCCAGTAGTAATCCTAGGGTAGAAAAGAATGTGGACTCACGTGGGGAAAGACGCACAACCTGTGGAGCATTAACATCTTTATTTAAAATATTGATGCAGACAGGCGGATCACCTGAGGTCAGGAGTTCAAGATCAGCCTGGCCAACATGACAAAAACCCGTCTATACTAAAAATACAAAAATTAGCCAGGTATGGTGGCACACGCCTGTGTACCAGCTACTTGAAAGGCTGAGACAGGAGAATCACTTGAACCTGGGATGCAGAGTTTGTGCAGTGAGCCGAGATTGCGCCCCTACACTCCAGCTTGGGTGACAGAGTGAGACTCCAACTCCAAAAAAAAAATGAGTAAAATAAAATATTGGGCCAGGCGCAATGGCTCACGCCTGTCATCCACGCACTTTGGGAGGCCAAGGTGGGTGGATCACGAGGTCAGGAGTTTGAGACCAGCCTGGCCAACATGGTGAAACTCCGTCTCTATTAAAAATTCAAAAAAATTAGCCGGGCGTGGTGGTGGGCACCTGTAATCCCAGCTACTGGGAGGCTGAGGCAGGAGAATCACTTGAACACAGAAGGCGGAGGTTGCAATGAGCCGAGATTGCACCACTGCACTCTGGCCTTGGTGACTGAGCGAGACTCCGCCTCTAAATAAATAAATAAAAGAAACACCTAGGTTAGTGTGTGATTGAATAACTGGGTACTAGTCTAGCCAAATTGACACATAAAACTGACCATCACAGTATTTTTGTTAAATTTCCAAATTTTCTACATGGAATATGTGTTACTTGTATAATATTTTTTAAAAAGCAATAAGTGACAAAACCACCGTAATGAGGTAACACTTTGCACCCACTAGGATGCTTCAGGTAAAAAAGATACAACAACAGGCCGGACGTGGTGCTCACGCTTATAATTCCAGAACTTTGGAAGGCTGAGGCGGGCAGATCACAAGGTCAGGAGCTTGAGACCAGTCTGGCCAATATGGTGAAACCCTGTCTCCACTAAAAATACAAAAAAATTAGCTGGGCATGGTGGTGGGTGCCTATAGTCCCAGCTACTCTCAGGAGGCTGAGGCAGGAGAATCGCTTGAACCCAGGAGGCAGAGGTTGCAGTGAGCCAAGATTGCGCCACTGCACTCCAGCCTGGGTTACAGAGCAAGGCTCCATCTCAAAAAAAAAAAAAAAAAATACAACAACAACTGTAGACAAAGTCATGGAGAAACTGGAACCCTCATTCATCACTGGTGAAACTGTAAAATGGTGGGGCCACTTTGGAAAATAGTTTGGCAGTTCCTCAAATGGTTAGATGACCGTTTGTAGAATTGCTGTATGACCCAGCAATTCCATTCCTGTGCATATACCCAAGATAACTGAAAACACAGGTCCACAAAAAAATGTTTATATCACCATTCAAAGCAGCATTATTCATAATAGCAAAGAAGTGGAAAAAAACCAAATGTCCGTGAACTGATGAATGGGTAGGAATATTGTGGCATATCCACAGGATGGAAAATTATTTATCAACAAAAGGAATAAAGTACTAATACAAGCGACAAGGCGGATGAACCTTGAAAACATCACACTGAGTGAAAGAAGTCAGACACAAAGATCACAAATTGCAATGGTGCCATTTATATGAAATATCCAGAATAGGCAAATCCATAGAGACCACAAGTAGATTCCTGGTTGCCTGGAATGAGGAAGAGGGAAAAATAGGGAACTATCAATGAGTACAGGTCTCTTTTTCTGGGTGGTAAAAATGTTCTAAAACTAGGCCAGGTGTGGTGGCTTACATCTGTAATCCAAGCATTTTGAGAGGCTGAGGCCAAAGAATCACTTGAGTGCAGGAGTTCAAGTCAAGTCTGGGCAACATAGGGACACCCTGTTTCTACAAATAATAAAAAAAACTGGCTGGGCATGGTGGCTCACACCTTTGCTGTCAGCAACTCTGGAGGCTGAGGTGGGAGGATGGTTTAAGCCCAGGAGGTCAAGGCTATGGTGAGTCACTGTACTCCAGCCTGGGCAACAGAGAGACCCTGTCTCAAAAAAAAAAAAAAAAGAATAAGTTCTAAAATTAGGTAGTGCTTAGAAGTGCACAAGCTGCACAATCTGTGAATATACCTATGGTATAATACAAAATATATTTGGTCTTTTTAGATTTGTTTAATTTTTAAAGATTTTTTATTTTTATTTTATATATATATATTTTTGGAGACGGAGTCTTGCTCTGTCGCCCAGGCTGGAGTGCAGTGGCGTGATCTCGGCTCACTGCAACCTCCGCCTCCCGGGTTCAAGTGATTCTCCTGCCTCAGCCTCCCAAGTAGCTGGGACTACAGGAGCACGCACTGCCACACCCGGCTAATTTTTTTCGTATTTTTAGTAGAGACAGGGTTTCACCATGTTGCCCAGGCTGGTCTTGAACTCCTCGGCTCAGGCAATCTGCCTGCCTCAACCTCCCAAAGTGCTGGGATTAGAGGTGTGAGCCACCACGCCCGGCCTAATTATTATTTTTTAAGAGACAGAATCTTGATCTGTCACCCAAGCTAGAGTGCAGTGGCACAATCATAGCTCA
This sequence comes from Homo sapiens, assembly GCF_000001405.40. Classification (NCBI taxonomy): domain Eukaryota; kingdom Metazoa; phylum Chordata; class Mammalia; order Primates; family Hominidae; genus Homo; species Homo sapiens. The sequence continues at coordinate 53,267,361 of NC_000003.12, read as the reverse complement.
TTGCAGCCTCGAACTACTGGGCTCAAGCAATTCTCCCACCTCAGCCCCTGGAGTAGACACTTGGCTAATTTTTTTTTTTTTTTTTTTTTTTTTTGAGACGGAGTCTCGCTCTGTCACCCAGGCTGGAGTGCAATGGTATGGTCTCGGCTCACTGCAACCTCTGCCTCCCGGATTCAAGCAATTCTCCCACCTCAGCCTCCTGAGTAGCTGGGACTACAGGCGTGTGCCATCACGCCTGGCTACTTTTTGTGTTTTTAGTAGAGACAGGGTTTCACTATGTTGGCCAGGCTAGTCTCGAACTCCTGACCTCATGATCTGCCCGCCTCGGCCTCCAGAGTAATGGGATTACAGGCATAAGCCACCATGCCCAGCCCAAATTTTCTTTATCCTTTCATCCTTTGGTGGATGCTTAGGTTACTTCCATATCTTTTTTTTTTTTTTTCCTTTTTTTGAGAGAAAGTCTTGCTCTGTCACCCAGGCTGGAATGCAGTGGCACGATCTTGGCTCACTGCAACCTCTGCCTCCCAGGCTTAAGCGATTCTCATGCCTCAGCCTCCCGAGTAGCTGGGATTACAGGCACGCGCCACCACACTCAACTAATTTTTATATTTTTAGTAGAGATGGGTTTTTGCCATGTTGGCCAGGCTGGTCTTGAACTCCTGGCCTCAAGTGATCTGCCTGCCTCTGCCTCCCAAAGTGCTGGGATTACAGGCATGAGCCACTACACCCAGCCTGCTTCCATATCTTGATGAAATATATTTAGTATTTGTCCCTAGTTCCTGTCACAGGGCTGAAAACCCTTGGAATTTGCTTAGCAGAAGGCATGTCTTTTGTTACTCATAAGCCACTCTTTGATCACACCTGCGTTTATGCTAACACAGTGACTTGGGGTGAGGCCTCTAGATAGGCTCGGGATGGGGCAGTCACCAGAAAGACCAAGTAATTAGAGGATTAGAGGTCTGGAACTTTCAGCTCCCTCTCCCCGCATACCTCACCCTATCTGTCTCTTCATCTGGCTATTTCTCTGATTCCTTTGTAATATCCTTTATAATAAACGGGTCATTATAAGTAAAATGTTTCCCTGAGTTCTGTGAGCCACTCTAGCAAGTTAATTGAACCAGGGACGGGATCTTGGGAACCTCAATTTATAGTAAGTTCCTCAGAAGTTGCAGAGGCCAAGACCTGTGATTGGCATCTGAAGTAGGGGACAGTCTTACGGACCTGAGCCCTCAGTCTGTGGGATCTGACACTATCTCCAGATAGTGTCAGAATTGAGTTGAATTAGAGGACACACAGCTGGTGTCCACTGCAGGATTGCTTGATGGGGAGAAATCCTCACATATTTTGGTGACCAGGGACCACAGAAGTGTTCTGTGTTGTAGTGACTATATGAGAATTAAAAAAAAAAAATTAATTTATTTTCTCTATCCCTCAACACCAAAAATCATTGAATTATACACTTTTAAGGGAGGGTAGATTTCACGGTGTGTTCATTTTATCTCAAAATGAGATAAAAAATGTGATTAAGAAAAAAAAAAAAGAGGCTAGGTACAGTGGCTCATACCTATAATCCCAGCACTTTGGGAGTCCGAGGTGGGTGGATTGCTTGAACCCAGGAGTTTGGGACCAGCCTGGGCAACACAGCAAAACCCCATCTCTACAAAATAATTAGTAGGGCATGATGGCACACACCTGTGGTCCCAGCTACTCGGGAGGCTGAGGTAGGAGGATCACTTGAACCCGGGAGGTGGAGGTTGCAATGAGCTGAGATTGTGCCACTGCACTCCAGCTTAGACAACAGAGTAAGACCCTGTCTCAAAAAAAAAAAAAAAAAGAGAGAGAGAGAGAGACAGAGAGAGGCAATAAATGTGAAAGGAAAAAGAGGGGAAAGTCATGTGTACTTGGGTGGGCTGGCTCCCAGCAAAGTCGAGGAGCTGGTGCGTTTTTCTCCTGTCTCCAGACTCCCTTTCCTCCCCTTTGTCTCCCTCTCATGGGGCTCTTGCCCAGTCCCAGGACCCTGGAGTTTGCGGACATCGTGGTGAAAGTGATTTGCAAAACTCATCTCAGAATTCTCTCCTCTCATTGCACTTCCCTTTGCTACTGGCCAGAGGGGTCCAATACACTCCCACCCCCTACACGTAATTGCCCAGAAAAGTTTATGGGTCTATGACCTGAAAACTATCAGAAGTCTTCCAGCCCTACTAAACCTAGCTGGATCTGCTTTTCCCAGACAGAAAATGGCCCCAAGGGGCTCTGACTCGGCACACAGGGCCTGGCACAAGGGGAGAATTCAACCTCTGCATGTAGCAAGAATAAGCCTCTCTTACAGATGTGAGAAACAGGACTGGAGAAAGGGCTCCACTGAAGGCCATGCAGGTTTCGGGCTCCCTCTCTCCTCTCACTCTGTCAATCCCACAATGGGACCTTGCCAATTGGAAGCAAAGGTGATGAGTGGCAGAACCAGGCTTTCTGGCCAGCCCTCAGCCAAATATGTACCCAGATCTCTGGCAAAACTGCCACCTTCCTCTCAACACCTGCTGAGGACTCTGGTTCAGGAAATAACTCACCAGGAGGACAAGATTTAGGCACGAAAATGTTAACTGCAGGGCAATACCCAATGATTAACAGCTGGAAGGGGTCTGAGCGTTCAGCCCTAAGGGATGGTTAATAGATGAGGACACGGCCCTATGATGGGACAATGCACAGCTAGTAAAAATGATTTCTTCGAAGCATTTTGAAATGCTAATGAGAAAATATAGGGGGAAAATGGTTTTACATGATCCTGACAATGGATTTTTTTTTTTTTTTTTTTTTTTGTGACGGAGTTTCACTCTTTCGCCCAGGCTGGAGCGAAGTGGCGCGATCTCGGCTCGCTGCAACTTCCACCCGCCAGGTTCAAGCAATTCTCCTGCCTCAGCCTGCCGAGTAGCTGGGATTACAGGCACACGCACAGCTTCCTGAGTAGCTGGGATTACAGGCGCCCCCCACCACACCCAACTAATTTTTGTATTTTTTAGTAGAGATGGGGTTTCGCCATGTTGGCCAGGCTGGTCTCAAACTCCTGACCTCAGATGATCCGTCCACCTCAGCCTCCCAAAGTGCTGGGATTATAGGCATGAGCCACTGCATCTAGCCGACAATGTATTTTTTAAAACAAGGAATTCACAATAGCAAACATACTGAGCAATGACTGTCTTCAGCCTTGCCTGACAACCTGAAGTGTATATCCAGCCCCTGACCCCTGACCCTGACCCTATTGTATTTATTTATTTACTTTTGAGACAAGATCTGGCTCTGTCACCAAGGCTAGAATGCACTGGCTCAATCATGGCTCACTGCAGCCTCGAACTCCTGGGCTTAAACAAGCCTCCCACCTCAGCTTCCTGAGTAGCTGGGACTACAGGTACAGGCCACCATGCCCGGCTAATTTTTAATTTTTTTTTTTTTTAAATGGAGTCTCGCCCTGTTGCCTAGGCTGGAGTGCAGGGGCACGATCTAGGCTCACTGCAACCTCTGCCTCCTGGGTTCAAGCAATTCTCCTGCCTCAGCCTCCTGAGTAGCTGGGACTACAGGTGTGCACCACCACACCCAGCTAATTTTTGTATTTTTAGTAGAGATGGGGTTTCACCATGTTAGCCGGGCTGGTCTGGAACTCCTGACCTCAGGTGATCTGCCCGCCTCGGCCTCCCAAAGTGCTGGGATTACAGACGTGAGCCACCGTGCTCAGCCTAATTTTTAAATTTTTAGTTTGTAGAGACAGGGTATCACCATGTTGTGCAGGCTTGTCTCATGCTCCTGGACTCAAGCAATCTTCCTGCCTTAGCCTCCCAATGTGCTACAGGTGTGTGTGAGTCACTGTGCCCGGCCTATTTTCTTCATAACAATTATATATAATAAATCAATATTTGTCAAATGAGCAAGCAACTTTAACAGTAGTCCCCTTTGAGTGGAATAGTCCATGATTTTAGTTTACTTTGAAATTTTCTGGGCCAAGTATGGTGGCTCACGCCCGTAATCCCAGCACTTTGGGAAATTGAGGTGGGTGGGTCGCTTGAGCCCAGGAGTTCGAAACCAGCCTGGGCAACATGGCAAAACCCCATCTCTACCAAAAATACTAAAAATTAGTCAGGCATGATGGTGCATGCCTATAGTCTCAGCTACTCAGGAGGCTGAGGTGGGAGAATCCCTTTGAGCCCAGGAGACAGAGGTTGCAGTGAGCCAAGATTGTGCCACTGTACTCCAGCCTAGGCAAAAGCAAGACCCAGTCAGAAAAAAAAAAAAAAATTCTGTACTTTTAAAGTTTTTCCGATGACTATGTTTTACTTCGATAATCAGAAATTGAGTGTTTTTAGGCCGGGCACAGTGGCTCACACCTGTAATCCCAGCACTTTGGGAGGCCAAGGCTGGTGGATCACCTGAGGTCAGGAGTTCAAGATCAGCCTGGCCAACAGGGCAAAATCCCATCTTTACTAAAAATACAGAAATAGGCTGGCCACAGTGGTGTATGCCTGTAATCTCAGTGCTTTGGGAGGCCCAGGCGGGCAGATCATGAGGTCAGGAGTTCCAGACCAGCCTGGCTAACATAGTGAAACCCTGTCTCTACTAAAAATACAAAAATTAGCTGGGCACGGTGGTGTGTGCCTGTAATCCCAGCTACTCGGGAGGCTGAGGCAGGAGAATTGCTTGAACCTGGGAGGCTGAGGTTGCAGTGAGCTGAAATCGTGCCACTGCACTCCAGCCTAGGTGACAGAGCGAGACTCTGTCTCAAAAAAAAAAAAAAAAAAAATAGCTGGGCCCAGTGGCACATGCCTGTAGGCCCAGCTACTCAGGAGACTGAAGCACAAAAATCGCTTGAACCCGGGAGGCGGAGGTTACAGTGAGCTGAGATTGTGCCACTACACTCTAGCCTGGAGGACGGAGCTAGACTCTGTCTCAAAAAAAGAAGGAGGAGGAGGAGGAAGAGGGAAGAGGGAAGAAGGAGAAGAAGGAGAAGGAGAAGAAGAAGAAGAAGAAGAGGAAGAGGAAGAGGAAGAGGAAGAAGAAGAAGAAGAAATTGAATGTTTTTAAAAAACAAGAATAAATTGAGTACAAGAGAACTGAGACATTCTGTGAATGAGTTGAAACATTTGTGTTCTCAAATGGGAGCTACATTATCGAAAGAGGCATTTCCCCAAAAATGCCTCCCAAAGGAAATTTCAGGCATTGGGAGGAGAGATAAATGTATTAAAACTCAGTCAACCTACATGCCTCTTTTGGGTACTCAGGAGCAAGGCTGTCTACTCGGCACAGGAGGGCACGAGCTGGACACTCACTCCACGAGGACTCCTCCCAGGCCCCTGAAGGTGGCCAGCCTTGGATATGAGTCAAAAACAGTGTCCTGAGGACCCAGAGCTGGATGTTGGCTCCATTGCAAGCCCTGTGCTGATTTGGGGCTCCCAGAGGCTGGCCCAGGCATGCCCCAGGAGCACACATGTGGGCCCAGCCCTGCCAAAGCAATGTCCAGTGCTGTCACTCAGGAATGCAGCTGCCCAGGGCCCATTCATGCCTCATCAGTGCCTGCTCAGTGAACGTGCAGGAGCACATCAGGATGGCGTTGCCCTAAGTTTTATGTGGATAGCAAAGCAAGGACAGGAGAGGCACCATCAAGCTCCCACTGCCTGGGGGTTTGCTCCCAACCCAAAAACATCCAGGGCAGCAGCCTGGCTTATGAAACATGGGAGCAGCTTTACATAATCATAGGAAACCAAGAGAAAATGTGTGTTCACAAAAATGCAACCTGCCCATAACTTCACTAGCTAATTTTTGTATTTTTAGTGGAGACAGGGTTTCACCATGTTGGTCAGGCTGGTCTGGAACTCCTGACCTCAAGTGATCCACCTGCCTTGGCCTCCCAAAGTGCTGAGATTACAGGTGTGAGCCACTGCGCCCGGCCTATTTTGCTTTTTTTCTGATCAGCTGGGTGTAGTGGCTCATGCCTGTAATCGCAGCACTTTGCGGGGCCAAGATGGGCAGATCACCTGCAGCCATGAGTTCGAGACCAGCCTGGCCAACATGGAGAAACCCTGTCTCTACTAAAAATACAAAACTTAGCTGGATGTGGTGGCAGGCACCTGTAATCCCAGCTACTCAGGAAGCTAAGGCAGGAGAATTGCTTGAACCCAGGAAGCTGAGGTTGCAGTGAACCAAGATCGTGCCACTGCACTCCAGCCTGGATAACAGAGTAAGACTTTGTCTCAAAAAAAAAAAAAAAAAAAAAGTCAACCATGTTCATTGCCAATAAATTCCAACAAAAGAGAAAAGGGTAGGTAAAAAACTGAAAGTCCCCAATTCCCACTCTCTAAGCCTCCCACGGTTTGTGAACCTGTCCCTGCAGACTCTGCATGCCCATGTAAACTTACACACACCTACAAGCATGCGCACAAGTGCACAAAGGCACATGTGTGCTTTTATTTATTTTTGACAGAAATAGGATCACCCTCTATCTGCAGTTCTCTACCTTGCTTTTACCCCATTAACAACGTATTATGGGCCGGGTGCAGTGGCTCATGCCTGTAATCCCAACACTTTGGGAGGCCGAGGCAAGAGGATCACTTGAGCCCAGGAGTTCAAAACTAGCCTGGGCAACATAGCATGAGACCTTATCTCTTAACAACAACAAACGTGAGAGGGTGTGTGAGCATTGTCTGTGAGTGTCAGTGTGTGTGTGTGCCAAACAGTTCCTGCAATCTGGGATTCGTCATGCCCGGCCCAAGTGCAGCCCCCTCTGGGTCCCCAAAGTACAGGGGACATGAAGAGGTGGGACATGACTTCCTGACACTGCCAGTCTCTTATGCAAGGTGCCCCTGCCCAGTATGGCTAGACCGGTCCTGGCATTTCAGGCTGAAGGGCAATTCAGAACTCTCTGCTTCACATTCCACTCTAGGCAGCCAGTACAATCCATCAGCACTGCCTTGGTGATCAAAGCCATTGCCCAGGAACAATACTGGGTGGCATGGCACCCCTCAGGACCCCAACCCCCCTCAGGTCCCTTTTAGTGATACTGGAGATCCCTGGGGAGTGGCTGTGGGGGACTCTTACGTGGGGACTCACACTGTTCTGGCTCCTCTAAGGGTGACCTTCTCCCTAGTGCTGCACGGGTCCTGGGGGACAGCTCAGATTCCAGAATGTGGCTCTGCTCTCAGGTCACTGTGGCCTCTGCTGGCACCTGATGCCGGCAGTAGGACATTTCTGCCACTTCCTACCCTCCAACAGAGCACCTTTGTGTCTCGGTTTCTGGAAAGGCCGGAATGAAGGACACCAGTCTGAATGGCCAGATTCCCTCCCCTGAGGCCTCCCTGATGCCCTCTTGGCTTGGGTGCAGCCCTGGCACTTGCTGACTCTGTGTCCTCAGGCACATCACTTGACATTCATGCTTTCATTCTGCAGGCATTCATTGAGCCCCTATTGTATATGAGACCCAGTTGTAGTCCCTGCGGATAGAGCCAGGGACAAGAGATTGTATTCCGGCTCTCCGGGAGCTGACCAAAGATCATGCAGATAGGCAGAGAGCCCTGCAGAGACCAAGACAGGCAGTGTGATGGGCAGCATGGCTCTAGATCCAGGCCATGTGAGGAGCCTCAGGAAGGGCTCTGCTGGCTCAGGGAGCAGCCTGTGCAAAACCTCTAGGAGGGAGTGGGCTTGGTATTTTTTAAGGAATGCGAGGTCAGTGTGGCTGAGATGGGTAGGGCTGGGGGACCTGAATTATATCCAAAGGGTGGAGGAAGAACAACATGGGAGTTAAGCTGGGGAGGAACACTTCTCTGGCAGCCATGGGGAGGGTGAACAGGAGGCTGAGAGAGGATGGGGTGTGAGGGCAGCAGGGAGCCAGATGTTAGCTGGAAGCCAGACAGGATCCCAGGGCTTTCTTCCAAGTGCCATGTGACTTCTGAGGCGTGAGGGTTCGAATAAAGACCCTGGGACCTGGGGACAAGGGAACCACCCTGGACAAACTGGGTGCTAGCAACACCTCCAGCTAGCCTAGGATTCTGGTTCTGAAGCTGACCTTCAGGAAGACCAAGAGCTCTTGAAATAAGGCTGAACCCTTGGGCCCTGTGAAAGGGAAAACACTCAAACTCTGTTTTTCCTCTGTTCTCACACCACAACAATTAACACAAAAGACTCCTGTGATCAAATGTGTGGGGGTTTCTCCCCATGCACCAAGCAAGCAACCAATTCTGCAGCAACACCAGCTGGGTGTCCTCCAACTCTATTCCATTCTGATGCTAATTACCTGGAGATAGCCTCAGAAACCACAGGTTAAGGATTCAGTCCCCCAAGAGCACCTCCTCCTTCCCATGAGTCGCAAGATTGGGACTGACCAGCTTCAAGTTGGGGTTCCCACCACTCCCTCTTTGGGTTCAATTAATTTGCTAGCGCAGCTCTCAAAACTCAGGAAAGCACATTTATCGGTTAGTTACAAAGGATATTTTAAAGGAGACAAAGAAACAGTTAGGCAAAGAGATACATAGGCGGAGGCCTGGAAAGGTCCCTAGTGAAGGAGCCATTGTCTCCATGGAGCTGGAATGTTCCACCCTCCCAGCACGTGGATGAGTTCTTGTTCACCTTCCTGTGAGCCTCCACGTGTTCCGCTGTCCAGAAGCTCCTGAACCCTGTCCTCTTGAGCCTTTCATGGACATTTCATTGGACAGACATGATTGACAACCTTGTGGAAATGTGATTAGACCAAAAGTATATGATCTAATACTAACTGACTGAGTGGGGAAACCCCGCAAGACCTGTGTGTCCTGACTCTTCTTGACCTCTCTGTGAAGCTCACTGTCTGGTAAAAGGGCAGACTCTTGAAACCTTTTGAAAACTCTGTGCCATCCAACTCTGTGGCCCTTAGGACAGTGGCTCCCTAAGGGAGTGGCCTCAATTTCCCCATCTGCCTAACGGGACTCATCCTTATCACTCTGCACCCACTCTGGTCTTCCCTCCTCATGGGTATGGGACAGAACCCCTTCTCATGGGGGTCTAATGACCTACAATTACACGAGGTAGGTGAGAGAACTTACTTATGGCCAGCTCCAAGACAGACCGGCAGGAGAAGATCCTGCCATGGGGAGAGAAAGGAGCAGGTGAAAGGAAGGTAGGAGAAGGCCTGAGAGACTCTGTTTCTGGGGTCTGCTCCTGAGGTCTAAAGCACCCCAGTGGTATAACAAGGGTTGGGGGCAGTTCTAAGCCAGGGGCCTGTATATGCATATCATAGTATCACAGGCCCCATTCATGTGGAACACCAGGAGGAGAGAGAGCCTCCCTGAGGTCCCTGGAGCTCCAGGTGGTGGGGAGGGGACAATTTTCTTTCCATTACTCCTAGGTCCCCAGAGCCATGGTGAGTTCTGTGCCATTGTCAGAGACCAGAGTGATAAGGATGAGTCCCATTAGGCAGATGGGGAAATGGAGTCCACTCCCTTAGGGAGCCACTGCTCTAAGGGCCACAGAGTTGGAAGGCACAGAGCTTTCAAAGGGTTTCAAGGGTTTGCCCTTTTTCCAGACAGTGAGCAGCTTGAGGGCAGAGGTGGCACCTGCCAGGCATCTGAGGGTGGCACACTGTGGGGCCCCCCTCCAATCCTAGCCCATAGCCCTCACCAGCCAGACACCATAGGGCCAGCCTCTGCGGGCTGGGCCAGCAGGAGCCAGGTGCTATGGGATGCCATACTTAGGGTCTGATTGGGCATCTGGGGGTCAGGCCAGCAGAGGAGCACCTGGAGGCGAGCTGGGGGACTCACTCAAATTCAGTCAATCGCCTCATGAGCCAGAGCTCTCTGAGTATGGGCAATGCAGGGAGGACACAGAGGACACAGGGCGGCCACTGGTGCCTCTTGGATCTCTCAGGGTTTTAGCTCCCTGCCCAGCCATCCGTTTGAGGGTCTTGCCTTTATCTTTCCTCTGTCAAATGGAGCTTCTTCCTCTGTAAAATAGGCATTGTAGGCAGTATGTACCTCACTGGCCAAGTGTGGTGGGCAGATTGAATGAAACAGTGTCTGTGATGAAAGTCCCCTCCCTAATCCCACTCTGGGGAGCTTCATACCTCTGGGAACCATGGGGTCTGATAACAGTAGTGGTGGGTGCCCCTGTCCCTACAGACCTGGAAGCAAACCCAATAATCTCCCTAAAAGTCAGTAGTGTTTCTAGGCCCTAATAATTTGTAAAGGATCTTCCCCTAGTAATTTCTCAGTTATCATCACCTGGCATTGTCATGGCTACCACTATCCTATTCTCATTTTCAATAATCCCCATCCCCTGTGCAGGGCTCTAAAGCCCTGAGTGGCTGGGCATGGTGGCTCATACCTATAATCCGGCACTTTGGGAGGCAGAGGAGGGCAGATGGCTTGAGCCTAGGAGTTCAAGACCTGCCTGGGTAAAGTGGCAAAACCCCATCTCTACAAAACATACAAAAATTAGCCGGGCGTGGTAGTGTGTACCTATGGTCCCAGCTACTTTTGAGGCTGAGGCAGAAGGATCACTTGAGCCCAGGAGGCTGAGGCTTCAGGCAGCTGTAATCACTCCACTGCATTCCAGCCTGGGTGACCATGGGTGACCCCGTCTCAAAGAAAAAACAAGTTTTTTAATTATTAGAAAAAAGAAATAGGGCCTGGTGCGGTGGCTCACCCCTGTAACCCCAGCACTTTGGGAGGCCGAGGCGGATCACCTGAGGTCGGGAGTTCAAGATCAGCCTGACCAACATGGAGAAACCCCGTCTCTACTAAAAATACAAAATTAGCTAGGTGTGGTGGCGCATGCTTGTAATCCCAGCTACTAGGGAGGCTGAGGCAGGAGAATTGCTTGAACTCAGGAGGCGGAGGTTGTGGTGAGCCAAGATCATGCCATTGCACTCCAGCCTGGGCAACAACAGCGAAACTCAGTCTCAAAATTAAGTCCTGCAGTCTCTTGGGCCTGGGGTTGGTCGGCTGGGGCCAAGCCTGGCACCCACCAGCCTTGTGACCTTGATTGCCCTTGCCAAGCCTCAGTTTGTCCATCTCTAAAATGGGATTCGCCGTGACAAGTCCACGGAGGACTGTGTGGAGGAGGGAGACTGAGAGGCTTTCGAGTCAGGAGCCCAGACTCGAATCCTGAGTTGTTCGTTATGTTATTATTATTGGTGTGTGTGGTTAACTGCTAACCTCGCAGTCCGCAGCGGCCCAGCGCCTAGGGGAGGGGAGCGGGCAGGAGGCGGCCCCAGGCGGGGCGGGGCTGAAGGCCTGGGGTGATCCGAGCCCCGCCTCCTCCCCCTGCCCCGCCTCTCCCATCCCCGCCCCGCCCCGCCCGGCGACTTAACGCGCCCCCGCCCCGCGCCCGGCCTCGGCAGCCGCCTGTCGCCGCGGGAGCAGCCGCTATCTCTGTGTGTCCGCGTGTGCGCCCGGTCCCCGCCTGCCGCACCATGGAGAGCTACCACAAGCCTGACCAGCAGAAGCTGCAGGCCTTGAAGGACACGGCCAACCGCCTACGTATCAGCTCCATCCAGGCCACCACTGCGGCGGGCTCTGGGTGAGTGCGCGGCGCCGGCCGGGGACGCGGCTCGGGCGGGGCGGGGGGCGTCTGCGGCGGCCAGAGTCGCCGCGGGCTCTGGGTCGCGCTGCGAGATGCCTAGACGAGGAAGGTGGCCCGGGCGCCGTCGGAGGGCGGAGACGCGCGCCTCGCAGGGCCCCGGGCTGCAGGCGGCTTCCGCTGCGCCGCACACTCGCCCTACGCCCGGGCTCGGCCGCGTGGGCCTCTGGTCCTCCGTGCGCCTCAGGCCGGCTCTTCCCCACGCGGATCGCCGGCCGCGCAGCTGCATGGTGGCGCGGGGGATGGGCTCGCGACTCGCCAAGTACCCTCTAGGGTGATGCCGGGAAGGCCACCATTACTGCTGTTCTACAGAACGCGGCCCTCTTAACCCTCTCCACCACCTGGCTGTGTGGGCGCCGCCGGGAGTGTTCCCCCTTCCAGATGGGGAAACGGAGGCTCCGAGTTAGTCAGCTACCCAAAGTTACACACAGGGAGATCTGATTTGAGCCCCAGCAGTCCGACTCTAGAGACCCTGTTTTTAATTCCTCTTGCAGGAGACTCGGGGGCCCGGCCTTCTCCCCACCTCAGACTACGCTCCCCTACCCCTGTCTCCTGCCACCCCTGGGTTGGGTCCGAGTTTGGAGCAGGGGGCTGCTGAGACGCCAGGCAGCGGCGGGGCTGATTGGGGGAAGAGGGGAGGAGGGCGGTGGCACGTGGGTGCAGAACCCTGGGATCCATTGTGAAAAGGAGGTCTAAGATTTGACCTGGGGCGGGAGGAGGCGGAGGGCAAGGAGACTGAGAAGGCTGAGCGCCGGAAGGACGGAGTTCCAGGGCCCTAGCGCCGGGAGTGACGTCCTGGGGCAGGGCCAGCCACCAGGTGCTGTATCTCCCAGGCAGGAGCTGGCGTGCCTAGGCCCCAAGATCCTTCCCTGGCCAGCCCTTTTGGCCCAGAAGGTGGACACCCAAGGAGCCTCCTCTGTAGCGGAGACAGGGATAATTAATGAGGGCCACCGTGCATGCAGCTGGAGGTGTCCAGTGGGGTGGGTGAGGGGGTCAGTCAGTGAATTACTTCAGAGCCTGCTTCCCGCTCTGTAAAGCGGGGACAGTAATGGCACTTAACCACGCTGGGTGGTTTCAAGGACTCCAGTGCTCTACTTGGAGGCTGCTTTGAGGCCACAGTGCCAGCAGTGCTCCGGGCTCATGACAGGGTTGTGAGGGCTGCGTGATGGATGATTTCTCGGGACCTTCCCAAACAAGCTCTGTTTCAGACAGACAAGATTCTGGCTTCTGGCCAATTTCATTCAGGATATATTATTAAGAAGTAAATCTGTTCACCTTTCTGGGTGGATACGCATTCACCCTTTGTGCCTCTAAGACACCCTGTTCTCAGAAGGGATTAGATGTCTTTCAAAGCCCTTCCCCCACCCACTGCCTTGCACACTTTGGACCTGTTAGCTCTCCTGGGTTTGTGTCAGTCTTACCACTTATGTGGGGTATCCCCTGCCTGGGCAGGGACCTGGCTTACTCTCAGCTCCCCTTTCACCAGCCTGGCACACGGTAGCTCTGCAGGCCTTGTATTGCTTATTTGGTACTGTTGGACCTGCTACCTTTGGCCGTTTCAGGGGGTCTGAGGTCTAGCTGGAGAGAGGCAGCAATTACCCAACTAAGTAGTATTGCACATCTGAGCATCTTTCAGGGCTAGATAAAACATGCAGATGTTTACAGGGTTCCTGAGCTGCCAAGTAGGTATCTGGTATGACACAGCATCATCGTTTGTTGCATCCTGAGAATAACCCTGTGAGATAGATTGTGTTGTATTCACATTTTATAGACGGGAACACTGAGGCTAGTGTGTTAAGTTACTTGCCCAGGCTGGGAATTGGTGGCCATTCCGTACTGTCTGGTTGGGGCTCATGCTGTCAGGAATGCTTCTTGGCAGGGCATGGTGGTTCATGCCTGTAATCACAGCACTTTGGGAGGCCAAGGTGGGAGGATTGCTTGAGCCCAGGAGTTCCAGACCAACCTGGGCAACACAGTGAGACCCCATAGCTTAAAAAAAAAATTTTTTTTTTGAGATGGAGTCTTGCTCTATCGCCCAGGCTAGAGTGCAGCAGCACAATCTTGGCTCACTGCAACCTCTGCCTCCCAGGTTCAACTGATTCTCCTGCCCTAGCCTCCTGAGTAGCTGGGACTACAGGCATCCGCCACCGCACCGGCTAATTTTTGTATTTTTAGTAGAGATGGGGTTTCACCATCTTGGCCAGGCTGGTCTCTTGACCTCAGGTGATCCACCCACCTCGGCCTCCCGAAGTGCTGGGATTACGAGTGTGAACCACTGCCCCCGGCCAAACATTTTTTTTAATTGGCTAGGTGTGGTGATGTGTACCTGTAGTCCCAGCTACATGGGAGGCTGAGGCAGAGGATCACTTGAGCCCAGGAAGTTGAGGCTGTAGTGAGCCTTGAACATGCCACACACTGCAGCATGGGTGACAGAGTGAGACTGTGTCTCAAAAGAAAGAAAGAGAGAGAGAGAGAAAGAAAGAAAGGCCAAGAAAAGAAAAATAGTTGGGCATGGTGTTACATGTATGCCAGCACTTTGGGAGGCCAAGGCAGAAGGTTCGCTTGAGGCCAGGAGTTCAAGACCAGCCTGGGTAACATTAGCAAGACCCTGTCTCCAAAAATAAATAATGTTTCGGCCAGGCGCAGTGACTCATCCCTTTAATCCCAGCACTTTGGGAGGTGTAGGCGAGTGGATCACCTGAAGGTCAGGAGATCGAGACCAGCTTGGCCAACATGGTGAAACCCTGTCCCTACTAAAAATACAAAAAATTAGCTGGACGTGGTGGCGGGCGCCTGTAATCCCAGCTACTCAGGAGGCTGAGGCAGGAGAATCACTTGAACCCGGGAGGCAGAAGTTGCGGTGAGCTGAGATTGCACCATTGCACTCTGGCCTGGGCAACAAAATTGAAACTTCTTCTCAAAAAAAAAAAAGAATGCCTCTTGGGCAAGCAGTCTGTGCCAGGCTGGAGAATGGTGAAAAAGGTGAAAGGGAAGGCCAGGTACAGCCGCGGTGGATATTAGTCAGTCTGAAAGGCACTTGGAGAGAAATAAGATTTACAAATGTAGGGTGCTCCAAAAGAGTGGAATGTCAAGTGTGTCTCCTAGTTCTTTGTTAGGCAAAGTCTGATTTCCTCACCGCCGTTACCCCTCCGGAAACATACTGTGGTGTCCGAGAGTTACACCATGTTTACATTGTAATGTCTTGGAGAGGGAAGCTCACTGAACTCAAAAAATATCCATTTGCAAAAGAAAAAAAGGATATGTAAAATACAGTGACTGTGTGTGTGTATGTATATGTTTAAAATATGCAAAAAAGGAGGGAAAACTTATTTTTCAGAAGGAAATAACGTTGCTATGCAACCCATATTTTGAAAGTTGTGAGCCAAGAGTATGTGTGTGTTTGCACCCAAAAGCTAATCAAGGAAGACTTGAGACACAGGTAGTCTTCTGTTTCTTGTCCCCAGATGTTTATCTTGAGGCCCACTGTTCCCTCTCTGCAATGAGGCATAGAGTGAAGGCTCAGTCCGGAAGCCCTGGCCCAATCTGGGCTGTAGTCACAGCTAAAGTGACAGTTTGTCAGAATGTCCCCTTTTCTGGGGGAGCTCACAGGACTTTGATCCAGTTCTTTTTCTTTTGAGATGGAGTTTCACTCTTGTTGCCCAGGCTGGAGTGCAATGGTGCGATCTTGGCTCACCACAAACTCCGCCTCCCAGGTTCAAGCAATTCTCCTGCCTCAGCCTCCCAAGTAGCTGGGATTACAGGCATGCACCACCACGCCCGGCTAATTTTGTATTTTTACCCCGTAGAGACGGGGTTTCTCCATGTTGAGGTTGGTCTTGAACTCCTGACCTCAGGTGATCCGCCCGCCTCGGCCTCCCAAAGTGCTGGGATTATAGGCGTGAGCCACCGCTCCTGGCCCCTTTTCCTTTTTTCTTTTTTTTTAAGACAGGGTCTTGCTGTGTCACCCACCAGGTCTGGAGTACAGAGGCACAGTCATGGCTCCCTGCAGTCTTGAACTCCTAGGCTATAGCAATCCTGCCTCACCCTCCTGGGTAGCTGGGACCACAGACATGTGCTACCATGTCTAGCTTTGGTCCAATCTTTTGCTGGCCACTTACTGAGACAGGATTTGTACATTCTGTGAGGACCCAGGCTCGTTTCTCGATAGCTTTCCCATTCCTATGCCATTGCTGACCCGTGTGCAGTGAACCTCACCAGGCCCAGGAAGCAGGGACACTGGCCTCTGTCAGGAGTTGGGCCTGGAGGTGAAGGGACAGACCTCACAGAAGGCTCTTTGTTGAGGCAGCGCCCACAGTGGCTAGAGCTTCTCTGGGGTCATCTCCTTCCATGGGCTGAAGGAATTATGGCAAGGGTCCAGCTCATCCTGGCTTTAAAAAAACAAAACCCCAGTGGCCTTGTCAGAAGTGGCCTGGATGCTGAGGCTGGTGGCAAAGATTTCTCAGTTCTCACCAGGGCCAGACTGTGGTGTTATCCAAACAGTGCAAGTGTCATCTGAGGACTCCATCACAGTCAGGCCTGATTCAAAAGGGAAGGTGGTCTGTGCTTTCAACAAGTCCCCCCAGGGTTTCTGACCCACAGCTTTGGGGAGGTTAATGCCTGGCCAGTCCTGGCTGGTGGACACAGGAGATGAGTCCAACCCTGGCTCTGTTCCTAGTGGCTGTGCCTTTGTCAGAAAGGCCCTTCCGGCCAGGTGCGGTGGCTCATGCCTGTATTCACAGCACTTTGGGAGGCCAGGGTGGGAGGATTGCTTGAGCCTGGGAGTTCAGGACCAAACTGGGCAACATAGTGAGACCTCATCTCTACAAAAAAAAGAAAGAGCTGTGCATGTGCCTGTAGTCCCAGCTACTTGGGAGGCTGAGGTGTGAGGATCACTTGAGCCCAGGAGTTCAAGGCTGCAGTGAGTTATGATCATGGCTCTGCACTCCAGCCTGGGCAACAGTGAAACCCTGGCTCTTAAAAAAACAAAACAAAACAAAAAAACCTTCCTATCTCAGGTTCTCAGTTGCCCAGGCTAGAATGCTGTGGCGTGATCTCTGCTCACTGCAGCCTCCGCCTCCTGGGCTCAAATGATGCCCTCATCTCAGCCTCACAAGTAGCTGGGACCACAGGCATGAGCCACTATGCCTTGGCTAATTTTTGTATTTTTTGTAGAGTTGAGGTTTTGTCATTTTGCCCAGGCTGGTCTCAAACTCCTGGGCTTAAGCGATCCACCTGCCTCAGCTTCCCTAGAGTACTGGGATTACAGGCCATTTTCTCCATCTTGAAAGGAGAGGTTCATGGATAGGTGGTTTCAAACTGGGTGCCTCAGGAGTAGGGCTGGGGATGGAGTGAGTGGGCTCCGGGGTCCCACCGCCCGCTGTTGCTGATTTTACATCCTGGTGCTCTTTGTGCCCTTAAAGTGGCTGGGGTTGTATCCCAGTTTACCCAGCTCTGACATCCAGGTGCTTTGGCTGAAGGCTTGAGGGCCTCCTGGGGTCTCTGGCCCCATGTGGCTCCGCCTCTCTGGGCCTGTTTCTGTTTTTGGGCTGCCTCAGGACCCATCCTGGCCCTGACTGAGGCAAGAGCATGACCGTTGAGATTGCCCCAGCAGCAGCATTTCCTCACTCAGTGTGAAGACACTGGCCACCCTGGGGTGGCTTGGTTCTCTGCCCGAGTGACCTCTCCTCTGCAGGGCTGGTGGTCGGTGTTTTAAGAAACTGGAAGTGAAGTACAGCACCTAGTTAGGATCTGGCTGAGACTTTGTCGTGGCTTCCTATGGACTCTAACTGATGTCCGGCCCCTGTTGTGGCTCTGACCCCTCAACATTCATTGTCTCTTGTGGCAGGCTTGTTGTCACTGTCGCCTAGTTCCACAAAATCAGGAACTCCCTTCTTGCCACAGACCAGTTTGCCCTGGGTGCTGGGGACACTTCTAGAGGTCAGGGACCTGCACAGAGCTAGGTCCTCAGGCAGGCTCTGCTCCTGCCCTGAATGGAGAGGCAAGGTAGGGGAGAGAGGATGTGCTGGGAGCTGGGGTGAGCCCACCTGCAGATGGGGGTTGCTCAGAAGTCAGTTGCATTTGTGCACTGGGTGGAATCTCCGAGGACTACACAGCTGGAAGGGAAGTGTGGACGCCCAAGAACTTCCTCTACTGAGCTCTCCTAGCACCTTTTTCTTCATTTATTTGTTTGTTTGACAGAGTCTCGCTCTGTCACCCAGGCTGGAGTGCAGTGGGGCGGCGATCTTGGCTCACTGTAACCTCCACATCCTAGGTTCAAGCGATTTTCTGCCTCAGTCTCCCAAGTAGCTGGGATTACAGGTGCATGCCACCACTGCCCAGCTAATTTTTGCATTTTCAGTAGGGATGGGGTTTCACCATGTTGGCCAGGCTGGTCTTGAATTCCTGACCTCAGGTGATCCTCCCGCCAGCCTTGGCCTCCCAAAGTGTTGGGATTACAGGCGTGAGCCACTGCTCCAGGCCCTTTTTCTTTTAAAAACAAATTTTTAGGCCAGGTGTGATAGCTCACACCTGTAATCCCAGCACTTTGGGAGGCCAAGGTGGGTGGATCATTTGAGGTCAGGAGTTCGAGACAGCCCAGCCAACATGGTGAAACCCTGTCTCTACTAAAAAATACAAAAAAAATGAGTCGGGCATGGTAGCAGGCACCTGTAACCCCAGCTACTCGGGAGGCTGAGGCATGAGAATCGCTTGAACCCGGGAGGCGGAGGTTGCAGTGAGCCAAGATTGTACCACTGCACTCCAGCCTGGGTGACAGAGTGAGAACTTGTCTCAAATAAATAAATAAATAAAAATAAAAACAAATTTCTAGCAGCTTGATTAAGGTATAATTGGCGTATCATAACATTGTAAGTGATTTTAATGAATTTGCAGAGATTTACTACAAAAATTTACCACATCTCCTAAAAGATCTCTTCTGGACATTTGCTGTCACTCCCCATTTCCACCCCCAGTCCTGGGCAACCACTAATCTAATTTTCTGTCTCTAAATTTAACTCTTCTAGACATTTCATATAAATGCAATTATACAGAATGAGTTCTTTTGGGTCTGGCCTCTTAGCATAATTTTTAGAGGGTCATCCATGTTGTAACATGAATCAGTACTTTGTTCCTTTTTTTTGGGGGGTGGGGGGCAGGGTCTCCACTGTGTCCCGAAGCTGGAGTGCAATGGCACAGTCATGGCACACTGCAGCCTCAACCTCCCGGGATCAAGCAGTCTTCCCAGCTCAGCCTCCTAAGTAGCTGGGAGGCACTCACCACCATACACAGCTAATTTTAAAAATTATTTGTAGAGACAGGGTATGTTGCTGAGCCTGGTCTCAAATTCTGGGCTCAAGTCCTCTTCCTGCCTTGGCCTCTCAAAGTGCTGGAATTAACAGGCATGAGCCACCACGCCCAGCCCTTCATTTCTTTTTACGGCTGAATATTCCGTTGTGTGGACATAGTGCATTTTGTTTATCCATTCACCAGTTTTTCTTAGCATTTTGCTCTTATCCTAGCTCTGCTGCTGGCAGGCCGTGTGACTTTAGGCAAGTCACTTTCTGTGAACCTTAGTGGCCCCATCCTCCGAATGAAGCATAGTCTAATATTTACTGAGCAATTGCTAATTTCTATGCATGGTGCCACGTTCTGTACATACACACTACATCATTTAGTCAGATTCTTCTTTTACCTCCGTTTTATAGTGAGGAAACTGAGGCTCAAAGAGGTTACAGCCCCAAGGTTACTAGGATACATCATGTATTCATTTGTGCACTCAGTTTGTGCCTGGTACTATTCAAGCCTGTGGATACAACAGTGAAAGGCCCAAAGCTCTGTCCTCAAGGAGCTTGTATTGCAGTAGGGTAGACAGGCAATAACCACCTAATGTCAGGTGGCAAGCATGAGTGAGGGGAAGAAGAGCTATTTTAGACAGTGTGGTCAGGGAGGGCTTCTTGGAAGAGGTGACATGGGGCAGAGATCTGAAGAAACAACCTGAGGTCTGGAGCCAGAGGTTCTTTCCGGGCAGAAGCCAGCTCGGGTAGTTCAGGGCACAGGAAGAGCAAGAACTGCTTCTGATGTTCATTTCCACCCTGACATCCTGGGATTCTCTCCTGAGTATTTTTTTTTTTTTTTTTTTTTTTTGAGGTGGAGTCTGTTGCCTAGGCTGGAGTGCAGTGGTGCGATCTCGGCTCACTGCAGCCTCTGCCTCCCAGGTTCAAGCAATTCTCCTGCCTTAGCCTCCCATGTAAAGTAGCTGGGACTAGTGGCCCGCACCACCATGCCCAGCTAATTTTTGTGTTTTTAGTAGAGGCGGGGTTTTGCCATGTTGGCCAGGCCGGTCTTGAACTCCTGACCTCAGGTGCCTCAGGTGAGCCACCGCCCCTGGCCTCTTCTAAATTTTTTTTTTTTTTTTTTTTTGAGGCTGAGTTTCACTCTTGTCTCCCAGGCTGGAGTGCAATGGTGAGATCTCAGCTCACTGCAACCTCTGCCTCCCAGGTTCAAGCGATTCTCCTGCCTCAGTCTCCCAAGTAGCTGGGATTACAGGCACCCACCACCATGCCCAACTAATTATTGTATTTTTAGTAGAGACGGGGTTTCACCTTGTTGGCCAAGCTGGTCTCAGACTCCTGACCTCAGGTGATCCACCTGTCTCTGTCTCCCAAAGTGCTGGGATTATAGGCGTGAGCCACCTGAATATTTAAAAAAAAAAAAGTATATGCATAAAGAAGAAGATAAATGATGTACTCTTGTCATAAATAATGAACCTGTGTGTAGCTGCTCCCAGGATTAAGAACTAGTACATTACAGTGATTTTTGGAACTACAGTGGGTCCCTCCATCCTCATCTTCCCTTCCCCTGAGAAAGAACTATACCCTGAATTTTTTGTTTGTTATCATTCTATTGTTTTCCTTTTTTTTTTTTTTGAGACGGAGTTTTGCTCTTGTTGTCCAGGCTGGAGTGCAATGGCGCCATCTCGGCTCACTTCAACCTCCGCCTCCCGGGTTCAAACGATTCTCCTGTCTCAGCCTCCCGAGTAGCTGGGATTACAGGCATGTGCCACATGCCCGGCTAATTTTGTATTTTTAGTAGAGATGGGGTTTATCCGTGTTGGTCAAGCTGGTCTCAAACTCATGACCTCAGGTGATCTGCCCTCCTCGGCCTCCCAAAGTGCTGGGATTACAGGCTTGAGCCACCGCACCTGGCCTGTTTTCCTTGTAGTATATACAAAAAGACTTGTACATAAATCAATATGGTCTTCTTTGTTAAACAGATCCTTCTGCACTGTGCTTTTTTCACACTATATTTGGGAGAGAATATTGATACCGGATTTGTGAAGTGTAGCTCGCTCATTCTTACTGCTGTATAGTATCCCATTATATTAATATATTCCAGTTAACCTCGTCTATTGATAAACATATAAGTGAGTTCCAGGTCTTGCAATTGCAAACAATGCGGGGCAGCCCTGTTTGTGTTTCCTTTTTTTTGTTGTTGTTGTTGTTTTTTTCCTGAGATGGAGTCTCACTCTGTCACCGAGTCTAGAGTACAATGGCACGATCTTGATTCACTGCAACCTCAGCCTCCTGGGTTCAAGTGGTTCTCCTGCCTCAGCTTCCCAAGTAGCTGGGATTACGGGTGCCTGCCACCATGCCCAGCTAATTTTTGTATTTGTAGTAGATACAGGGTTTCACCATGTTGGCCAGGTTGGTCTCGAACTCCTGACCTCAGTTGATCCACCCACCTCAGCCTCCCAGAGTGCTGGGATTACAGGTGTGAGCCACTGTGCCCGGCCTGTTTGTGTTTCCTGTAGAATGTGTGGAACATGTGAGTACATTTCACTGTATGTTCCTACTGGTGAAGTTGCTGGGAGTTAAGGGATGTGCATCTTCGGCTACTGATCTGGTTTATTTTTAATGCTTGAAAGATTACTTAGGTTCTCTATTTCTTCTTGAGTCAGTTTTGGTAAATTATTTTCATTATTGTTATTATTTTTTAGACAGAGTCTCACTCTGTTGCCCAGGCTGGAGTGCAGTAGCATGATCTCGGCTCATTGCAACCCACGCCTCCGGGGTTCAAGCTATTCTCCTGCCTCAGCCTCCCAAGTAGCTGGGATTATAGGCATGTGCCACCACGCCCGGCTAATTTTTGTATTTTTAGTAGAGACGGGGTTTCACCATGTTGGCCAGGCTGGTCTTTGAGCCGCTGACCTCAGGTGATCTGCCTGCCTTGGCCTCCCAAAGTGCTGGAATTACGGGTGTGAGCTACCGCGCCCAACCTGACATCCATTATCTCTTGAAGGAGCCCATCTGGAGGGTGAGGGAGCCTCTCTGGCCTTTTCTTGCATAGAAACCTGTGAGCAGGTGGAGTGAGCACTAAAGCGATGACAGAGATTCTCCTGGCCAGGGGACATCTGGAAGAATATATATTGTCCTGGAGGGGAGTGGAGAGGGGGCTTTTTTTTTTTTTTTTTTGAGATGGAGTGTTACTCTTGTTGCCAAGGCTGGAGTGCAATGGTGCAATCTTGGCTCACTGCAACCTCTGGCTCCCAGGTTCAAGTGATTCTCCTGCCTCAGCTTCCCGAGTAGCTGGGATTACAGGCGTCCACCACCACACCTGGCTAATTTTTTGGTATTTTTAGTAGAGATGGGGTTTTACCATATTGGCCAGGCTGGTCTTAAACTCCTGACCTCAGGTGATCCGCCTGCCTTGACCTCCCAAAGTGCTGGGATTACAGGTGTGAGCCACTGCCCCCAGCCTGGAGGGGGCTTTAAGAGACTTTCTTTGGGCCTAGCTCTAAGCTTGCCACACCACCGTCACAGGTTGAACTAATTGGGGTTGTAAGTGGACTGTTTTGGTCAAGGCAGGGTGTGTTAGTTTTTTTTTTTTTTTTTTGAACAGTCAAGTGTGCTTGTTAGCCCTGTTTATCACAGAGTCAGGGTATACAGTAAGTACCCTGTAGCCCCTCCACCGTGCTCCTCACCCCATCTCTCGCCAGTGTTCACCCAGAGTTGTCACACACAGCACCACGGGATGGGGCGTCCACCTGCAGTTGTGCAGGCAGTCTGGAATGGCAGGAAAAACTCTGGCCCTGAGGAGGCCACAGGCTTAAATGTATGCCTTTGGCCCCAAAGGCCCGCTAGGAAGTTGAGCTTGAAAGTAACTGTCTCCTGTGTGCTCAGTGCTTTACAGTGTGCAGAGCCCGGTCTCAATCCTTGGTGTATTTCTCCCCTCTTGCCTGCCTGTGGCCAGCAGGAGTGGGTGGTGTCACCATCCCTGCCTGTAGATAAGAGCTGCAGGTGCTGAGAGGGTTGGCAGTGGTGGCGGCTGCTAGAGACCTGGGTACTGTGCATGCTGCGTTATCTCACTGTGTCTCCCAGACACTCTCCCAAGTGAAGAAGCTGAGCCCCGGGTTGACGAAGCACTTGTTGAAGTCACGAAGCCCAAGTGGCACAGCTCACCTCCCCAACCCAGGATGCTCTGCCGAGGGAGAGCCCCAAAAGCTCTGGGGAAGAGTGCGGGGACACCTGGCTCCTAAGCGTTCTTCTTTTGTGCGTGTTTACTTGGTAGAAGTGAAGAGAGTGGCCGCAGCAGGCTGGATGCAGCCTTTGGAAGGAATGAAAGGCTGCAGGCCTAGCAAGGAAGGCTTAAAATCAGCTGCACGTTCTACTTCTCACCCTTGGTCACCTCGCAGCTGACCTTCC
The DNA here is from genome assembly GCF_000001405.40 of Homo sapiens. NCBI lineage: Eukaryota > Metazoa > Chordata > Mammalia > Primates > Hominidae > Homo > Homo sapiens. The sequence goes on along the minus strand of NC_000003.12, from coordinate 53,244,076 downwards.
TCTCTCCACGTTTACTCTATCTGGGCCTGGGTGTGCTTCTGCCACACACAGAAAGAGCCTGTGCCACACCATTTCTCCCTGGAACCCCTTCTGGTGGCCAATGGGACTGTCACCCCGGGGTGTCGAGGTGGATGGGGCAGGTGGAGCCCTGCACTTACCGTCCTTGTTCTTCCCCGGAACAGTTTGGCCCAGTGTCCACCCACATCCTTCTCCCACCAAGGATCCCTCCTAATGGGACCATGGCTTTAGAAACAGGACCCCTCAGGGCCGGGGCTGCCCTTGGAGGTGGGAAGGACGAGAGGTCAGCCTGAGGTGACCTCCAGTTGAAGCTGGCCCTGGGAGCGTGGGATTAGGGTGGCCTCCAGTTGAAGCTGGCACTGGGAGCGTGGGATTAGGGTCCCTGCCAGGCAGAAAAGGGTTTCTCGTTTACCATGTCCTCCCCTCCCTCTTTCAGGTGTAGTGTCTTTTCCCATGACCGGGAGTTCATAGAAATAGTTAAGTATAAGATGATCGTGTGCGAGAATGTTGGTACTAAACCAGCATGGACAGTTTTCTGGATTTCTCTACTACTAACTTGTCTGCACTGAGCGTGACTCACCCCTAACCTGGTGGGAGCGCTGATTGGAGGGGCGGGAGGCTGGCGGCGTGAGCTCCAGATGGTGCATGTGCCCTTGGGCTTGGCATGCGGCGTGTCTTCGTGTGAAGGACCTCTGGGAGCAGCGAGAGGGCTGAGCTGAGCTGAGCTGAGCTGCATGTGGAGGGGCCCTCCCGGGAGGCCTGTGCCCTGAGGCTGAACTTTTAACAAAACCCTGGGACCAGAGGGCTTCAGGGCTGATCAGGACCTGCAGCGCTTCCTGCTGGGAAGCAGGAAGCAATAGAAAGTTTACGCTTTCTATTGCTCAGGAGCCGCTCAGTGATTAAAACAAGTCTAAAAAGCCAAGGGGACTCCGTGGCCCCACCACTCCCAGGCTGGAAGGCAGGTTCTTGCTTTGTCAGCCCTTCCTCAGCCCTTGTCCATAGGCAGAAGGGGTTTTTATTAATACATGATTGTAGCCTTGTAGGAGATGAGATTATGTGTCTTGCTTTGAAAATTCTACACAAAAGCCTGTTTCCTAGTTGCTACAGCAGCCCTCAAACTGCCCATTTCTAAAGCTTTCAAGTAGCCCAGTGATGCAATTGGAAAGCCCAAGGCCCAGTTTTTCAGGCTACCACACCCCATGCGTGGAGGCTGCTGGGAGGTCTGTGGTAACTCCATGAGCCTCAGTCCCTTCCTCCCTGCCCCATGGGCTCAGAGGCCCAGCACCCCTGGGTGCTGAGAGGGCAGGGTGCCCTTCACAAGTGGGCAGTGTCCGGGCAGTCCTGTCAGGATGTGGGGTCAGTCGTAGGAATGCCGGCACCCCTTGGCTGCTGAGTCCTTAGACTCCTGGGGGCCACTAGGTGGGAACTGGGTTCTACCTGACAGCAGCTGCCCCCAGCCGCAGTGCTAGCCTTGGGCTGAGTCTTCTGTGCTAGATCTCTCCTGGGCCCCTCCTTCCTTCTTACTCAAGTCCAACCCCAGATATTTTCAGTTGCCGTGATTCTGAGGATCTGATGCCCCTGGAAAGGTACAACAGTCCCCAGCACCCACTAGCTGGCCCAGGCCCCAAACTGCCAGGAGTGGCCTTCTTGAGACCATGTGTCACCCTCCCAGGGAACAAGAGCTCGTGGCTGTCTGATAAGCCAGGCCTGTGTGACTCCTCAGGACATGCACCCCCAGGTCCCTGTACAGCTGAGCACAATAGCTCAGGAGTGCAGGGCCATGATGCCTGTGTCTGTCTTCTCTCCTGGGCCACAGCCACCCCACGTCATGCTGCAGCGCCGCAGAGATCATGGCTGTCCTCTTTTTCCACACCATGCGCTACAAGTCCCAGGACCCCCGGAATCCGCACAATGACCGCTTTGTGCTCTCCAAGGTAAGAGCCCAGCTGCCCACTGCCAGCCACACCTTGCCTGGGACTAGGGTCACACGGGCCCTGGAATGGTGAGTGGTCTTTGAGGAGACCTGGCTGGGCCCACCTCTCCCAGGTGCCTTCTCCCTGCTCGTCCTGGCCTCTCCCTCAGTGTCCTGCTCTGTGCTGACCCAGCTGGCTAAGGAATACAGGACTGAATTGATGGGTTGCTCTGCCATGGAGCCCAGGTACATAAACAACGCTTTAACTCAAAGAAATGGAGTAGGGGACTACGGAAACATCTGTTGTGTGTTCTGCCCAGTCTGGGTGTTGACAGGCAGGACTGGCATCTCGGTCTGGGTTGTGGCTCCCTACCTGCTCTATCTGTGTTGTGCCAGCGCTCCCGAGGCCACGGCTTGCCCCCTCGGGGTGGTGGTGTGCTGTAGCAGGGTTTTGGATGGGGACCCCCTGACCCCCCCCTTCTGGGTGGAATCACAGCCACAGATCCCTGAAATCCACCTGTGCTCAGGCCTGCCTCCGTGGCGTTTGGTCTCTCGGGCAGGCTTTAGAGCTTAGAAGTCTGTCCAAGTTGTTCCCATGCCACAAACCAGGGATTAGGGCAGCCGGCTGCCTGCTGGGGTTTTGGCTTCGTCCAGCCTCACAGCTGTGCCCCCTGCACCTGTCTTAGTGCCTGCCTGGCCTTGGCAGTGGGAACTTTGGGCTGAAAACCAAGAGGCTGAAGAGGGCTGAAAGGGGAGAAGTGGCCTTCACTTGCTTCCTCCCCTGAAATGGATGCTGCAGTTGGCCGGCTCGGCCGGGCCCCAGGGGTCAGTGTGAAGTAGGCACAGCCCGAAGTAGAACCGCTCCCCACCTGACCTCACCCCACCATCCATCTCCCGGCAGGGCCATGCAGCTCCCATCCTCTACGCGGTCTGGGCTGAAGCTGGTTTCCTGGCCGAGGCGGAGCTGCTGAACCTGAGGAAGATCAGCTCCGACTTGGACGGGCACCCGGTCCCGGTAAGTGCTCCTGCCAGAGCCTCCCATGCCTCTGCCTCCACTTCCTATTTCCCAGACATGTGGGACGGGGGTAGGGGGTGCCCACTGAGAAGCCAAAGGTGTTGAAAGGCGGAGGAGGGCATTGAGTTGAGGAAGGAAAGAAGCAGGTGTTTTGGGGACACGTATTCAACCCAAGCTGGTGCCAAAGGGGAAGGCCTTCTGAGGCCTCAGCCAGGGTGCTCTGGGATGACTTCAGGGAGGGCCTCTCCCCAAGCTACCCTTCTGCACTGGGCCTCCTTGGCTAGGTAGCTACAGCTTGGGAAGAGAGGGGACTCGATAAGGGAGTGGCTGCAGGATGCTGGCGAAACCCTGGGGAAGGGACCCAGTTTGTTCCTTGGGGTGCCATCTGGCATCCCTGCAAACGTTAAGACTTCATGGATTACCACAAAAACTGTCACATGGTCTGGGTCCCCACGAGGGGCAAATGTTCTGTCAATTTTTTCATGATTCTCTCTCCCAGCACTTTGTGAAGTGGGTGATGTGGGAACTGAGGCTCACAGAGGTTCAGTCCCTTGCCTGAGGCCTGAGGCCACATAGCTGGCTAGTGGGCAGGGCTGGGATTTGAACCTATAATTATAATTAGTTCATTAGGAGAAGAAGTCACATGCTAGGTAGAGGCCATCCTGGGGCCTGACCTTCTGCAGAGGAAGGGCTTGCTGGGCTGGGTGGGAGTGTGGCTCCCTAGGCGGGTGAGACCAGGATCCCTTCTCCTCTCAGATTAACGGTGGCCTTCTGTTATGACAGAAACAAGCTTTCACCGACGTGGCCACTGGCTCCCTGGGCCAGGGCCTCGGGGCCGCTTGTGGGATGGCCTACACCGGCAAATACTTCGACAAGGCCAGGTAACACACCTACTCCCCACCCCCAACCTGGGTAGTTTTGGGGAGTGGTCCTTGGGTGACCCACCCTTCACCATCGCCCCCAGACTCTTCCTCTTTCCTGGCTAGGGCAGAGTAATACATATGCGTGGCCTCTTTTGCTCTTTAAACATCCGCTATGGCTGGTGCCATGACCGGCCCCCTTTACAAATGAGGAAACACTCAGGAGTTAAGGGACCTGCCCTGGGTCCCTCAGCAGTGACTGGCAGGGCCAGGTTTGCACAGAGTGCGTGCTCTCAATCATGTGCTCTTCAGCCAGAGTGCTTAGGCTGAGGACTTCCTGTTTTGCCCCCAGCCCTGTGCCCAGACCCCAGAAGTCTCAGAAAGACCCACCCCCAGGCCCCTGTCTGACTAGGCACCAGGAGCCCAGGCCTGAGCCACTTGCCTTTATCTTGGTAAAGGGGAGGGTTGTATGTTCTGAGGGGTTCTGGGATACCTGTAAGCCACCTCCTATCAGCAGGGAAGAAACAAACATTTGAGAGATTGAGCCTTCAGAGGGTGGGTGATGAGCCTGACCAGAAAGGTGTGCTGCTCTAGCGCCCACCAGGTGATTTGTAGGAACGGCCCCCCAGGAAGGTTCTAGCCATAAGTTTGTCTGCGGTGGTCAGATATGGCCTGGGGGGATGAGGTTGTAAACTGTTAAGAATAATGGCTGGCTGAGGGAAGGATTGCTTGAGGCCAGGAGTTCCAGACCAGCCTAGGCAACAGAGCAAGACTCTCTCTACAAAAAATACAAAACTTAGCCAGGCATGGTGGTACACACCTGTAGTCCCAGCTACATAGGAGGCTGAGGTGGGAGGATCACTTGAGCCTAGGGCTTCAAGATTATAGCTATACATGATTGAGCCACTGCACCCTAGCCTGGGCTACAGAGCGAGACTCTGCCTCTTTAAAAAAAAAATTATTCTTTTTTTTAAAGAATAATCACTGTATTAGTCTGTTTCCACACTGCTGATAAAGGCATACCCAAGTCTGGGGAAGAAAAAGAGGTCTAATGGACTTACAGTTCCACATGGCTAGGGAGGCCTCACAGTCATGCTGGAAGGTAAGGAGGAACAAGTCACATCTTATGTGGAAGGCGCAGGCAAAGAGAGAGTTTGTGCAGGGAAACTCCCGTTTTTAAAACCATCAGATCTTGTGAGACTTATTCACCATCACGAGAACAGCATGGGGAAGACCTGTCCCCATGATTCAGTTATCTCCTGCTGGGCCCCTCCCACAACCAGTAGGAATTACGGGAGCTACAAGGTAAGATTTGGGTGGGGACCCAGAGCCTAACCATGTCAGTCACTCATCAGAAGGGTTCCTTTGCCCTTTGGGGGCTAGGCCCTGTGCTCAGTGCTCATGTGCTGTATTGGGTTCCACCTTTAAAAGCCCCCTGTGAGTTGGGTAGTGGTGTGAGAACCGTGACCCGTCTTACAGGTGAGGAAGCTGAGGCAAGATGCTGGCCTAGGCCATCCAGTTGGTGGTGGAGGTACCCAGGCTGCTCTTGGAGAGGCTGAGGGCACCACAGGAGCTCGGGGAGTCCTGTGGGCGGGAAGCCTCCTAGAGGAGGAAGGCCAGTGGGGCCAGCCCGCAGGGTGTGAGAAGGGCCCAGTTCTGCAGCTGATGGCATCTCCACTGCCCTGTCCTCCACTCCTGCAGCAGAAGTGCCATAGTGGGGTTCGGGAAGACTGTGGGTCCTTGAAGGACAGGAGGCTGCAGGGAGCACCTTCTGTGTGCAGGCCCTTCCCCAGGACTGGCTCTCCAAGGAGGCCTCACAGTCCCTTCCAGACCCCTTCAGGCCAGTGTCACCTGACCACAGTTTGCTTTCATTCCTTGGTGAGCCTTGGGGCAGGCTTGGCTACACCCAGAAGTGATTCACCATGAAGTAAAGAGAGAGAGACACACAAAGAATGAGATGCATGTTTAAGAGCATTTTATTTGGCAGAGAACCAGAGATGTGAGTTAATTATTCCCTACAGTTGCTGGAAATAATTCCCTGTGAAGGGGCATTTCCTGACCCTAACATAATGGAACAAGTCAGTGTAGGGAGAAGGAGTTTAGCTGGGTTCCCAGAAGCCAGGGTGGCTTGGGGCCAGGGTTGCCTGGAGCCTAGGCCCCTGACTGTACCTGGGGGAAGGGGCCAGGGCATCCAGGGATTATCATGTCAGGCCAGGCACCCGGAGGTAGCGTCTTGATAGAGCAAACTGGTCTCCACTCACTGTTTCTCCCTGCCCTCCTGTTTAAAAAGTACAGAATGATATTAAGAAATGAACGTTTTCCTTATTTTTTTATTTTTATTTTTTCTGAGATGGAGTCTCGCTCTGTCACCCAGGCTGGAGTGCAGTGGTACGATCTCGGCCCACTGCAACCTCCGCCTCCCGGGTTCAAGTGATTCTCCTCCTGCCTCAGCCTCCCGAGTAGCTGGGACTACAGGTACGTGCCACCACGCCTGGCTAATTTTTTGTATTTTTAGTAGAGACGGGCTTTCACCATGTTAGCCAGGATGGTCTCAATCTCCTGACCTTGTGATCTGCCCACCTCGGCCTCCCAAAGTGCTGGGATTACAGGCATGAGCCACTGCACCCAACCAATGTTTTCCTTATTCTTAGCACACTGCCTCCCACCCCCAATTTAAATCTAATGATGTATTTTGTCCATGTTATCATGAGAAAAGCTTACAAATCTGTAATCCCAGTGTGTGTGTGTGTGTGTGTGTGTGTGTGTGTGTGTGTGTATAATATAAAATCTAGTATTACACTTTAAACCAAGCCTTCTATCATGAGCTTTTTCTCCTGATATTAACAGTGGAGAGCTGGTTTTTTTTGTTTTGTTTTGTTTTTTTGAGATGGAGTCTTGCTCTGTCACCCAGGCTGGAGTGCAGTGGTGCCATCTTAGCTCACTGCAACCTCCGCCTCCTGGGTTCAAGTAATTCTCCTGCCTCAGCTTCCCGAGTAGCTGGGATTACAGACGCGCACCACCACACTCAGCTAATTTTTATATATTTAGTAGAGACGGGGTTTCATGACGTTGGCCAGGATGGTCAGTCTCAAACTCCTGACCTCAGGTCATCTCCCTACTTCAGCCTCCCAGAGTGCTGGGATTACAGGCGTGAGCCACTGCACACATCCTGAGAGCTGGTTTTAATGATCACATAATATTCTGTTTTATGGAGATGCTATAATCCATCTAGCCAGTCCTTTGTTGTTGGACACGTAAGGTAGTTTCCAAATCGTTCTACAACAAATGTCGACCTTCTGTTTAGGGTTCCCTCTCTTCAAATTAGTTCATGAATGGATGTTTGCAGCCCCCCACCCCTAACTCTAACAGCTCAGGCAATACCAAGCCTCAGGGTTAGCCCAGGCTCCTGTAGGCCCCTTCCCTGTTCACAACCCCTTCCTTGGCATCTCCTCGGGACCTCAGCACGCCCTCTGACCTGAGCCTGATGGCCCTGTAGGGCTTAGCCTTGTCCCTAGTCTCGAAGCCAAAGCTGTGCTGGGCCTCCAGTGCTAGCCTCGGTTCGACTTCCCTGGAAGTGGGTGTGGGCTTGGGGTGGCAGCCAGTTGCCTTCCCTGGAATCCCTTTCTGGGAAGTCGAGTTGGCTTCTCTGGCTCAGCCCCATCATGTGGCCCCTTTCTGGAGCTGCTGTGCCAGACCAGAGTCCCTGCAGGGTCTCTGGGCCCCCTCAAAACCTACAGGGGAAAGAGGAGGCAAGGCTGGGACAGGATAGGGCCTCTGAAGTGTGGGCCTGAGGCTTTGTCCTTCTGGCCATGGTACCCCACAGGGGCACCACCTCCTGTGGTGGAGGCCACAGAAGAGCAGTATGAGGCAGGAGAGGCTGCAGGGAGTGCTCCTGGCCTGCTGGCATGTGGAAGTGCTGAGTCATGCTGACAGCTCCGTGGCTAGCTGTCCCAGCCTCTTCCTGCTGCCCCTGCCTTGGCCCTGCGGCAGGGAGGCCTGGAGGCTTGGACTGCTGAGCATGCAGCCGGGTTGAGGGCCTTTTCCTGCAGGAGCAGGAGGGCAGCCATGTCCCCTCTGAGCCCAACCAGGCACCAGCCTCATTTCCTAGGGCTACACAGCTAGACACTGGGCAGGGTAAGGGGAGGTCCCCAAGTCCTACCACTCCTCACCCTACTTGCATGCCTGCACGGCAAGGAGCGGACAGTCTAGGCTACAGTCAGACCTGCGTTTGAATCCTGGCTCAGCAACTTCCTGACAGCGCGACCTTCAGACAAGTCCTGTCTGTTGCTGCCGTCCCTCTGCTACCCCCATCCCCTCACATCTCCCAGGCCGGGAACGTTCTGTTTGCTGGGTAATTTATCCCAAGTTCAGTGTTCTTTTTAACGTCTCACTGTCTTGAAAAGATCACAGTTGCCTGTGTTGAGGGGAGGAGAGGGCCCCTGTGGTAGAGAAAGAGCCAGGTGCAGCTTCAGTCTTGGGGTCAAGAGCTAGTCTTGGAAGCTTGGGGAGAGCCTGTCCCAGGAAGCGCCTGGTCCTCAAGTGCCCTCTGCTCTATCCTCCCCAGAGCCCTCTTGCTCCAGGGTGTTGCCTAGAGTGCCTCAGGCCTCCTTGGCCCACCTCCCTCCTCCGGGCAGAAGCAGAGCTTGGTTCCCAAGGTTCCCCTTTCCCACTGGCCCACCCAGCCAGTCCCAAGGCCTCCTCCAACCTCTGGTTCACAGCGGGGTCTGTCCCCTGCAGCAGGTGGCTCAAGCCTATTCACCCACCCTTCCTCACTTTCCTCTCATTCCAACAACCCCCATTTTTCTAGATCTTATTAGCCAGATCCCTGTTGTCCTAGACCTCTGTTTCTTAACAACCAGTACTTCTTCCTGAGCTCCTGACGTCTTCCTTCATGCCATTTTCTCTTGGGGTGTGGCTTGTGGTAGGCTGCAGGAACCTGGTGACACTGTTGCCCCTCGAGTGTAAATGCCATCTGTTCTGCATATCCATGCGTGGCTGCTCCTTTACCCAGAATGCAGGCTCCTTGGATGGGTGGGGGGGTGGGAGCCAGCTGGGTCCAGGTGAGAGGGACTGGCCTGATTCACTCTCTGTCCACAGCTACCGAGTCTATTGCTTGCTGGGAGACGGGGAGCTGTCAGAGGGCTCTGTATGGGAGGCCATGGCCTTCGCCAGCATCTATAAGCTGGACAACCTTGTGGCCATTCTAGACATCAATCGCCTGGGCCAGAGTGACCCGGCCCCACTGCAGCACCAGATGGACATCTACCAGAAGCGGTGCGAGGCCTTCGGGTATGTACGAGGCTGTGGCCTGAGTGTGGTCACAGCACGGGAGAGTGGTCTGTGATCACAGCTTTGCAGGTGCAGGTGCAGGAGCTGAAGCTGGGACCTTAAGCACCATCTAAAGGTCCCTTTCTTTAGCATTTGACTCACAATTTCAAACTCTAGGCATTTGGACTTAATGGCTCAGGATATGTGGGCCAGGCCCAGTTTTAAGTGAGTTTCCTTGTTTTCGTGGTTGTGGCATGGTGGCTCTCGGAGCTTCCACACACCATCTCACGTCAGCTCGCTTTGTTCTTGAGGAAGGAGGGTTCTTGAGGGATGGGGGCTTGCTCGGTAAAGCTAAAGGATGTATAGCTGCGGAGAGGTTTGAACCTCAGTTTGGTGGCCACGTCCTGTGCCCAGCCCCGCCCAGCCTGGGGAGGAGGAACAGGCTCCTGGTGAAATGGGAGATAGGGTTTCCAGATGCCCCCCTTCGGCCTTGATTGGTTACAAATTCAGGGTCAAAGGGCACAAAGCAGGGAGGTCAATCTGCATGGGTGTCAGCCAGAGGGGCTCCACCTCAAAGCCTCCACCGGTGTTGCCAAACACAAGCTGCTCTGCACAGGGGCCCAGCATTGGCTGAGGAGGCTGTGGAGGGGAGGGAGCAGGGCAGGTGCCGTGCAAGGCTTTGAGACTCAGGTCAGGCCTCCAGGACTGCGTTTTGCGGATGAACCCATGCCTGTGACTACACTAAGTAACAGGATGCTTGGGGTTACCTTGCAGTAGCACAGCATACGCAGGCCTGTGTTCCCTGATGACTGACCTCAGAAAGGGAGAGGAGGAAGGGAGGAAATAATCTCTGTTGGACAGGCGAGGAAACTGAGCCACAGGGTCCTCACCCCACAGGCCTCCCCAAGGCCACATCTATCTGGGGACTCAGAGTACAACCCCAGCAGCACCCCCAGGACCTGTGTCCATAACCTCGTGACTCAAGCCAGATTCCTGAAGTCCTGGCTCCACCGCTAACTTGCTTTGTGGCGTGGGTCACGTTACTTACTCCACCTTCGGTGTCTCAGTTGATTTGTCTGTACAATGGGGCCAGCTCAGCACCCAAGCATGGCGTGGTGAGGCTTCAGTGGGCTAATATGGGTAGTGGTTGGCATGGCACTCAGTTTGAGAAGTGCTATTTTTATTCTTATGTCAAAAAGAGTCCCCAAAAGGATAGCTTTTCAAGAGAAAGGGTGCTCTGCCCCAGCTCCTTCCTGTATATTTGACTCCATGGTTCATTTCAAAAACATTTCCAGCACCACATCCAGCATCTGTGGAGTGATCAAATGTGTTCCCCAAATAAGAATTGGGCCAAAAAATTCATCAAGAATCTAATAGCAGACAGATTCCAAACCCAGTGCGCTGACCCCAGAACAGCTTTCAGTAGGAAATGAGCAGATCAGGAATGAAAGAGACAATAAAGGAACTGAGCTCTGGATTACTTAAGAGGAGGAGGAAAACCTGTTCAGAGGCAAACAAAAGGAAGTAAAATAATGTGAAAAAGAAAAGGATTTAAAAAACCCAAACTGGAAACAGGAATGTTGCAAGCTTTCTACTACTCCAGCTGAGGCCGCAGTTGTGGGGTGGAGCCTGGGCAGACCCCAGCTGCCAAGGCAGACCTTTCCCTGGAAGGCTCCTCGGTGTTGTGGCCCCTGGGAATTGCCCCTTACTCTCTGCCCCCTGTCCCCAGTTGGCATGCCATCATCGTGGATGGACACAGCGTGGAGGAGCTGTGCAAGGCCTTTGGCCAGGCCAAGCACCAGCCAACAGCCATCATTGCCAAGACCTTCAAGGGCCGAGGGATCACGGGTCAGTATGCACAAGCCGCCCTCCCCACCTTCACCCCTCGCCCAGACACTGTGGCTACGTAGCTCTGACCCGCACATCCAGGGAAACAGCCCTTGCTGCTCACTGAGCTCACCAGGCTCCAGGGAAGGGGAGCGGGAGATGCTGTGACTCAGTGACCCCTGTGGCTGAGCCAGGATTTAAACTCAGATCCGTCTGGCCTCTGCCGGTGGGGGCATGTACAGGCAGGAGGAGAGGAGGGACTTGGAGGGTCTGTGGGTGAGAGGAAGGTCGTGGAGTGAGGCAGCCCCCGTGCCCCACCCTGGCTGGTGCCTTTCAGAGCTGCAGCTGTGTGTGCTCTGCCAGCTCCGGCCACCTGCTCCAGCTGAAGGGCCGACACAGAGCCAGGCAGGGCCCGGAGAGAACTGTTCCCTCCAGGAGGTGAGTGGGGTACTCCTCAAGCAATGGCAGATGCTGAGCAAGGCCTGTGTGGGCCAAGAGCCTTGGGGGGTTTGGAACCTGGGTTCTGCCCCAGGCCGGAGAATGAGGCAGGCGTAAGTCACTCCCTGGCACCCAGGTGTGGGCTTCAGATTCCTAGGCCTGGGATGGCCTCACCCATTTTAAAGATGGGAAAATGAGACTACAAGTGGTCAGGGACTTGCCCGGGGACAGAGGAAGTCTATGGCACGAGGGGGGCTGATCCCAGGGCCTGGGTCGGCTTCCCTGCCAAATGCCCCTGGCTGCCCACCTGCCTGCTCTCAGGGGTTGTGGCTTGTTCTGCCCATGTAGACTCAGGTATATGAGGATGTTCTGAGTGGGGGTTTGGCAGTGCTGGGAGGTGTCTGGGAGGGGGTGGATGTCGAGGAAAGGGCTCTGGGATATTGTCATGGCTTTGGTGCTGCTGCCTGGCACTGCCCTCTGGTGTTAAAAATGGGCAGGATCTGGACCACTTGCAGCTTCTTGGGGGCTCCTGCTAGTCTTTCGGGCTGCTGGGTGCTACCTGGGAGTTCAGTCTGTTCTTGGCTCTGGCCAGACTCTAGTGACTACTGAGGTGACCTCCAGGGAGAGGGATATTCAGCCTTCCTGGCCGCACACAACAAGGTGCCATGGGGTGGGCATGCCTAGGTGCTTATAGACTCCTCTGCTGCTCACAGATGCATTGGGTGACCCTGGAAGCCCTGTTCTGGGCCTTGGGTTCCCCTTCTGATGGCCAGGGTCCCTTCCAACCCAGTCGACAAACTGAGTATTTCTGCAGCAGACACCTCTACCTGTGTGTGACCCTGCAGGCGGGGTTGTGGGGAGGAAGAGAATGGACACATTGGTGAAGGGATGGGGCAGTGGGCCCAGAAACACACACCTGCCCACGTCTGGCCCCTCCTTTCCCACTCAGCTGTGAGCTCCCAAAGGACCAGGCAGTAGACAGTGAGTGGTGGGCACGTAGGAGTCCATCCTATTCACTGCGACCCTCCTTTCCTGGCCCCCGTGCCTGGCTGGGCTCTGCCTGTCTGGGATGATGCCATTCCTCCCTTGCCCTCGGCAGGTAGAGGGCCAGTCTCCTGGAGCAGCCTCCTGGCCCTCTGGGAGCTTCTGTCTTACCCATTCCTCTGTCCTCCCGTGTTGGGTCTGCAGGGGTAGAAGATAAGGAGTCTTGGCATGGGAAGCCCCTCCCCAAAAACATGGCTGAGCAGATCATCCAGGAGATCTACAGCCAGATCCAGAGCAAAAAGAAGATCCTGGCAACCCCTCCACAGGAGGACGCACCCTCAGTGGACATTGCCAACATCCGCATGCCCAGCCTGCCCAGCTACAAAGTTGGGGACAAGGTACAAAGTGGGGCCTGTTTCTCTGAACCCATAGTTCTCAGGTTTCCCAAGTCTGTGGCCCAGATACACCCTCTGGAGGGCTGGGAAAGGGAGGAGAGCGATTCATTTAGGGCGAGGAGTGATCCCTGAGGTGTTGTTCCTGTCACTTCCCTCAGAATGACAGACATCTCTGGAGTTGACCTGCAGAGGCTCAGACCGGGCAAGGGAATTGCCCACTTAGCAAGCTTAGCAAGCTACTGACAGAACTGAGATCAAAGCCAAGGACTCACTCCCAAGTTCTTGCATCGCTGGTCCACGAGGGACCCTTGGCCTGAGCTCAGGACCCCCACCTGACCTGGGAAAGGCTAGGCAGAGCTGTCCCACTCCAGGTTTCTGTCCCAAGGGAACCCATCCATGCAGCCTGTGCCTGGCCTTGACTCCCAAGCCTTCTGTGTTCCCATGCAAAGTGGAATAGGTTCATGGACCTGGTGCAGCAGGCGGGAAGTTGGGGCTGGTGGGTGTCTTCTGTAGCTTATACCTTTCACAGCCAGAAGGGGCCGGGGCTCCAGGGGCTCCCAAGACATTGACCGTAGTCGTTGGCAACCTTTCAGCAGTTAAAAGCCTCTGCAGGACCTTGTGCTCCAGGGCTTCCATTTTTGGCCCCGTTTTAATCCTTCTCTGAAAGCAGGGCTCCAGGCTGCAGGTGTGCACTCACCCTCAGAGGGGTCCAGAGCCTTCCCACTCTCTTCCTCACAGATAGCCACCCGCAAGGCCTACGGGCAGGCACTGGCCAAGCTGGGCCATGCCAGTGACCGCATCATCGCCCTGGATGGGGACACCAAAAATTCCACCTTCTCGGAGATCTTCAAAAAGGAGCACCCGGACCGCTTCATCGAGTGCTACATTGCTGAGCAGAACATGGTAGGTGCTGGGGCCGGCAGGGACAGGTCCACCCAAGGCTGAGGGCTGTGGTCTGAGGGGTGCGGGGCAGCCATGTTGGCAGAGCCAGGTGCCTGCTGTAGGCCAGCCCAGGGAGACTATAAGAAAAGCCAGGACCCAGCGTTAACCCCTGACCTTGAACAGCCACAGTTTGGGAGGTTCTGCCCAGGTGCAAATGTCCTGGACAGGTGTGCACATGGGGGAGCCGAATGGGACTGCAGGTGCTCTCAGGAGGAGCTGCGTACAGGCCAGGCCTGGTGGTGAATGGGGTCTCTTCCAGGTGGAGGACAGGCCTGGCCAGTAGGTGGGGCCGTGATGGGTTTAGCAGCCCGAGTCTGTAGAGCACCTGTAATGCACACGGCTCTGGGCCCTGCCACCCTGAGGGATGCAGAGATGAGGGAACTCTGGGCCCCTGACATGTACCCATTTGGGGAAGCAGACCCTTGTCAGGAACTGAGGTTGTGAAGTAAGGAACAATGTTTTGTCCATGTTTTCAAAATATCCCCTCCTGGTGGTCCAGGAGCCCAGCCTGGCTTGCAGGCCCCTAGGGACAGGGAGCTTCCTCTCTCTGGAGGGCACTCAGATCTCCAGAGTTCTTCCAACTGGACCTGAAATTCTCTCTGTGGTTTCCAGAGACTGCTCTGCAGGGCGTGGGGCTGGGGAGGTCCCAGGTACTAGGGAAAGAGGCCTTGTGTTGGCTGGCAGATTTTGGAGCCTTGAAGGGCAGCTGGTTTGGAACTGATGACTGTACTCAGTGCTGCTTCTGGATGAGTGATTTGGGGCCTGGAGCCTCAGCAGGCATGAGGCTGCTGCCCTCGGACCCCAGGGAGGGGTTGGGAGGACCGGTCTCTGCAGAAGAAGGTGGTGGGGGACATATTCAGAAGCCCAGAAAGGATGGACAATCTATATACAAATTGTGGCTTTCTCCACAAAAGGGGTCCTAGGCTCCCCGACCACCCTCTGCCTGCCCCTTTGGGCTGACCCTGTCCCACCTGCCCCCAGGTGAGCATCGCGGTGGGCTGTGCCACCCGCAACAGGACGGTGCCCTTCTGCAGCACTTTTGCAGCCTTCTTCACGCGGGCCTTTGACCAGATTCGCATGGCCGCCATCTCCGAGAGCAACATCAACCTCTGCGGCTCCCACTGCGGCGTTTCCATCGGTGAGTTTAGCCAGGGTGTTTACACCTGGAGCTCCCTTGACTTTTGCACCAGGAGGTATGGGAGGGGGATGGGCCAGGATTCCAGCCCATGGATGGGGGGGTAGGGGTCTTATTTCTGCATATCCTTTCCCCCACACCCCAGGGGAAGACGGGCCCTCCCAGATGGCCCTAGAAGATCTGGCTATGTTTCGGTCAGTCCCCACATCAACTGTCTTTTACCCAAGTGATGGCGTTGCTACAGAGAAGGCAGTGGAACTAGCCGCCAATACAAAGGTAGGTTGCATGGCTGTTCTTTCTCCTGCTGGCAGCCATCACTTCCCAAGGGAAACAGAAGAGGAGGCCAGAGCTGGTCACTTGCTGCCCCAGGGGGTGTTTCCTGACCTTGCCCCTGGTGTTCGTGTAGCTTGTGGAAGTTAGACAAGAAAAAACGAAATACACACCCCACTTACTGCCACGTGGCAGACATTGTCAACTGATTGCCAGTCTGTCTCTGCTGAGAATCCTGGCAGCCCTGGCCGGTCCAGCGGTTGACACCTCTCCACCCTCCTGAGTTGGGTTCTCCAAGACAGGCAAGGATGAGCTGAGCCCTGTGGTCCAGGCCCGGAGCTGCATGCCACAGACCCAGTGCGCGTGGTTCCTGCCCCTCTGCCTGGTGCAGTCTGTGGGAGTAGCCCACCTGCAGCCAGTCTACCTGGTGGAAAGTTGCCTTCGGTCTGAGGCTGCAAGGTGGTGGGCAGTTCTCAGAGTGTTCAAGTGGGGTGCGGGCGGCAGAGGGCAAGCAAGGCCCTTTTCCCTGCTGGAGTAGCCAGGATGCAGTAACTAACGCTCCCATGGGAAGGGATGGCCTCTCTAGAAAGACCTCGTCTCTGAGGTTGGGTGTGCCACATCCTGTATCCTCAGTTTATCTGTTTCGGTCTCAGGGTATCTGCTTCATCCGGACCAGCCGCCCAGAAAATGCCATCATCTATAACAACAATGAGGACTTCCAGGTCGGACAAGCCAAGGTCAGTGCCTCGCATGCCCCAGGAGCCCACAGAGCTGCCTGGACCCTCCCTGCTGTGACTCCCAGCAGTCAGGGCACACCCTGCCCCAGGGCCCTGAGCCTTACTCACCCTCTGTGTCACCCCCAGGTGGTCCTGAAGAGCAAGGATGACCAGGTGACCGTTATCGGGGCTGGGGTGACCCTGCACGAGGCCTTGGCCGCTGCCGAACTGCTGAAGAAAGGTGAGGAGAAGGGGCCTCCAAAGTCATCAACTGAGCGGCCACTGCATGCTAGGTCTTGGGGTTCTTTCTTTCGTTCTTTCTGTTCTTTCTTGAAGAGCTCACAGCTAGAGAGAAAGCATTTCATTTCATTAAATAATGATAGCAATTATAGCCATCCTTTGAGCACTTGTTCTGTCTGGCATGTTGCTAAGTCCTGGGGCTGCAGTGCCCACAGTCCCTACCCTATGACTCTAAAGTCGAGACCCCCCCAGCATGGTGGCCAGATCAGTGGCCTGGAGCCTGCCAGCTGGGCTGGAATCACTCAGCCAGGCACTAGTTAAGGAAGTAAGTTATTCACTGTCACCATGCCTGTTTTCCTATCTGTAAAATGGAGATACTAGCCCCTTGCCCTCAGAGCTCTCCTGAGGGTTACATGCATGTGACTTGGTATTCTATTATTATTACTGCGAGCTCACAGTGTTGGCTAGTGGTTTGTAGGGGAGACAGGCATTGGCCTCTCCTGCAATAGAATCACACAGCAGATGTCATGTTTTAGCACGAAAGAGGGGGCAGGTGTGGCATCTTCCAGAAAGTGGCTTCAGAGTGGGTAGGAATTGATTAGCAGAGAGGAGAGTGAAGGGAGGCCGGAGGAGGGTCAGGCAGGAGCAAGATGGGGCTGGAGGAGCCAGAGGAGTCCATCCCCAGGCAGGGGGAGACCCAGGGGGGTGAGCTTTAAGCAGGGCCTGGCAAGCGTGGGTTTGTCCTTCTGAGAAGGTGCCTCTGCTGCTGGGGCCGCACGTGGGCCTCTGATCACTCTGCGGGCTGCAGCTCCCCAACGTCACCACATCAAGCCTCACCTTCCATCAGGCCAGACACCTGGGGTGTTTTCTCTCGCATTCCCTTTGTCTTCAAGGTTGTGGGAGGATGAGGGAAGGCGCTCAGGGCCTGCACGCTCCGCTCTGGGTTCTTGGATACTGCGGGCAACACAGCTGGACCAGATGCCCCAGTGCAAGGGGTTGGCAAGCATGAGCTCAGCCATGGGAACGAGGTGGCAAGTGGTTCTCCCTGGGACAGGGACAGGCCCGCAGGCTGAGCTCTTAGCTACACGCAGCCCTCAGGATGTCCCACCAGGCCCCCACCAGGGCAGATAGTGGTGCCCAGCCCTCCCCTCAGCCACGCCGTGTGCTCTCCCTCACAGAAAAGATCAACATCCGCGTGCTGGACCCCTTCACCATCAAGCCCCTGGACAGAAAACTCATTCTCGACAGCGCTCGTGCCACCAAGGGCAGGATCCTCACCGTGGAGGACCATTATTATGAAGGTAAGGAGGCCTGGGGCAGGCAGGCTGGGCAAGGGACAGGGCCAGAGAGCCGAGCGTTGGACGTGCCTCTTCTATCTGAGCCCCAGGAGGGCAGCTGTGGCCCAGAACACCCAGAGCTGTCCCTCAGAGCAGCTGGGACGTGGTCTCTTAAAAGGCCTCAGGCTTGGCCTGGGGACCTAGCTAACTCACAGCTGCTGATGAGCTCTGTGGAGCTCCTGCTGCCCAGGAAGCTGGTGAGGATTCCAACCTCGCTGCTAAATGGTGGATGGTGGCGTCCCTGAGGTAGTGTAGGGTGGAAGCTATGGTGCAGCTTGGGAAGCAATGCAGAATTTCTGGTATTTGTGAGTCCTTCACACAGCAGGCTCCCTAAGTACACACCAGCCTCTCTAAGTAGGAGGCCCCAGTGGGAGAGATGGGCTTTGACTCTGGGGTCAAATGTAGATAATTGGACTATGGACAGTGGCTGGCTGGTCACCAACAATGGTGTTTGAAACAAACATTTAGAGGCCATATTTGGGCTTATAAAAATAGTTCTGGGCCGTGCATGGTGGCTCACACCTGCAATCCCAGCACTTTGGGAGGCTGAGGACAGCGGATTTCTTGAGCTCAGGAGTTGGGAGACCAGCCTGGGCAACATGGTGATACCTGTCTGTCTCTTTAAAATAAAAAAAATCAATGAGTTATGTGATGGGCTCATGGCTACAGGTGGAGAAAGGCAGTGCATATGCAGCCTCCTCCATCCTTGACTAAGGCTGACAGAGGGCTGGGCCCACCACTGCTCACCCTGAGGCCTCGTCTTCTGACTCCCCTCCTTTCATTTCTAGGTGGCATTGGTGAGGCTGTGTCCAGTGCAGTAGTGGGCGAGCCTGGCATCACTGTCACCCACCTGGCAGTTAACCGGGTACCAAGAAGTGGGAAGCCGGCTGAGCTGCTGAAGATGTTTGGTATCGACAGGGATGCCATTGCACAAGCTGTGAGGGGCCTCATCACCAAGGCCTAGGGCGGGTATGAAGTGTGGGGCGGGGGTCTATACATTCCTGAGATTCTGGGAAAGGTGCTCAAAGATGTACTGAGAGGAGGGGTAAATATATGTTTTGAGAAAAATGAATTGGCCCTGAAATGTTTTCTTTTTTGATGTGTTTGCAGCCAGTGCAGGTTCTGGGGAAGAAGCGTGGAGGGTGCGCTAGGGAGGCTGGTGTCCTTGGTCCTGGGCCAGGACCTGGGTGTCCCAAGTCCCCTTGGAATCACCTGCAACTGCCCTCAACCTCCAGAACTATCGCTGCCTCCCATTCATCACCAGGTGACATTTGACTGCAACCTGCCTTCTAGCTGAGAGGCTGAGACCTACATCCCTCATTGTGACCTCAGTCCACCTGGCCCTGAGCGGGCTGGGGAACTGCCTCAGTCTGGAAGCTGACCAGGCACTCTCAGGGCCGCCCCACCTCCCCCAAGTCCCCACAGCCTTGCAGTCAGGTCTCCTGGGATAGGGAGGTTCACTTGCTTGTTGTCCCTCGTCCTTGTCATATCCTTTTAACTAGGCATCTCAGAGAAGCAGAGACAGGGCAGCCTTCGTCCTGGGGGAAAAGGGACCCTCAGGATGGCATGAGAGGTCCTCAATCCCAAGTGTGGAACTGTCCCCCTCAACTTGTTAAAATGCAGATTTCTGGGTCTTGCCAATGGGGCCTGGGACTCCATGTGACAACTGGCCCAGGAGCTTCTGATGTCACACAGAATTCTGCAGTCCCAAGCTCCAGCCCCGACCTGCTCTGCTGTTCCTAGGTGACTGCCCTCACACTGCTGACCACAGTGGATTTCTCCCCCTGCTGCTCGGGCTCAGCTGGGGTCAGCCCTGCTTATAAGGTCAACTGTGCAAAACCTTATACTGGCCAAGAACAAACTAGTGCTGGGGGAGGAGGGCTGGGTGCCCCGGCCACTGGTGGAGTCCCCAGGAAATCCTCAGAGCTGTTGCGAGGATGAGACACATTTGTGGACACGTCCACCTGTCCTCCTGACCGTCTGGAGAGAATAAACCTGTCAAAGCCAAGGTCAGGCAATTGCCCCCCACTTAGCTACCCAGCCAGGTCTAGCAGTGCCAGAGGCTGTGCCTGTGTTTGCCTCAACACCAATTCCAGAGGGACCAGGCATGGGGTGATGTGGTTTGGTCCCAGGGGGGTGCCCTGGGCTGATGCCTGTTCACCAGTGTGTTGAGGGCAGACCTGGGATTGGAACCTGGGTCTCTGTGAGTCTAGAGATCCCACCTTCTGTACCCTACTGCCCCTAGGGCCCTCAAAAGAGGAATCATGCAGTAGGCTCCCAGGAGGGCCCTGGTCCCATAGGATGATGGGAACAGCCTGGGGCTCAGGTCCTGTGCGTCTCCAGAGCCCACAGGCCCCTGCAGAGAATCTAGAGGCAAATACTGGGACAAGGACACCTGAGCCATAGGCACAGGCCCAGCCAGCAGCCTGGTGAGCCCATCTACACTGGCTAGCCATGCCCCAAGGACCTGGGAGGCCTGGCTAACCCAAAGTAGAGGGACAGGAGGGGCAGCTGCCCTCACCTCCAGCCTGCCTGGCCTCTCCCAGGCCCACACAGCTTGTGAAGAAGAAGACGAGAGCCTGGGCAGCAGGCGCCGGGGCCTGGGCAGGATGAGGGAGGAGAGTCAAGAACCCTGACCCAGTCACCCAGACCCAGTCCGGGGACATCAAGGCTACAGGAAGCTGGGACATTCAGGAATCCCAGAGCTGAAAAACTCTGCCTCCTTTTTGGCGAGAAGACTTAGAGTATAATGTGCTTAGTGTAGGGCGTGCTTGGTGCGGAGTGTGCTGGAGGCCATCACTGGGTCCTCATGGGAGCCTGACGAACTTGTCATTTCTCCCTCAGCCCCTGCTCAGGAAATACGGGAAGCCAAGACAGTGCCTGAGGCCTGACTGGAGGCTGGTGTGGCCTGACCTGTCAGCTAGCAAGGCCTGGCGGTGCCTCATGGCATAGACAGCTGAGCAGGAGGGCAGCATGGCCCCCCAGCAGCCTAGGACAAACTTTCCTGGCACCAGGGAAAGCCCCTCCCACCCCTGCTGGTAAAGGGGATGCTGAGGCTACAATCCACACAGCCAGGAGCCGGGATGCAGCTGCAAGGAGGGCGTGCTGGTGACCCCTCACGTCCCTACCCACTTGGGCAAAGGCTGTGGCAGCTGAGCCTGATAGGGGCGGGCAGGGCTGGGGGCAAACTCCCCAGACCAAAACCACCCCCACCACCCTCTGCTCAGTACATGGGGCAGTCCTCTCCCCAAGCCTCAGTTTCCTCATTTGTTCAGTGGGAATCATGACGGCCTCACAAGGCTGTTGTGAGAATGAAATAAGAGAAGTGTTAATGCCTTTAGAACACTGCTAGGCAGATACGGGCTCAGAAGAAGTTGGAATTCCTAACCGTTCACAGGCAGGGCCACCTGGCTGGGGGGCGCCTTTGTCACTGTGCGTTGTGTGACTACAGACATTTAGGAAGCACAGACTTCTGCCCGTAGCAGCCCATGCTGGGCAGTCGGGGCCTGGCTCTCAGGGGTGGTGGCCCAGCACACAGCTGTTCAACTTGATCATAACTGTCCTTGACACAGCCCTGACCTGTTGGTTATCAGCTTCACTGTGATATAATTCACATAGCACACAATTCACCTATTTGAAGTATATTATTCAGTGGGTTTTAATATATTCACCAAGTTGTGCAACAACGCCACAGTCAATTCCAAAATATTTCCATCATCCCCAAAAGGAACCCTCTATCAGTCCTCTGCTGAGGGCCACACAGATGCCTCTTGCTGCAGAGCTGGGATCACAGCTGTCCCCTTGCTCCCACCAAAGGTCCCCTCCCAAGATGGGTGTGTGTAGGGCAGGATCTGGGTCCTGCCATGAAGGGAAAAAACCACTTCAAACAGCTTGTCCTGCTTTCCCACCTCAAGGGCGAGGCTCTGCCTGCAGGACCTGGGGCCCATGTGTCCTCGCTGGTCCTCTTTGGGAGGAGGAAGAGGGGAGAGGAGGGTGAAGGCTGTTGGCCACTGCGCTGGGTGGGATTCCAGAAACCGACGCTCAGGGATTGGGTTTTACGGACACACGGATCTGCAGTATGAATCATGAAAACACCAACACACAGAAAATGGGGAAAGGAACAGCACAGCAGAACATAATGTTGCTGACTACAGGCTCCTTCCCCTGCTCAGGGAGGACCCAAAGCTACGTCTCCTACCCCAGTCTTCACTCCAGAGAAGGGGGGTTGCCCAGACATGGCCCTAAGGGCAAGATGAGGAAAGTTTCTGAGTTGGGCCCAGGGGGTGCTGGCAACCCAGGTTGGACACCCAGGGCCTGTATTCACGCTGGTTTTGGTGGTTTATTCTAGGTCAGGCACAACCTTGGGAAGAATGAGCCCTTTGTTCCTGGTTCAGCTGGCAAGACAGGAAAGGGCTGCCCTAGGGTCCGGGGTCCTGCCGCTGCCCCACAGCCTGGGCCTGAAAGCTGCCGAAGCCCCAGTCAGCTCAAGCTGCCATGAGACAGTACCATAGGCTGGGTTGCTCAAGTAACAGAAGTGTGCTTCTCACTGTGCTAGAGGCTGGGAAGTCCAAAATCAAGATGTTGCCCCTTCAGTTTCCAGCAAGGCTCTCTTCTGGGCTTGCAGGTGGCCTTGCCTCTGTGTGTGCTGGGGGCAGGAAGATCGAGCCCTCTCTGGTGCGTCTTATAGTATAAGGACACTAATCCCATCAGATCAGGGCTTCACCCTTAGGACCTCGTTTAACCTTAGTTAACTTTTTACAGAACCTGTCTCCAAATACAGTCACATTAGGGGTTAGAGCTTCAAATTATGAATTTGGGTTTGGTTGGGGGCCACAGCTCAGTCCATAGCAGCCCTCAAATCTGCCAAGTTCACAGTTCACTTCTCTCCCAGGGGCACACTATTCTGGATGTCGGAACTTGAAGTATAAGAGAAAAATGAAACTATCTTGAGATTTAAATGAGAAGAGGGGGCTGGGTGCAGTGGCTCATGTCTGTAATCCCAGCACTTTGGAGGCCAAGGCAGGAGGATCACTTTTGCCCAGGAGTTCAAGACCAGCCTGACATCATGGAGAAACCCCATCTCTACACAAAATACGAAAATTAGCTAGGCAGCAGCATGCACCTGTGGTCTCAGCTACTCAGGAGGCTGAGGTAGGAGGATCACTTGAGCCTGGGAAATGGAGGTTGCAGGGAGCTGTGAGCACACCTCTGCACTCCAGCCAGGGCAACAGAGCAAGATCCTGTCTCAAAAAATAAATAAAAGCTAGAAAGAAGGAGGGTTCTTTAAAAAGGGAGCAGAGGCCGGGTGTAGTAGCTCACACCCGTAATCCCAACACTTTAGGAGGCCGAGGCAGGTGGATCACCTGAGGTCAGGAGTTTGAGACCAGCCTGACCAACATGGTGAAACCACGTCTCTACTAAACATATAAAAATTAGCCAGGCATGGTGGTGTGCACCTGTAATCCCAGCTACTCAGGAGGCTGAGGCACAAGAATCACTTGAACCTGGGAGGTGGAGGTTGCAGTGAACCAAGATGGCATCACTGCACTCCAGCCTGGGCGACAGAGCGAGACTCTGTCTCAAAAAAAAAAAAAAAAAAAAAAAGCAGAAACCCATCAGCAGGCCACTGAGCACCCCTCCACACACGTCCAGGTCCAGGGCAGGAGAAAACCCCAATCCCCCTCCTTGATCTGGGTCTCACCTCCCAACAACAACAAAGTTTCCAACACTGGCAAATGTGGGTTTCTGCCTCAAGTCTTCATCAAAGTACCTCAGGTAGTCTTAATTAGTACAGCAAGTTGTACATGGTATGTTTTTATGTTTTTAGTGATTTCAGATCTGAACATTCTATACGTATGTTTTTCACATGTTTTCACAGGAGGAAGGGACAACCAACCAGAGAGTTTTTGTTTTGTTTGTTTGTTTGAGACAGGGTCTCACTTTGTGGCTCAGGCTGGAGTGCTGTGGTGTGATCTTGGCTCACTGCAGCCTCGGCTCCAGGGCTCAAGTGAACCTCCCACCTCAGCCCTGAGTAAGCTGGGTCTACAGGTGTGCACCACCACACCCAGCTAATTTTTGTATTCTTTGTATACACAGGGTCACCCCGAGTAAGCTCGGTCTACAGGTGTGCACCACCACACCCAGCTAATTTTTGTATTCTTTGTATACACAGGGTCTCCCCATGTTGCTCAGGCTGGTCTCGAACTCGTGAGCTCAAGCAATCCACCAGTCTTGGCCTCCCAAAGTGCTCGGATTACAGGTGTGAGCTGCTGCGTCCGGCCTACTGACCAGAGTTTTAACAAAAACTTCCCATCCATACACCACACTTTAAATTCTGGAAGTTTCCATCTCCACTCCTGTATGTCTAAAAGACTGAGAAATCCCCGAACTGGATAAGGCGCTTTATCCCTTTAAGAGTTTAATTGGAGACAAGCAGAGACCTCTGCACATGCTTGAGCCCAGGTTCCCCAGGGGTGGGGGGTAAAGGGCTTTGACATTTCCACCCCACCAGGAATTTCATTTGAGCTGATCTCTGCAACATAGATCTCAGCAATTGCCTGTCCATTCATCCTCACAGGCCCACGTTGCATTGCTTTGCAGGCGGTAGTGGCCTGCATGGAAGAGGAGCCTGCAGCGCCACCTGTAGGGCTGGGGAGGGATGGACTCATGGACCAGAGATCCTGGCTGCAGCAGTGCCTCCTGGTCGTTGTCACACACAACTGAAACTGCAAGGTACATGCTGGGACAAAGATGTCAGGCTCACTCCCTGTGAGACTAGGCAGGGCTCTCTTCCAATGACACCGGAGTTCATTGATTTTACTTTTTCCTTATTTTATTTTTTCTAAATTTTATTTAATTTTATTTTTTGAGATAGTGTCTCACTCTGTTGCCTGGGCTGGAGTGCAGTGGCATGATCTCACTGCAGCCTCGACCTCCTGGGCTCTGGTGATTCTCCCACCTCAGCCTCCTGAGTAGCTGGAACTACAGGTACATGCCATCAAACCTAGCTAATTTTTGTGTTTTTTGTACAGATGGAGTTTCACCATATTGCCCAGGCTAGTTAAATTTTACTTTTTAAAAGGCTAAACTCGAACTCCTGGGCTCAAGCAATCCTCCCACCTCAGCCTTTCCAGTAGCTGAGACTACAAACGTGCGCCACCGCACCCAGTTTGCTTTTATTTATTTTTGAGACGGAGTCTCGCTCTGTCACCCAGGCTGGAGTGCAGTGGCGCGATCTCGGCTCACTGCAAGCTCCGCCTCCCGGGTTCACGCCATTCTCCTGCCTCAGCCTCTCCGAATAGCTGGGACTACAGGCGCCCACCACCACGCCTGGCTAATTTTTTTTTTGAATTTTTAGTAGAGACGGGGTTTCACCGTGGTCTCGATCTCCTGACCTCGTGATCCGCCCGCCTCGGCCTCCCAAAGTGCCGGGATTACAAGCGTGAGCCACCGCGCCCCGCCTGCTTTTATTTTTTATTGACACATAATAACTGTATATATTTATGGGTTACAGTGTGATATTTTAATACATGTATACAATGTTTAGTGATCAAGGTAATTAACATATCCATCACTTCAAACACTTATCATTTCTTTGTGTCAGAAAGATTCAAAATCCACTCTTTGGCTGGGTACAATGGCTCACGCCTGTAATCCCAGCACTTTGGGAGGCCGAGGCGGGCGGATCATGAGGTCAGGAGTTCAAGACCAGCCTGACCAACATGGTGAAACCCTGTCTCTACTAAAAATATAAAAAAAATTAGCCAGGCATGGTGGCTCGCACCTGTAATCCCAGCTACTCAGGAGGCTGAGGCAAGAGAATCACTTGAACCAGGGAGGTGGAGATTGCAGTGAGCCAAGATCGTGCCACTGCACTCCAGCCTGGGCAACAGAGCGAGACTTCATCTCAAAAAAAAAAAAAAAATCCATTCTTCTCGCTATTTTAAAATATAATTCAATAACAATAAATTGTTAATTATGGTCAGCCTACGGTGCTATGTAACACTAGGACTTATTCCTCTGACCTAGCTGTACTTTCATATCTGTTAACCAGCCTTTGGTGGTTTTACTTCCTAAATGATCCCAAACGTGCCACCTTCTGCCCTCATCCTGGTCCAGACCTCCATCATCTCTCCTGAGAGGGAGCAGTCAATGGCCTCCCAGTTGCCTCTTGATCTCCCTGCTCTCCCTGCTCATTCTCTACACAGCAGCCCCACAGAAACTTCTAGAACCTGACACAATGGCTCTTCTGCTCACACATCCCCACTCACACATGGCTGCCAGTGGATGAAGCCTTTTCTGACCCTTTCCAGCCTCATCTCAAATCTTCTCCTCCTCACTTCCCAGACCCCAGCTCTGGCCCAGCTCCTCTTAGTTCCTCAATGGTCTCTCTCACTTCCTCTTCTGCCTACCCACCACCCCCCAGTCTGAGTTGGTGCCCGAATGCTTAGGACTGAGGAAAACAAAAGTTGGTTTGGCAATAGGAAGAATGGTGACCCAAGATGGGAAAGAGAGGGCTGGATGGTATGGTGGGAAGGGGGGTCAGGAAAGGCTCCTGGGAGGAGAGGGCATCCAAGCCGAGGCTTCAGGTGTGGACTGGGGGTCTGAGAGTGAGCTGTGGGGGGCTGGGGTTGGAGTTGGGGTACCCATTCCAGGAGGAGTCCTATTTGGGTAACAGCAAACATCTAGTTTGACTAGAAGGCAGGTGTAGGGGACAATGAAATGAGTGTGGGAGACGGAGCCTTGAATGCCAGGGGACTAGAACCTGGTCAGTCACAGGGAATCAGATTCCAACCCCGGGTGGCCTCAGGCAAATCTCCCACCCATCAGAAGGGCCTCTGCTTCCTCACTGATAAGACAAGATATTGTTGGCAGGGCACTGTGGCTCATGTCTGCAATACCAATACTTTGGGAGGCTAAGGTGGGAGGATCGCTTGAGCCTGGGAGTTCAAGATCAGCCTGGGTGACCTGTTTCTACAAAAAATACAAAAATTAGCTGGATGTGGTGACGCACACCTGTGGTCCCAGCTACTCAGGAGGAGAGCTTGAGGTTGGGAGGTCAAGGCTGCAATGAGCCATGATTGAGCCACTGCACTCCAGCCTGGGCAACAGAGTGAGATCCTGTCTCAAAAAAAAAAGGCAGGATATTGTCACAGTCCCTACCTTACAGAAGATTGCACACTTTATAGCTCAAATAATACTCAAGCCAGATCTCAAGGTACTAAACACACATTTGGGATAGGGGTGATGGACAGGCAGAGACTTGAGCCAGGGCTGCCTGGTTAGCCACCCCGAGGGCCAGTCCCAGCTTCCTCACCAACCACTGAGAGATCCCAAGTATGTCCTGCCCTCTTTTGTCCTGGTGTCCCCAAGAGAGAGAAGAAACAGAGTCCCCAGGCATCTGGTAAGAGCCCAAAGCTGCCTGTCCCAGGCTCAAGATATCTCCAAGGAATCCTCCGAGGATTTTAAGGGTAAACTTAAAATTCCTGCAGATTTTGCACTCTGCTCTATAACATCCAGTTTTACTATAAAAATAATATTTTGCATCACTTATTCATAGATTTGGTATTATTCCTCCCTTAAATGTTCAATAGAATTCTCCAGTGAAGCCATCTAGGTCTGGAGTTTCCTTTGTGGGAAGGCTTTTAACTTCAAATCCAATTCCTTTCACAGACATGGGCTGATACGGTTTGGCTCTGTGTAGCCAAATCTCATTTCAAGTTGTAATCCCCACGTATCAGAGGAAGCACCAGGTGGGAGGTAATTGGATCATAGGGGCAGTTTCCCCCATGCTGTTCTCATGATAGTGAGTGAGTTCTCAGAGAGCCGATGGTTTTAAAGTGTGGCACTTCCTTGTTCTCACACTCACTCTCTCCTGCTGCCTTGTGAAGAAGGTGCCTGCTTCCCCTTCCCCTTCTGCCATGATTGTAAGTTTCATGAGGCTCCCATAGCCATGCAGAACTGCAAGTCAATTGAACCTCTTTCCTTTATAAATTACCCAGTCTCAGGCTTTTTTTTTTTTTTTTTTTTTTTTTTTTGAGACAGAGTCTTGCTCTGTTGCCCAGCTGGAGTGCGGTGGCACAATCTTGGCTCACTGCAGCCTCTGCCTCCCAGGTTCAATCAATTCTCCTCCCTCAGCCTCCTGAGTAGCTGGGACAATAGGTGCGTGCCACCATGCCCGGCTAATTTATTTTTAGTAGAGACGGGGTTTCACTACGTTGGCCAGGCTGGTCTCGAACTCCTGACTTCAAGTAATCTGCCCTCCTTGGTCTTCCAAAGTGATGGGATTATAGGTGCGCACCACCATGCCTGGCTAATTTTTTTATTTTTAGTAGAGACAGGGTTTCCTCATGTTGGCCAGGCTGGTCTCAAACTTCTGACCTCAGGTGATCCACCTGACTCAGCCTCCCAAAGTGCTGGGATTACAGGTGTGAGCCACTGCGCCCAGCTTAGATTATGTTTCTTGAGTGAGTTTTTGAAGTTTGTATCTTTCAAGGAATTTGTTCATTTCATCTAATCTGTACTGAGCATCCCACAAATTCTGAAATGTCGTATTTTCATTCTTTTCAAAATGCTTTCTAATCTCCTATTTGATTTCCTCTTTGATCCAAGGATTATTTAGAAGTATATTGTTTAGTTTTCAAATATTTGGGGACTTTCCAGAGATCTTTCTATACTGACTACTAATTCAATTCCATTGTGGTTAGAAAACATACTTTGTGTGTCTTGAATTCATTTAAATGTATTGAGAATTGTTTTGTGACCCAGAGTATGTGTACTTGAAAAGAACGTGGATTCTGCTGTTATTGAGTCAACTCAGTGATAGTGTTGTTCAAATCTTCTCTATCCTTATTGATTTCTGTCTACCTGTTTTATTAATTATTGAGAGAGGGGTGCTGAAATTTTCAAAGTTAATTGTGAATTTGTCTATTTCTTCTT
The DNA here is from genome assembly GCF_000001405.40 of Homo sapiens. NCBI lineage: Eukaryota > Metazoa > Chordata > Mammalia > Primates > Hominidae > Homo > Homo sapiens. The sequence continues at coordinate 53,215,781 of NC_000003.12, read as the reverse complement.
GTAGTTCTATTCATTTTAGCTTCAAGTATTTTGAAGCTGTTATTAGGTTTTAGGATTGCTAGATTTTTTTTTTTTAAGTGAAAGCAAGTTTATTAAGCAAGTAAAGGAGGCTGGGCGCGGTGGCTCACGCCTGTAATGCCAGCACTTTGGCAGGCTGAGGCAGGCAGATCACGAGGGTCAGGAGTTCAAGACCAGCCTGACCAACATGGTGAAACCTCATCTCTACTAAAAATACAAAAATTAGCCAGGCGTGGTGGCTTGCACTCATAATCCCAGCTACTCAGGAGGCTGAGGCAGGAAAATCGCTTGAACCCGGGAGGCGGAGGTTACAGTGAGCTGAGATCGTGCCATTGCACTCCAGCCTGGACAACAGAGCAAGACTCTGTCTCAAAAAAAAAAAAAAAAAAAGAAAGTACAGGAATAAAGAATGGCTACTCCGTAGGCAGAGCAGCTGAATTGCTAGATTATTAGGATTATTGGGTTTTTAGAATTGTTATTTGTTATGTTCTCTTGATGAATTGACATATTATTTTGAAATGACCCTCTTTATCCCTGGTAACATTCTCTGTCCTGAAATCTACTTTATCTGATATTAGTATAGCCACTTCAGTTTTTTTAGATTAGTGTTAGCATGGTGCATAATTTTCTGTTCCTTTAGCTTCACACTATTTGTATGTATATTTTATTTCTTTAAAAAAGTGATGGGGTCTCACTCTTGCTCAGGCTGGAGTGCAGTGGCACAATCATGGCTCGTTGCAGCCTTGAACGCTGGGGCTCAAGTGATCCCCCTGCCTCAGCCTCCTCAGTAGCTGGGACTACAGGCACATGCCACCATGCCTAGTATTTTTTATTTATTTCATTTATTTTTCATTTATTTTTATTTATTTATTTATTTTTGAGACAGGATCTGGCTCTGTCACTGGGCAGGAGTGCAGTGGTGTGATACTGGCTCACTGCAACCTCCGCCTTCTGGGTTCAAGCGATCCTCCCACCTCAGCCTCCTGAATAGCTGGGACTACAGCCTAATGCCACCATGCCTGGCTATTTTTTTTTTTTTTTTTTTTTTTGAGATGGAGTTTTGCTCTTGTTGCCCAGGCTGGAGTGCAATGGAGTGATCTCAGCTCACCGCAACCTCCGCCCTCCCAGGTTCAAGCGATTCCCCTGCCTCAGCCTCCCAAGTAGCTGGGATTACAGGCATGCACCACCATGGCCAGCTAATTTTTGTATTTTTAGTAGAGATGGAATTTCTCCATGTTGCCCAGGCTGGTCTCGAACTCCCAACCTCAGGTGATCTACCCACCTCAGCCTCCCAAAGTGCTGGGATTATAGGCATGAGCCACCGCACCCAGCCCCTTTACTTTTTCTTTTTCTTTTTTTTTTTTTTTGAGATGGAGTCTCGCTCTGTTGCCCAGGCTGGAGTGCAGTGGCACGATCTCAGCTCACTGCAAGCTCTGCCTCCTGGGTTCACACCATTCTCCTGCCTCAAACTCCTGAGTAGCTGGGACTACAGGCGCCCGCCACCACACCCGGCTAATTTTTTTGTATTTTTAGTAGAGATGGGGTTTCACCGTGTTAGCCAGGATGGTCTCGATCTCCTGACCTTGTGATCCGCCCACCTCAGCCTCCCAAAGTGCTGGGATTACAGGCGTGAGCCACTGAGCCCGGCCTTTACTTTTTATTTTTAGAGACAAGATCTCACTGTGTTGCCCAGGCTGGTATCAAACTTCTGGTCTCAGGGGATCTTCCCCACTCAGTCTCCCAAAATGCTGAGATTATAGGCACAAGCCATTGTGCCCAGCTTTATATTTAATGCTGATTTCTTACAGTCAGCATAGAGTTGGGTCTTGCTTTTTAAATGCAGTCTAATTGTCTCTTCCTTTTAACTGGGTGTTTTGACCAATTACCTTTACTGTGATTATTGGTATTGTTGGGTTTAAATCTACCATCTTGCTATTTGGGTTCTATTTGTCCCATCTGATTTTTTGTTCCCCTTTCCTCTTTTTTTTTTTTTTTTTTTGCTTTCTTTTGAATTGAGTATTTTTGTGATTCTTTTTACTCCTTTGTTGGCTTATTAGTCACAACACTTTGCTGTGTTATTTTTGTGGCTGCCTCAGAGTTTATAGCATACATCTTTACTTTGTCAGTCTACCTTCAAGTGATGTTACTACCACATCATGCATAGTATAAGATCCTTACAATAGCACACTTCCATTTCCACCACACCAGGCATGGTGGCTCGCACCCATAATCCCAGCTACTCAGGAGGCTGAGGCAGGAAAATCGCTTGAACCCGGGAGGCCATTGCTGAGGCGGGAGAACTACTTGAACCTGGGAGACGGAGGTTGCAGTGAGCCGGGATCATGCCATTGCACTCTAGCCTGGGTGACAGAGCGAGACTTTGTCTCAAAACAAACAAAAAAAACCCCACAAATTTCAAAGTTTTTTGAGTGCAGACATGATGCTCAAAGGAAAATGTCACTGGAACATTTAAGATTAGAGATTTTCAGATGAGGGCTGCTAAACCAGTAAATATAATGCAAATATTCCAAAGTCCAGAAAGATTCTAAATCCAAGACATTTCTGGTCCCAAGTGTTTTGGATAAGGGATACTCAATCTGTATTACATTTATCTCATTCATTCAGACTGTTTGACTTGCCAATTTAAATCAACATAAACAGAGTCTTCCACTTAACAGTTCGTTTGAATTCATCTGATGGCCAGTAAGCACATGAAGAGATGTTCAACATCACTAGTCATTAGGGAAATGCAAATCAAAACCATAAGATACTACTTCACACTCACTAGGATGGCTTTAATTTTATTTATTTATTTATTTTGCGACAGGGTTTCACTCCTGTCACCCAGGCTGGAGTGCAGTGGAGCGATCTCAGCTCACTGCAACCTGTGCCTCCAGGGTTCAAGTGATTCTCCTGCCTCAGCCTCCCCAGGTAGCTGAGACTACCGGCACAGGCCACTGTGCCCAGCTAATTTTTGTATTTTTTGTAGAGACGGGCTTTCACCATGTTGCCCAGGCTGGTCTTGAACTCCTGAGCTCAAGCAATCCACCTGCCTCAGCCTCCCAAAGTTCTGAGATTATAGGAATGAGCCACCATGCCCGGCAGGATGGCTCTAATTTTTTAAAAAAACAACGGAAAGTAACAAGTGTTAGCGAGGATGTGGAGAAACTGGAACCTGTGTACATTGAAGAAATGTAAAATATAAATGAAAAAGGCTGCACCCGCTGTGGAAAACCGTGTTGCAGTTCCTCAAAAAGTTAAATATAGAATTACCATATGACCTAGCAATTCCACTGCTAGGAATATACCCAAATGAACTGAAAGCAGGAACTTAAATAGGTCCACAGCAGCATCATTCACAATAACCAAAAGGTGAAAGCAATCCAGGAGTCCATCAACGGGTAAACAAAACGTGGTACATACACACAAGGGGATATTATTCAGCCTTAAAGAGGGAAGAAATTCTGGCACATATTACAAAGATAAGCCTCAAAGACATTGCACTAAGTGAAATAAGCCAGCCACGAAAGACATATACTCTGTGATTTCACTTATCTGAAGTACCTAGAATAGTCAAATCATAGAGACAGAAAGTAGAATGTTGGTTGCCAAGGTCATGGGGAGGGGAGAATAGAGAATTATTATCTAATACAGTTTCAGTTTGGGAATATGAAAAGTTCTGGAGGATGAATGGTAGTTGATAGAGTTTGGATATTTGCCCCCTCCAAATCTCATGTCAAATTGGAATCTCCAGTGTTGGAGGTGGGGCCTGTTGGGAGGTGTTCGGGTCATGGAGGCAGATCCCTCATGAATGGCCTGGGCCATCCCCTTGTTGATGAGTGAGCTCACACTCTGAGTTCACAGGAAATCTAGTCATTTAAAAGTGTGTGGCCCTCTCCTCACCCCACACAGGCTCTCTTGGCTCCTGCTCTGGCCATGTGATGTGCCTGCTCCCACTTTGCCTTCCACTGTGATTGTAAGCTTCCTGAGGCCTCCCCAGAAGCAGATCCAGGTACCATGCCTCCTGTGTAGCCTGCAGAACTGTAAGCCAATTAAACCTCTTTTTTTATAAATTACATTGCCCAGTCTCATTGCCATTTCTTTCTTTTTTTCTTTTTTCTTTTTGAGCCAAGGTCTTGTTCTGTCATCCAGGCTCGAGTGCAGTGGTGTGATCATGGCTCACTGCAGCTTCGACCTCCACAGCTCAAGTGATCCTCCCACCTCAGCCTCCCGAGTAGCTGGGACTATAGGTGTGTGTCACCATGCCCAGTTAATTTCTGTATTTTTTGTAGAGATAAGCTTTTGCCATGTTGCCCAGACTGGTCTTGAACTCCTGGGCTCAAATGATCCTCCTGCCTCAGCCTCCCGAAGTGCTAGGATTGGTTGCACCATGAAATATACTTAATGCCACTGAATTGTACACTTACAAATGTTTAAAATGGTAAATTTTATATTTTGTACATTTTACCTCACAAAAAATTCATTTGAAATTATTTGGAATCAAAATTTTTTATTCTTTCATATATATATATATATATATATATATATATATATATATATATAAAATCATACATGAACTTGCATAGAACAAGTGGTTGTTGAGTGAATGAACAAATATTTGTTAAATTTCAGCTAACCAAAGCTAACTTCATTAATTTAGTCCCTAACTATGTCTGAAAAGACTGAAGAGACTTTTAATTTCACCTTTGCAGAAGAGGAACTTTTTCTTTTCCAACTTTATATTGAATAATTTCCATTGCCAAAGTCCTGTGCTGAGGGGAACGCAAAAATGAACACGCCCTAGTTCATGTCCTCTAGGCCAGCAATTCCCCAAGCCTGGCTCATGAACAGAATGGGGAATCTTTTTTTTTTTTTTTTTTTTTTTTTTTTGTAGATGGAGTCTCACTGTGTTGACCAGACTGGAGTGCAGTGGTATGATCTTGGCTCACTGCAACCTCTGCCTCCTGGGTTCAAGTGATTCTCCTGCCTCAGCCTCCCGAGTAGCTGGAATTACAGGTGCCCGCCACCATGCCTGGCTAATTTTTGTATTTTTAGTAGAAGACAGGGTTTCACCATGTTGGCCAGGCTGGTCTCAAACTCCTGACCTCAAGTGATCCACCGCCTTGGCCTCCCAAAGTGCTGGGATTACAGGCATGAGCCACCATGCCCGGCCAGAATGGGGAATCTCCACATGTCGCAAGTCCTAGGTCCAAGACAAAACCTTTCTGTGGCTTTCTTTAGCATAGAAAAGACAGGCTGAAATTCTCAAAAAACGGTTTACTAAACCAAAAGAAAACAAACAAAGAAAATAAACTTACAGAGTACCCAAAGTACAACATTAATCAGACTTTCCACCAATTTCTAAACTTCCCAAACCAAAACAGTGTCTTTCTGTTCACATCTCGCATAAACCTGAAAAATCTGCATGTAAGCCTAAAGCGGAGTCTCAATTTCCAAGGCTACATTGAAACTGCCTTTGCAGAAATTATATCAGCGAGAAAATCATGAAGGCAAAATTTGATCTAACCAACTCCATCTTGCTTTTAACCTCCAAACTGCCCTTGGTCATTCCTGGGCATGGGACTCGCTAACCTTGGGAGAAATTTGGTTTGTGGTTTAAATGATAATCGCCCTTCCCAAAACTAAACCACCTTTGTAAAACTAATGAAAGGCCACCAAGTTAGGAGGATGAAAGGGGCCTGGATTCTGCTAAGAATAGTATTACGTTGGTACAAAAATAATTGTGGTTTTTGCAGTTAAAAGTAATGGCAAAAACCGCAATTACTTTTGCACCAACCTACTAATTAAATGATTACCAGCCATTATTCTAGAGGCCACAAGATTTAAAACTTCCTCCAGTTACTCCTGTACATAACATCACCATTGTAAAACCCCAAATTGGCCCTTTGAGATATCTTTTCAGGCTTTTTTTTTTTTTCCAGACAGAGTCTTGTTCTGTCACCCAGGCTGGAGTGCAGTGGCATGATCTCTGCTCACAACCTCTGTTTCGCGGGTTCAAGTGATCCTCCCACCTCAGCTTGGAGGTGGAGTAGCCGAGTAGCTAGGATTACAGGTGCCCGCCACCACACCCAGCTAATTTTTTTGTATTTTTAGTAGAGACAGGGTTTTACCATGTTGGCCAGGCTGGTCTTGAACTCCTGACCTCAAGTGATCCTCCTGCCTCAGCCTCCAAAAATGCTGGGATTACAGGTGTGAGCCACTGCACCTGGCCTGGTCTCAAACTCCTGACCTCAAGTGATCCACCAGCCTTTGCCTCCCAAAGTGCTGGGATTACAGGTGTGAGCCACTGTGCCTGGCCTGGTCTCGAACTCCTGACCTCAAGTGATCCTCCAGCCTTGGCCTCCCAAAGTGCTGGGATTGCAGGTGTGAGCCACCATGCCCTGCCTCTTTTCAGGCTTTTGCATTTCTGACAACCAGATGGCCCCTACCCAGACTAGCAACTCCTCTAGTGGTACCCACCTAGAAGTGGACTCAGTGCAGGAGGACTGCTTTTCCACACCCCTATGATTACATCCCCAACCAATCAGCAGCACACATTCCCTAGCCTCTTGCCCACCAAACTATCTTAAAACACTGAATTTTGGGGGTGGCTGATTTGAGTAATAATAAAAAACTCTGTCTCCCATTTAGCTGGCTCTATTAAACTCTTTTTTTTTTTTTTTTTTTTTTGAGGTGGAGTCTCACTCTGATGCACAGGCTGGAGTGCAATGGTGTGATCTCAGCTGACTGCAACCTCTGCCTCCCAAGTTCCAGTGATTCTCCTGCCTCAGCCTCCTGAGTAGCTGGGACTACAGGTGCCTGCCACCACACCTGGCTAATTTTTGTATTTTTAGTAGAAGCAGGGTTAAACTCTTTCTCTATTGCAATTCCCCTGTCTCGATAAATTAGCTGTATCTGGGCAGTGGGCAAAATAAACCCACTGGGTGGTTACAACACATCTTATTACCAACCCTCTGGAAACAGTTAATCTAGATATTGGTGGTGGCTGTTCCTCCACTCTGCTGTTCCTCTCTCTCTCTCTCTCCAGTTTCAAGGACAGTAGAGTGACAGAAGGCAGGGAGATGAAACAGAAGAGACATTTTAATATTTTAACCAGAAATTTACTATTTTAATCAGAAGTTGCCAAAAAACAAGTTGCAGCCTTTCTTAACTAAATATTTCTAAATTCTCATGCTTTAGGAGGTTACCTAGGTAATGGTCTTTTTCACATCTCTGGTTGGGAGAAATATCTCCATCCCTCCTCTGTATTTATTCCCTCCTATGATGGCAATTTGTTATAGATTGTGAAATTCTTAAAGCCTGGTTCATTTTCTGGTTATCTTTATTTTATTATTTATTTATTTATTTTTGAGATAGTCCTGCTCTGTCACCCAGGCTGGAGTGCAATGGCATGATCTTGGCTCACTGCAACTTCTGTCTCCTGGGTTCAAGCAATTCTTCTCAGCCTCCTGAGTAGCTGGGATTACAGACACATGCCATCACACCTGGCTTTTTTTTTTTTTTTTTCTAGTAGAGACAGGGCTTCGCCATATTGGCCAGACTGGTCTTGAACTCCTGACCTCAGGTGATCCACCTGCCTCAGCCTCCCAAAGTCCTGGGATTACAGGCTCATCTTTATTTTCTTCCCATAGCCAGGCACAGTGTTTTATATGGGGCAGGTGCCACAGGAATGGCTGTTCGATAAAGTGGGTAACTGGAAAAATGAGTTGCAAATGATAATACATTAACCCGAGACAACTTCATTATTGTGGTTGAGAAAGTTTCATGTACAGATGCACTGCTGAAGGTTTCCTGAATTTCATGATTTATACAGAATCAGTTTTATTGCCTTGCGTATACTCTTGTAACAGTAATAACATTTACTTTTATAATGGAATGTTAAGTCTTGTGACCTCTGGAACAAATTTGCCTGCCTTTGCAATTTCAGATAAGACTTTGCTGAAGCTTCATTACTTCATTAATACACCAGTCATGCATGTAGTTACTGTTTGGGTCTCCTTTGTTCCTTTGTATAGATCTTTATTTCCATTGGGAATAACTTTTCCTCTGCCCAGGGACTTCGTTTAACATTTTTAACAGATGCTGGAGATGAATGATTTCAGCTTTGGGTGTCTGAAAAACCCTTTATGAGATCCTTGTTTCTGAAAGATATTTTTGTTAGCCATAGAATTCTGGGTTCTGTGCCTGGCCTCTGAAAGGTATTTTTGTTAGCTATAGAATTCTGTGTTGACAGGTGTTTTGGTTTTTGCATTAGTACTTTAAAGATGTTACTCCGTTATCTTCAACTTGCATTGTTTCCAAAGACAAACCTATTGTAATGTTGTAATCTTTATTTTTGTTCTGTATGTAGCATGATTTTTTTTTTTTACTGGGTGCTGGCTGCTTTTAAGCTTTCCTTTGTGTTTTTTTTTTTTTGTTGTTGTTTTTTGAGACAGGGTCTTACTCTGTCACCCAGGCTGGAGTGCAGTGGCGCAACCATAACTCACTGCAGCCTCAACTCCCTGGGCTCAACTAATCCTCCTGGCTCGGTTTCTTGAGTAGCTAGAACTACAGGCATATGCCTCCGTGCTTGGCTAATTTTTTAATTTTTTGTAGAAATAGGGTTTTCCTATATTGTTCAGTCTGGTGTTGAATTCCTGGCCTCAAGTGATCCTCCTGCCTTAGCTTCCCACAGTGCTAGGATAACAGGGATGAGCCACTGCACCTGGCCTCAAGATTTTCTCTTTATCATGGCAATTTAATTTGGATATACTCTGATATAGTTTCCCTTGTGTTTATTGTGCTTGGGACTAATTGAGCTTCTTGAATCTGTGGATTTACAGTTTTAATCAAATTAGGAAAATTGTCTGCCATTATTTCTTCAAGTTTTCTGTACCATCCCTTCCTCCTTCAGTGATTCCAATTCCAAATATATTTGATTGCTCGAAATTGTACCACCACTCACTGGTGGCTCCGTTCATTTTTAAAAATTCTTTTTTCCTGCCGGGCACGGTGGCTCACGCCTATAATCCCAGCACTTTGGGAGGCCGAGGCAGATAGATCACAAAGTCAGGAGTTTGAGACCAGCCTGGCCAATATAGTGAAACCCTGTCTCTACTAAAAAAAAAAAAAAAAAAAAAAATACAAAAATTAGCCGGGCACACCCCTGTAATCCCAGCTACATGGGAGGCTGAGGCAGGAGAATTGCTTCAACCCAGGAGGTGGAGGTTGCAGTGAGCTGAGATCGCGGCGCTGCACCCCAGCCTGGGTGACACAGCGAGACTCCACTCTGTCAAAAAAAATATATATATTCTTTTTTCCTAGATTTCATTTTGGATAGTATTTATTACTATGTACTCAAGTTGACTCATCTTTTCATCTATAATGTCTAATCTGCTATAGATCCCATCCAGCATATTTTTTATCTCAGATATCACAGATTTTATCTCTACAAGTGTGATCTGGGTCTTTTTTATATCCTCCATGTCTCAACTTTTTGACATATGGAATATAGTTATAATTGTTTTAATGCCTTTGTCTGTTAATTCTATTATTGGTGTTGTTTCTAGGTCAGTTTTAATTTATTGCTATTTCTTTTTTTTTTTTTTTTTTTTTTTGAGACAGAGTCTTGCTCTGTCGCCCGGGCTGGGGTGCACTGGTGCGATCTCGGCTCACTGCAAGCTCCACCTCCCGGGTTCACACCATTCTCCTGCCTCAGCCTCCTGAGTAGCTGGGACTACAAGCGCCCGCCACCACGCCCAGCTAATTTTTTATATTTTTAGTAGAGATGGGGTTTCACTGTGTTAGCCAGGATGGTCTCGATCTCCTGACCTTGTGATCTGCCCGCCTCGGCCTTCCAAAGTGCTGGGATTACAGGTGTGAGCCACCATGCCCAGCCTATTTCTCCTATTTCTTTTAATGCCTGGAAATTTTTTTTTTTTTTTTTTTTTGAGATGGAGTCTCATTCTGTCACCCAGGCTGGAGTGCAGTGGTGTGATCTCAGCCTATTGCAACCTCCGCCTCCCTGGTTCAAGCAAATTCTCCTGCCTCAGCCTCCTGAGTAGCCGGGACTACAGGCATGTGTCACCAGGCCTGGCTAATTTTTGTATTTTTAATAGAGGTGGGGTTTCACCATGTCGGCCAGGTTGGTCTTGAATGTCTGACCCCAAGTGATCTGCCCGCCTTGTCCCTCCGAAGTGCTGGGATTATAGGCATGAGCCACTGTGCCTGGCCAGTGCCTGGCCAATACCTGGCAATTTTTGATTGGGTGCCAGACATTGTGAATTTTGCCTTATTGGGTGCTGGATATTTTTTGTGTTCTCATAAATATTCTTAGGCTTAGTTCTACAATGATTTCTTGGAAATAGTTTAATACTTTTGGGTCTTGCTTCTAAGCTTTGTTAGGCAAGACCAGAACAGTGTTTAGTCTAGGGTTAATTTTACATTTTTTTCATGTTTGAGATAGGGTCTTGCTCTGTTGCCCAGGCTAGAGTAGAGTAGCAATCAGAGCTCACTGCAGCCTTGGGCTCCTGGAATCAAGTGATCCTCCTGCCTCAGCCTCCTGAGTAGCTGGGACTACAGGTATGCACTACCACACCCAGCTAATTTTTGTATTTTGTGTAGAGACAGTGTCTTGCTATGTTGCCTAGGCTGCGGGTTAATTTTTATCTGGTACTGAGGCAAAACCTCTCTGGGTGCTCTGAACAGTGATACCTTAAATTTATACAGTTTCCAGTCTGGCATTGTTCCTAACCCTGTGTGAGTTCTGAGGATTGTTCACTTTAATTCATTTAGAGGGCTTTCTCCCCAGCCTTGGGTGGTTTCCTCAGATGCATGCAATAATCAGTACTCAGCGAAGACTTGAGGAGGCGTCTCTGCAGGTTCCAGGCTTCTTTCTCTCCTTCTTTCTCTCTCTCTCGCTCTCTTGTCCCCAGTAGGATGCACTGTGAATTCTAGCCACCTTGGCTTGCCTGGACTGCCAGCTTCATCTACTCAACTTGGGAGTCCACTGGCCTCCACCTGGATCCCCCCTCCCTGTCCCACAGCCTGGAGACCCTCTGCAGTCAGTAGAGCTGGGGCAGTCAGGGCTCAGCTCCCTCGTTTCCCATCTCTCAGATCACTGTCCTTTGTTCCTGATGTCCAGCATCTTCAGAACTGCTGTCTCATCCATTTTGTCTGGAGTTTTAGTTTTTCAGGCAGGAGGGAAAATACAGTCCCCTTTTTACTCCATCTTGACTGAAAGCAAAATTCCACACCATTTATTTGGATAAATAAATTGTGGTAAATTTATGTGATGGAATGCCATTCAATCGTTAAAAGAAATGCACTTGACCAGTCCACAAAAGACCACGTATTACATGATTCCATTTACTTGTTGTTTTGAGATGCAGTCTTGCTCTGTTGCACAGGCTGGAATGCAGTGGTGCAATCTTGGCTCACTGCAACCTCTGCCTACCAGGCTCAAGCGATTCTCCTGCCTCAGCCTCCCAGGTAGCTGGGACTACAGGTGCCTGCCCACCACCGTGCCCAGCTATTTTTTCTTTTTCTTTTCTTTTTTATTTTTTTGAGATGGAGTGTTGCTCTGTGGCCCAGGCTGGAGTGCAGTGGTGCAGTCTTGGCTCACTGCAACCTCCACCTCCTGGGTTCAAGCAATTCTCCTGCCTCAGCCTCCTGATTAGCTGGGACTACAGGTACATGCCACCACACCCAACTAATTTTTGTATTTTTAGTAGAGACAGATTTTCACCACATTGACCAGCCTGGTCTCGAATTTCTGACCTCAGGTGATCCACCTGCCTTGGCCTCCCAAACTGCTGGGATTACAGGAGTGAGCCACCTCACCCAGCCTAGGGGCTGCAATTTTATCTCTACTTGTTTCTTCATCTGGAACAGAATCACTATACTTTTTTAAATGTCTGAATGTTTTCTGATATTTTTTTTCTCTTCTGAGACAGATTCCAGGCTGGAGTGCAGTGGCACGAGCTCAGCTCACTGCAACCTCCGCCTCCCGGGTTCAAGCAATTCTCTTGCCTCAGCCTCCTGAGTAGCTAGGACTACAGGCGTGCGCCACCACACCCGGCTAATTTTTGTATTTTTAGTAGAGATGAGGTTTCACCATGTTGGCCAAGCTGGTCTCAAACTCCTGACCTCGTGATCTGCCCGCCTCGGCCTCCCAAAGTGCTGGCATTACAGGCATGAGCCACCGCACCCAGCCTTTTTTTTTTTTTTTTTTTTTTTGAGAGGGTCTCACTCTGTCACCCAGGCTAGAGTGCAGTGGCGCAATCACAGCTCATTACAACCTTGACCTCCCAGGCTCGAGCGATCCTCCCGCCTCAGCTTCCCAAGCAGCTGGGACCACAGGTGGACCACCATGCCTGGCTAATTTTTTAAGAGATAGAGTCTCACTATGTTGCCTAGGCTGATCTCGAACTCCTGGGCTCAAGTGATTCTCCCACCTGGAAATCATATCACAACTCACAAAGTGCTAGGATTAGAGGAGTGAGCCACCATGTTTTCCTAATAAGACAACTTGTTAGATAAATCACTCATTTTCCCTCATGCCAGGTGCCCTTCCGTACCCTGCAGGTGCAGCACCCCGCTGAGGCCAAAAGCCCAGTGCTTTGGTTTGACTTCCCATCGCCAATGCAGAAAACCACTAGAGAGTTTAACAAACAACTTTTCCTCTTCTCTTGAAGTTTGTCTTTGGCTTCCACTGAAAAAACAACTTTCCTGCCACCCCTGCCTGTACTCCATCTCCTCCAACCTTCTAAAAGCCCCCGGAAAAGGCTGTGGAGCTGGTTGGGGAGCCATCAGTAGTACCCCTGTGGGCACAGCTGCCCCCGTGCCTCCACCGGTGGCCGCTGCTCCGCCCTCTCTCCCCAGACAGGTTGTCAAGCTGCCACTGCCACGAATTCTCCCATCAGCACAGCCACTGCCTGCCGCCTCCAACAACAACTGCCAGGCTCATTATAACCTCCACCTGCTGGCCACAGCAACCGCCTCTTAGCACACCCAGTGGCGGTGGTTAAACTACTTTATTAAACCCATCATCTCACCTCTACTGGTTCCCCCTCACTGAGAGCTCACTTTTGATCCAGCCTCACACAGGCTGAAGTGGGACTAAATTAGGCCTGGCCTCGGCAGTGCAGGTGCTGCACCAATGGCTAGCCAGAGGTGGGAGCAGAGATGCTGTTCCTCAGGGGACCGCATGTCCTTGGGCCAGGGTGCCTGGTTGTTGGGCCAGGATTCCCAGGGTCATGCACACCCCTGCCTTTGCCCAGCTCCCCGGGCTTTGCTCAGGCTGCTTCCTCTGCCTGAGACTGCCTGACCCCAGCGTCTCGCCTACTCATTCTTTCTAATTTTTAAAAACTGTGAAATGTCATATCCATAAAGAAAAGCACATAGAACAAAAGAACAGTATAACAAATTATTATAAAAGGACGCCTGGGTAACCAGCCATCAGATCAAGAGTCAGAACACCTACATATTCTTTAAAAGACACTTTAAAAAATTATGGATCATTTGGAACACAGAGACAAGCACAGAGACTAAAATAGACAACGAGCATCCTCATCTGTGTGACTCTTGAGGCCACCAAGGCTGTCCCCAGCAGAGACACTGCTGGTCTTCAGTGCCCACAGAGTGCCAAATGACTTTCCAGGAGAATGGGGCCAACTTACATTCCCACTGCTGCGAATAGTGCCTCCCCCATAACCCCGCCCTGCCCAACACCTACACCTACCACCAGCACTGGGTATTATCAGACTTGAAAAGTTTTGCCAGACTGACTGTGAGAGCTACTCATTCTTTGGGTCTCAGGATTACATGTTCCTCCTGATACAGGGCAGATGAGCCTCAAAACTGGGGCTTAGCCTCGGAGGGTTCTTGGCTTTACCCAGAAAAGAATCCAAGGCCAAGCAGTGGTGTTAGGCAGCAATTTCTTTTGTTGAGACAGAGTCTCCCTTTGTTGCCCAGGCTGGAGTGTAGTGGCACAATCTTGGCTCACTGCAACCTCTGCCTTCTGGGTTCAAATGGTTCTCCTGCCTCAGCCTCCCAAGTAGCTGGGATTACAGGTGCCCACCACCACGCCTGGCTAATTTTTGTGTTTTTGTATTTTTAATAGAGACGGGGTTTCACCATATTGGCAGGCTGGTCTTGAACTCCTGAGCTCAGGTGATCCACCCACCTCAGCCTCCCAAAGTGCTGGGATTACAGGTGTGAGCCACCGCACCTGGAGGACAGCTATTTCTATGGAAGCGGCAGCGTGCAGCAGCATGCAGCAGCAGCAGAGGCACTGCTCCTTGCAGGGCAGGGCTACCCCACAGGCACTGTGCCGTGAGTAGCCACGCAGAGGCAGTTCTGCAGTCAAATTTATACCCACTTTTAATTATATGCAAATTAAGGGGTGGATTATGCAGAAAGCTTTAGGAAAATGAGTGGTAACTTCCAGGTCGTTGGGTCATTGCCATGGAAAAGGGTGGTAACATCTGGGTGTTGCCGTGGCAACAGTAAACTGACATGGCACACCCGCGGTTGCATATTACAGAAAACTGCTTGCCCCCTCCCTGTTTTAGCTAGTCCTCAATTTGGTCCAGTGTCCGAGTCCCACATCCTACTTCACCCGCTTCCAGGAGACCTTCCCTGGTTGCCACAGCCCACCCAGGAAGAGCCAGCGCCTCTGTATGCCCACAGCCTTTGTGGGCACCCCTCGTCCCCACACCACCACGTACTGTGATCGTCTTTACGCACCTGCCTCCCAACTGAGGGCATGAGTTCTGTTCCTTGATTGCGTCAGCTTCCCACCATCCTGCAGAGCCCCCAACATGCCATCACAGAGTGAATTAATGAGTCCAGCCTTCATTTCAAGGTCAAGACCACTAATGCACTAAAGCCTCCAGTACCAGATCTGCCCTTAGTAGATGCTCAAGAAACATCAGCTCAACCTGCACATTCATGCCCCAGACGCTACCAGTAGGGGCTACATTTGGGGGTCTCCAGGTGGCTCTGCAGCTGAGCCTCTGGAATAGGCTGGGGAGGATCATGAGGGTGGAGGCAGGGAGCTCAGCATGGGCTGTAAAACCAAATGGGGGGAGAGAAGGGGGCCATGTCGCAGGTGTCAGCTGTTCTTTCTACTGCTGCTGCAACTTTCCATGGAATTTTGTGACAGTGGTAATTACCGCCTTTCCTAGGGTTTGATTTTAATTTGTGCTGAGAACTGGGGTATTTGACGTTCAAATTTTCTTTCTCGCAATTTAAACTCACATGAGGCTCACTTGCTATTCCTACCAATCTTAGACACATTTTCTGCTGTGGAGCTGGCTGCTGGCCCAAAGCCCACAGTGAGAGGAAGAGTGAAGGCCCCTGTTTCAGGGACTGGAGCCCACTGCTGACTCATGACTCAGGGCTCTGTACCCCACTCCCATGCTAGGAAAAGTGTGTCCCCTTCCCACAGAATTCCTTATGCTTACAGCATTGTTATGAAGAGATCATGTATGATGACATGCAAAATGTTCATGGAGTTAAGAATCACATTCTTACATTTCTGGGTGCTTGGCTGCAGTATGAGTTTTCCATGCATTGACCTCTTAACAACCATATACTATTATGCACATGCTGCAGATGAGGAAACTGAGGCTAAGAGAGGCTGAACAGCCTGCTCAGGGCCACACAACTGGGATGGGGCAGGCAGGTGTAGACCCAGATCTGACTCTGAGCCCTCGTCCCATGGTTTGGCCATCAGCACTGCCACCTCCTGGCACATGCCAGGCAGAGTATGCATATGGGTCCATTATAAACAGGGGCATTTGATATCAAGCAATTGACAAACGTGAGCTAGGTTTAAAGACTTTTTTTTCAAAACATACCTTTTTTTCCGGACAGGGTATTCAAGAACAATTAAGCTAACAAAATTCATTTTTGATTCAATGCAAATATTTTGTGAAGCATATTATTTTTAACATATTATTCATGCAAAGTGTGTCTAAATTGGCTTAACTGTTTCTCAACTCATGATTTACAACACAGAAAGTGGCTTGGAGAGGTCTTGCCAATGCTACTGATGGCAGTGGGCTGCCTAATGGGCTGGGTCCTCCTGCTGCTGCCTTTTTTGAGACAGAGTCTCACTCTGTCGCCCAGGCTGGAGTGCAGTGGCACGATCTTGGCTCACTGCAATCTCTGCCTCCTGGGTTCAAGGGATTCTCCTGCCTCAGCCTCCCAAGTAGCTGGGATTACAGGCGCCTGCCACCATGCCTGGCTAATTTTTTTTTTTTTTGTATTTTTAGTAGAGATGGGGTTTTGCCATATTGGCCAGGCTGGTCTCAAACTCCTGACCTCAAGTGATCTGCCCGCCTCAGCCTCCCAAAGTGCTGAGATTACAGGCATGAACCACCATGCCCAGCCACTGCCCTGCTCTTGAGCCGGGTCCCCACCCTCGGCTGGGGCGGCTGGCCTCCACCACCCACCTGCTGGAGGACATGAACTCTAAGGCCTTGGGCTTTGGTTATCTGCCACCGTTAGTGCCACAGGCAGCACTAGAGGCCACTCCTAACTTTACCTACTTCTTATCCTTGTCCCTCCTCATACCAGAGCAGGGGAGGGGAAAAGAGAATGAGAGGCAGGCTGTGCTGGGGTGAAGCGAGCACTCAGTGGACACTCGGTATTCACTCACCTGTGCTCATTCCTCAACACTGACTGGCCACACACCACGTGCTGGGCTCACTGTGGGCTTGCAGTGGGTGCAAAGGACACTGAGTCAGGATTCTGCCCTCTAGGAGGTAGCATGTTGGGGACCAGCTGGCTGTTCTCTTTGAGGGTCTCCCTGCATCCCTGCCACTACCTTCCTGTGCAACCCTGGCCCAACCCCTTCTCCTCTCTGGCCTCAGCTTCCCCACTGTGAATCCATGGATATCCTCACTACAGACCCATAATCTCCAAGGGTCCTTCCAGCTCCAAGTCAGCCTGCCTGTGCCCATCGTTGCTGCCCTCTGCTGTCCCTGCCTGCCACTGGCTCACTTCTCTCTTATTGGACCCTCTGAGGACAGGACCAGGGTAGGGAGCCCTCGTGTTCTCTGACAGTTCCTGAGCAAGCCCAGGAAAAGAAGGGAGAATGTCCTGTTGTCTCTACAGGAAACATGACAAGGGAACCAACTCGCAGATGGAAGGAGCCCCCATTCCAGAGCTGTAGGCCACATCACTCAACCTCTCAGAGCCTGGGTTTGCTCACCGGTAAAAGGAGAGAGTCCCAGCCGTTTCCTCACGGGGCTGTTGTGACGACGAACTGCAGGCAACCATGCAGGAAAAGCATCAAGCACAGTGCTTGTCCCAGGGTGTTCTGACATGGGCTCTCAGGCCACACACCATGAGTGCCAGGCACAGTCATGCCTGTTGAGTGATGCTCGTCAAGGTCCTGGCACACAGCAGCCACCTGTTCCATGAAGGAATATACAAATTTGGGAACAGAGCGCAGCACTGCCCACCCTACTCACAGCTCCTGCATCTACCACCCCAGGTGAAACTGATAGAAAGCTAAACTCCCCTCTCCTAAGAAGAAAAAGGAAAAGTACCTTCCCCAAAGCTCTGAGCTTTATCCAGTACTTAATGTGGGCTGAGCAGCAAATGTCAGGGCTTTCAGAGTTATGTATTTCAGGACAGAGACAGAGAAGAAATTAGGAGTCTTTGTATTAGTCTGTTCTCACACTGCTAATAAAGACATATCGGCCAGGTTCAGTGGCTCATGCCTGTAATCCCAGCACTTTGGGAGGCCGAGGCAGGCAGATCACCTCAGGTCAGGAATTCGAGACCAGCCTGGCCAACATAGTGAAACCCCATCTCTACTAAAAATACAAAAATTAGCCAGACGTGCTGGCAGGTGCCTGTAATCTCAGCTACTTAGGAGGCTGAGGCAGGAGAATGGCTTGAACCTGGGAGGCGGAGGTTGCAGTGAGCCAAAATTGCACCACTGCACTCCAGCCTGGGAGACAGAGCAAGACTCTGTCTCTAAATAAATAAATAAGGCCGGGCACGGTGGCTCACGCCTGTAATCCCAGCACTTTGGGAGGCCACAGCTGTAGGATCACCTGAGGTCAGGAGTTCAAGACCAGCCTGGCCAACATGGTGAAACCCCATCTCTACAAAAATACAAAAATTAGCCAGGCGTGGTGGCAGATGCCTGTAATCCCAGCTACTCAGGAGGCTGAGGCAGGAGAATCACTTGAACCTGGGAGGTGGAGGTTGCAGTGAGCCAAGATCGCGCCATCGCACTCTAGCCTTGGTGACAGAGTGAGACTCCATCTCAAAAAAATAAATAAATAAAAAATAAAATAAAATAAAGACATACCTGAGACTGGATAATTTATAAAGGAGTTTTAATTGACTCACAGTTCTGCATGGCTGGGGAGGCCTCAGGAAACTTACAATCATGGCAGAAGGTGAAGCAAACACGTCCTCCACGTGGCGGCAGCAAGGAGAAGTGCAGAGTGAAGTTGGGGGGGGCGGGGAATGTCCCTTATAAAACCATCCAATCTCGTGAGAACTCACTGTCATGAGAACAGCATGGAGGTAACCGCCCCCATGATTCAATTACCTCCCACTGGGTCTCTCCCACGATACCAGGGGATTATGGGAACTACAGTTCAGGATGAGATTTAGGTAAGGACACAGCCAAACCATATCAATCTTCTAAGCCCCACTTAAGAAGCCTGATTTAGGAACTGGCGTTCAAGTTCTGAAGACTTAAATCACTGAGGCTATGTGAAGGGCTGATTCAATCTGACGACCAGACTCAAGGAGTGCCCCAAACCTCACATGTCTGGCCTGATCTGGGCTGTGCTGACTCAGGCCTGGCTCTCACCTTTGGGGGCCTTTGTCCCCATTCCTTTCCTTTGCTGCCAGGTCTTGTATTTTCAGCTGCATGTATCTCCCCCTGCCCCAGCCTAAGGAGATAAAGTGCCTGGGAGGATGGTCAGCACTCAGGAAACCACAACCAGCTCCCCAGCCTCTGACACCACAGTCGTCCGGGATCACGTGCTGGGCACAGTCAGGGTGCAGGGGGGAGCTGAAGATCCCATCCAGCTTTGAGGGAGGCCGAGGAAGGGGCAGGTGCATGGTGAGCTCATGGGCACGGTGGCTCACGCCCGTAATCACAGCACTTTGGGAGGTCGAGGTGGGAGGATTGCTTGAGCTCAGGAATTTGAGACCAGTCTGGGTAACATGGTGAAACCCCAACTCTACCAAAAATACAAAATTAGCCAGGCAGGGTGGTACATGCCTGTGGTCCTAGCTACTCGGGAGGCTGAGGGTGGGAGGATTGCTTGACAAGCCCAGGAGGTCGAGGCTGCAGTGAGCTGTGATGGCACCACTGCACCCCAGCCTGGGTGACAGGTCAAGACCCTGTCTCTAAATAAATTAATAATAAATGGGGGAATGTGGCTGTGACGTTGGAATGGTTGAATTTAGGGCGGTCCGGAGATCCTAAAAATACCAGGGGGCTGTCTAGCTGTAACCTCCACGTCTCTGAACCTCTCCAAAATGGTCACCCAGTACCTCTTTATTGAAATATTTCCCCAGGGAGTAGTGACACGAAGTGAGAAAGCCGGCGCTCCCTTCCACGGGGGTCCTCCCCTCCTGGGGTCTGCGGCCTCAGCGCCCGCGAGCCTTCTGGCCGCCAGAGGGCGCTGTAGCCCAGCTGGGGCCGCGTGCTTTCCGCACCGTTCTTCCCTAGCCACCAACCCTCCGCCCGTGGTCCTTGCGCAGGCGGGGCGCAGGTTGTGGAGGGGATGCTCGGGCCTCTGCGGGCCAAGACTGGGCCATACAGGCAGGTGACTTCGCCTTCCAGGGTGTGGCCTGTTCAGAGTAGCATTTTCTGGCTTCACCAGGATGACTGGGCAAAATGCAGATTCCCCAACTGGCTCTGCGCAGGTGGGACCGCAGGGGCAGCTTTCAAAGTACTGATGCCCGGCCCTCCACAGATCACCGAGTAAGTAGACCAGGGCAGCCTGGCATCGGCTTCCAGTGACAGCCAGGGCTGAGACCCGCTGGTTAGAACTTGACATGGTACCAACACACGCTGAATTTGGGAGCCACTGCCTTAAAGGGACTTGGGGTCTCGGCAGTCCATTCATTCATTCATTCATTCATTCATCCATTCATTCATCCATCCATCCTTCCATCCATCCTTCATCTCTGCAGCTCTTTGCTGTGCCTGAGACCTTGGATGCCCTCACGAGCTGGCCTGTGGAACCACAGGGTAGAATCTGGCTGCATCTTTGATTCTCTCAATGTCTCTTTTTGCCGATCACTTGGCCCTGCACCACTTTCCACGCCAGGAGAGTATTTAACCAGTTCCCCGGCTGCTGGGCCTTCTGCTTGCTTCCAGTTTTTCCATTAATCCATGCAGTGGTGGGCTTCCTGGCAAGCCTTCTGGGGCCCTTGGGTGAAGTTCCCAGGTAGCTCTGCCTGAAAGGCACCACTGGGTCATGAGGCGGGTGCATTTAACCGCCCACCTGCGGTCCAGTTAGAGGACTTGCACTCGAAGTGCAGTGTGCAGTGGACAGGCCTGCTCTCCTGAGCATGTTTCATCCCACCCGGGCACGGGGTCATAGTGGCTGCTGTTTCCTATGCACCTAGTGCACGCTGAGCTCATGCCCTGCACTTAGAGACATCATCACAGTCCACGGCAGCCATCATGGTAATCCCCATTTTACAGTAGAGGAATTTAGGGCACTGGGAGGTTAAGTCATTTACTGAGGTCACACAACCAGGGACATGCACAGTTCGAACCCAGGGCTGTCTAGTAGCCGAGCTCATGCTCCTGCCTCCAGGCCCTCCTGTATCCATGCTGCTCGGCCCAGCACTGATGGGGCACCCAGCTCTGTTTGGCCCTTGCAGGGTCGGGGGTAGGCTGGCTGCTGCTCAAATACCTACTTGGCAGGTGGGAGGCAGAGGGCAGTCTGCCTGCTTCAGGGTCCCCAGGTCCTAGTGAAAGTGTGGTTCAGGGCCCAGCCTTAAGAGGCATTTCCTGAGGCTGCTGGGTCAAGCCTGGCACCCACCCAATGGCTGGGAATGGGCCTGGAATGGTGTAGCCTCCCAGGCAGTTTGGCAGTGTCCCCAGCAGCTGCTTCCTGTCCTGGGCTGCTTGAGGTGGACCTCACGGGCCCAGCCCCTGTCCTTTCCTGGGCTCTGCCTGGCACCACTGAGTAGTGGACCAACAGTCCTACAAGGGCCTGCCAGAGTCAGTTCCATGAGGCAGCAGGATTAATGGTCTGGTTTTACAGATGAGGAAACTGAGGCCCATGAAGGAACTCATCGAGTGCCTGGTATGTAGGTAGCGGAGTGGAATTCAAACCCCAGGCTTCTGATTCCAGGCACCATGTTCTTCCCACCACCCTCCACTGCCTCTGGCTGATAAACAACCTATTCCCCGGTTCCACACGGGAGGAAACGGCTCGAGTTACAAGGCTCCGCTTTGGTGCTTCAGGAGGACGCTGGGAGGCTCTGAGTTCAGACACCAACCACGTTTTTGTTCTAACCTCCCTCTGAATGGCTCCATGAGGGTTCTTGGGGAATGTGTGTGTTGTGGCAGAGGCAGGGAACAGGGGGTCTCCAGGCACCTCCTCTGGGCTCCTACAGCCCCAGTGTCCCAGAACAGAGCCTATGCCATGCTGCCAGTTCCTCCACGTGTGATCCCACAGGACAAGCACTTTCTGAGGTTTTCCCTGCTGTCCTGGACACCCAGGCTGGCCCAAGGCAGAGCAGGAATTCAAGAGGAAGGTTCCTTGAGAAGATAGGAGGTGGGGAGGAGAAGGGGACATTTGGTCTCTTTGGGGAGAGTTTGGCCCCCATCCCTGCAGCCCCCTCCCTGGGCCAGCACCAGCCCCATACCATCCCACCCTCTCCGGTTGTGGAAACTTGTACCTCAGCCCAGAAAAATGAACTTGCTGGAAGTCAGTTGCTTGGCTGCCCAGGCCAGCCAATCCGGTGCTAGGAGTGCCTCGCCCCCCTCTAGGGACAGAGGGCCAGGGCTGGACCAGAGGGGCTGAAGAGCAGGCTCTGCCTGAGACCGGTGTCCCAGACAGCAGGGCGGGAACAGAAAGAGGGAGAGGTAGCGAGGGAGGCGGAAGCAATGAAAAGCCAGGAGAGGGGGAGACATGGAAACGGTGGGGAGGAGGGCAGAGCAGACACACTGTCTCCAGCTGTGCACTCTTGGGGGGATGCCGGCACCTCCTGGTCTCCTGGAGCCATTCCTCACCTGCACGACAGGCACACTGGAGCATGTCTGTCAACCTTGGCCCAGTCACTCAGCATTTTTCCACCTTTCTCTCCCACCCTGCCTGTCTCTCCTTCCCCAGGTAGGCAAAAGCTGCTATGATATAGATTCTAGAATTTAGACACAGACTCCTCTGCGGCAAAGGCAGGGATAAATGGTAATGAGATGAGGAGTTACAGCTATGGTCTCCTTGCCTTGTCCCCATTTTAGAGGAAACTGAGCCTTTTTCTCCTTCTTTTTCTTCTTCTTCTTCTTTTTTTTTTTTTAAAGAGACAGGGTCTCGCTATGTTGTCCAGGTTGGTCTCAAACTCCTGGGCTCACACAGACCTCCCACCTCAGCCTCCCAAAGGGCTAGGATTATAGGTGTGAGCCACCACGCCCACCCAATACTGAGGCTTAAAATGATCAAGTGACGTGCCCACATCCTTTGGCTACTCTGTGATTTAAATCCAGATATGCTTGAAGCCTGAGCTGTATTTTCTTCCTCTCCCTTGTCCTCCTCCCTCATCTGGAGCCAGCCTCAAAGCCTCTGCTCATGTCTTCTACTTCTCTGCCCTTCCAGAGACAGCTACAGCTGGTCCCATCACCCCACAGAGACATCTGGGGCTCCCTGTCGCCACCCAGAAAAGCTGTCTGCCTTAGGCCCAGGGTCCTGGGGCCAGAGGAAACCCATAAATACAAACACATTTGCATGAAGGCCCAGCAGTTGGCTTCCGGGCCAGTGCTGCCAAAAGTGGGAGTGGCCACCACCAGCTTCCTGGGACAAACGTGTCCTGACAACCAGGTTGGTACTATTTGGTGTTTATTTAGACACACAAATAAACCTGGTGGTTCAAACAGCTTGTGCTCCTTTTTTTTTTTTTTTGTCATATATATATTTTTTTGAAAAAGATCAACATATCACCAGTCCCCCATGGTTTTTCTCTACTGAGCAATATATACAGCCTATTATATATATATATATGTCTATGTATATAATATATATTTTCAATAGATAACTACATTCAAGTAATGAAACACAGGATTTACAATTTCCCTCCGAAGGCAGAGGAAAAGCAGATTCACACACAGTTCACAGAGGAAGTACCATGAGAGCCCGGCCAGACGGCAGCCAAGGACGCTCTGGGGGCAGGGGCGGGGCCAGCAGCAGAAGTCACCACAGTCCCACTGGTGCTTATCGTGGGGAGCGGGCAGGTGTGGGTGGAGGGCAGGGCTAGCCTGATCTGTCCAGGAACCTCAATCTTCCAGGAGGTGCTCGAATTTGGGGTTCACAAAGGAGAAGCCAGCGAATGCAGACTGGTCCATGGAGTCGATGAGGTTCTTGTCGCTGTAGGAGAGGCGCGCCTTCTCGTTCAGGAACTCCTGGTCAAAGTTACTGTAGTCTCTGGGTGACTTCTACAAGCAGAGGGCAGGGGTGAGCGAACAGGACCTAGGGAATGGCCCTCCAGACACCCCAGGCTGGAGTCCCTGCAGGGCTGGGCCAGGCCAGAGCTGTCCTCACCCAGAACAGAAGACAGAGCCTCCCCTAGCAGCCTGAAAGGAGCCCCATGGGAAGGAGGCTGCCATTTCCCCAAGAGGATGAGGAAAGTGACCAGGGAGCTCTGGGCCTGGGTTAGGAGAGGTGGTAGCCTCTTGCTCAGAGACCACCGAATCACAGCCCAGGGAGGCTCACTTACCACCTGTTTTTGTGGGGACCACAAGCTAAGAATGGCTTTCACATTTTTAAATGGTTGGAAAAAAAATCAAAAGAAAAATATTTCATGACATGAAAATTAGGTGAAATTCAAATTTCACTTTCCATAAATAAAGCTTTTGTAATACACAACCATGCCCATTTGTTGACATACTGTCTATGCCTGCTTTGAGACCATCAAGCCTGAAAAGCCTAAAATATATACTATCAGGCTGTTTACAGGAGAAATTTGCTGATTCTCTGCTCCTGAGGATATGATGGGATGGTAATATAGAAAGACCGCAAGCTGGTGGCCCTTCAGCCAAACTGAACTGGCAAGTACAATCATTTCGGCTTGTACTGGGTTTTAATGGAATTTGAACCTATATTTTATTTATTTATTTTTATTTATTTATTCATTTAGAGATGGAGTCTCACTCTCTTGCCCAGGCTGGAGTGCAGTGGCACGATCTCGGCTCACTGCAACCTCCACCTCCTGGGTTCAAGCGATTCTCCTGCCTCAGCCTCCTGAGTAGCTGGGATTACAGGTGTGCACCACCGTACCCGGCTAATTTTTTTTGTATTTTTTGTAGTAGAGACGGGGTTTCACCATGTTGGCCAGGCTGGTCTCGAACTCCTGACCTCAGGTGATCTGCCTGCCTCAGCCTCCCAAAGTGCTGGTGTGGGCCACTGTGCCCGGCCTGAACTTATATTTTAAAATTGAGCAATGCAACCTAAAAATCCAGATTTCCAGCTTCTTTTGAAAACTGGCAGATTAAAGCAGCCCTGGGCCCACTTCCTGCCCACTCTTGGTGCTAAGAGCCCCCTGGACAGCCCCTGCCCCACTGACAAGGGGTACATCACACCTGCTTTGTGTTTCTTAGTGCGGAGAAGGAAATCTATCAAAAGTGAGACTGAAAGCAGGCTGTGTGATTTTCTTGCAGCTGGCCTAGCCTGTCAGTTACATGCTCAGCCAGGACACGTCTGAGTTTGAGGTCCCTGGTGTAGGGGAAGTGCTCTGTAGCCTCAAAGCACAAATGTGGGGCGCATTACACAGGCTGCCCAGTGGGAACTGTGTGCCCTGGTGGAGGAGGGGAATCAAAGGACAGAAGGGGAGTGGGAAGGAAGAACTGTGGTCACAGAGGGGCCACACAGCCCCAAATTTCTTAGTGGCCCCACCTGCCTCTGCTCTCAGGCTGGTTCCTTGGTAGCCCTGTAGATTCTGGGCCTGTGAGTGAACCAGCCCCTCTTCCACCTGGAATGCCTCCCAGCTGTCCCTTGTCTCACTTCTTCCAACGGGGCCTCTCAGACCCACCCTCTTCTCTGCCACCTGGGTTCCTGCTGACAGACCCACTCAATAGCAACGGATCATGTGTCCTGGGGCATCTCTTATACTGTCATCTCGTATCACAAATTGTCATAGGTGTGCAAGTTTCTTATCTCTCCAACTAGCTGAGAGCTCCTCCGGTTCTGGGACTGCATCTCCCACTTTGCTGTGCAGCCCAGCACTGTGCTCTGCATTCAACAGGGACTCAGGATTCCCCATATGTATTGGAAAATGGATTGAATGGAGCGATAAAGTGAGGTCTTAACTCTATTTCCCAAAACAGGGTCCTCTGCATACAGTGGGATCCACAGTCCCCAGTGTGTGCTGAATGACTGAGTCAGGAGGGAGAGGATGAGAATACAAGGGCAGCGGCTGTGACTGAACATGCTATGGAGATTGCTGGAAGAAGGGAGAGGTGGAAAGCGTGTGAATGATGCAGGAGAGAGGGAGGGCAGGAGAGGAGTAGCTCAGCCTGAAGGCAGCACAGGGCAGGATCACATACCACTTTGGGCCTGAAAGGTGGCTCCAACCTCCGCTTTTCCAGCAGAGTCCAGTTTATGGTCTTGAAGAAGGGGTGGATTTTGATGTTTCCGGTCACTCCCAGCCTCTTGGTTGGTTCCCTTTCAAAGAGCTGCAACCCAGCAGGGACCCTGGTTAGCACCCAAGGGCCATGGGAAATTGGAGCTTCAGCAAATCCCCAGCAGGCCCAGGGATGCAAAGCCAGGCTTGCCCCAGCCCCAGTCAGCCTGGGGAACGGTGGGGCTGAGGGAGGCCACTCTGGCCTGCAGTGCTCCCAGCTCCCCCGGAGATGACAGGCTCTGGGCTGGACATCTGCGACTCTGCTGGTGGAACTTTTTATTATTTACTATCTGCCTGGCCCACAGCTGAGCATCATATGTTTCTATTTTCTTCCCAACAACTCTGTGAGTCAAGTCTGCTCATAGCCCCATTTTACAGATAAGGAGACAAACTCTGAGAGGTTAAGTGACCAGCTAGTCCCAGGCAGAGCCAGCATTTGGCCTCGGGTCTGTCTCCTGACCCTGGGCCCTTAGTCACCATGTCAGGCTGATTCTATGCACAGGACTCAGACAGGAGTTCCTGGGAACATGGTGAGAGAGCAATACCCCGTATGTTAGGACTGCAGCACCACTGAGGCTGCCATTCCAGAGACAGGAAGCTCCTCACCCAAAGCCCAGTGTCTGCCAGCCCCTGCCCCAGCCCAGCCCAGACCAGCCCAGCCCAGCCCAGGGCCTCCACCTTCTCCAGGATGTCCTTGGACTCCTTGGTGATCCAGCGGGGATAATGTGGCGTGTCCACACGGATGGACTCGAAGAGTTCATCCTCATCATCACCATGGAAGGGGGACTGGCCAATGAGCATCTCGTACAGAAGGACCCCGAAAGACCACCAGTCCACAGAGAATGTGTACTTCAGGCCCTGTAGGATCTGGCGGTGGGGAGAGCAGCAGGTCAGCAGGAGCTGAGGTGCTGAGGCTGAGAGGGGCCCCTGGGCACGAAGCCTAGCCAGGCCGCCTCAGCCTATGGGCTTTGGCTTGGACATCACTGCCCTTGGGAATCCTTCCCTGGCCCACCGTGGGGAGGCAAGGTGCCTGACTGAGCGGGGGGCTGGAAGGGTATCGGCTCACCTCAGGGGCGATATAGTCAGGGGTGCCGCAGAAGGTGCTGGCCCGGCTCTCCCCGAATATGTTCTCTTTGCACATCCCAAAGTCGGCAATCTTGATGTGGCCATCCCGGTCCAGCAGCACATTGTCCAGTTTGAGGTCCCTAAGGACAGGGGACAGGTAAGAGTCAGCAGGGGACATTTCTTCTCCTTCCAACCCTGCCCCCCATGTCCTAATTTTCAGCCGTATTAGTCCAGGACTGTCCCCAAGGGTACAAGGGAATGAGAAACAGAAAAGGAAGCAGAAGGAGAAAGAGATCCTAAAAACAGGTGCTTCTTGCAAGTCCCCTACTGTGTGCTAAACGCTGGGCATACACTGCCCTACTTCCTGAAGCCCAAATGGGGCTCAAACAGGTGATGTCACTCGCCCAGGGTCCCCTAGCAGTCAGCAGCAGAAGTGACCCCCAGGTTCAGGTTTGTCTACTTCCCACAGGCAGAGACCATGTCTATATTTAGTAATTAGTCATTTGAGTATATACTTAATGCATATGGGAACTAGAAATGGCAAACAGTACAAAGTCTACCTTCCACTGAGCTCAATCATGAGGCTCTCCTTAGAGCAATTCTAGGCGTGGACAAGCATATGGCAGCATGCAGCTCGCTCCCACCTTTTTTTTTTTTTTTTTTTTTTTTTTTGAGACACAGTCTCATTCTGTCACACAGGCTGGAGTGCAGTGGCATGATCTCAGCTCACTGCAACCTCCGCCTCCCGGGTTCAAGCAATTCTCCTGCCTCAGCCTCCTGAGTAGCTGAGATTACAGGCATCCACCACCATGCCCAGCTAACTTTTGTATTTTTTAGTAGAGACAGGGTTTCACCATGTTGGTCAGGCTGGTCTCGAACTCCTGACCTCGGGTGATCTGCCCACCTTGGCCTCCCAAAGTGCTGGGATTACAGGCGTGAGCCATCGCGCTCAGTCTCCCTCCCACGTTTTAAAGGCTGAATGCTAATATTCGATATACACTTTCCCACAGGTTGTTTTTCCACTTAACAACATATCTTGGCATTATCCCACATCAGTATACAGAGCCTGACCTCAGCCTTTTTGGTGGGTGTACAGTTCCCACCATAGGATGGAATCATAACTTATTAGATGAGACTTTATGGAAGGAGTCCCTTCTGGCAGAAGCTTAGATGACTCGATGGGGCTTCAGAGCGAGACTGACGGCTCCAAGGATGGGTGGGGCGATGGTGTCAAATATGAGCAGTGAGTTCCTAGTTCCTGAAGCTGAGCCAGCCTCAAATGGTGGCCACAGGAATGCTAACACCAGGGTGGGAGGCATAGGCAAATACCCAGCTAAAGATTGATTTCCAGCAGAGAAGGAACTGGAGTTGGGGGGATCCTGCTTGGAGCATTTCAGAAGATATGATGGGGCTGGAGCCTCCCCTCCCAAGAGCCCCCGCTGCCCTCACCCCCGCACCTGTAAATGATGCCCTTGCTGTGTAGAAACTGCAGTCCACACATTATCTCAGCGGCATAAAACCTGGGCAAGAGAGAGGGATAAAGTGTTCCGGGATCTCTGCCGAGCAGCCTCTGCTTCTCCTCGGGCCCTCAACCCCACTTCCAGGAGCAAGAAATGCTGCAAATAACTCCATGGACCACCTGAGCATGATCAAGTACATCTTGTATCAGGCAAGTGGGGGCTGGCAGCCCAGGCAGAAAGTTCTGAAGGGAAAGCTCTCAGTGAGCCAATTCTCTAAGAGTGTATGCATTTACATGCATGTACATATGTGTTTGCATGCATGCACACACACACACACACATACACGGTTAGTTTGGGGTAAGGGGCATGTGAATGGGGAGAAGCAGGTCTGGGGGCCACGCACCAGGGTCCTGTGTCCTGTGTCATGCAGGACCACCATTTGCAAGGCTGCCCTGGCTGTGGCCCACGGAGCGGCCAGGACCCAGAGTATTTGCGCTGCGCACCCAGCCGCAGTTCACTTGCCACCCATGGCTTCCTGTGTGGTGCCGACCCAGGCTACCCCCACATCTCCCCAGTTGCCGCTCTAGCCCAGGCTGGCTTTTCTAGGGAGAGGGAAGAAGGCATGGAGGGCAGACTGGAAGTGGGCTCTGAGCCAGTAGCCCTTCCTCCACACTGGGCCCTTCCCCACCATGGCCCTTACGTACGTGGCACGGTAGAGTTCAAAGCGGCCTTTGTCCTGGATGTGGTACATCAGGTCCCCCCCGTTGAGGAACTCCATCACAAAGAACAGGTGGTCCTGGGGTGGGAAGGGTGGTGAGCAGGGGTGAGGAATAGGCAGGAGGCTCCCTC
Organism: Homo sapiens; assembly: GCF_000001405.40. Taxonomy (NCBI): domain Eukaryota; kingdom Metazoa; phylum Chordata; class Mammalia; order Primates; family Hominidae; genus Homo; species Homo sapiens. Next base: position 53,186,550 of record NC_000003.12, on the reverse strand, counting down.
ACTGAGGGCCACTGGGGCCAAGCCCCAACAGGAAACAGCAGGGACAGGCCCTGGCTGAGGTGGACGACTCTGCCCTGGGAGGCATGAGGGGGGAAAGCATGGCCCTGCCTTAAGTGGCCTGAAGGGGAGACACAGCCCTGACTGAGGGGGGCTGAGGAGCTGTGGGACATGGCTGTGGCATGGGGTGGTGACGGCAGGAGGCCCGGGCACCTTGGTCTGGAAGGTGCAGATGAGGTGGGTGAGAAAGGGATTCTCTGCGGCAAGTGTCAGCACCCGCTTCTCAACCATGGTGCACTCCACGTCGTCGTCGATCAGGACCACATCCTTCTTGAGGGCCTTGATGGCAAAGTACTCTCCTCTGCCCTTCAGCTCTCCAAGCAGCACCTGATGGGGAGACACGGGTGCTGAGCAGGTGAGGACGGGGCAGGGGCCACAGCCCGATTCACAGACTCCCACCTCAGCCACCTAAGCGGGAAGAAGCCAGGGTGGGGTGGGAAGCAGGTGCCCGGCTCACAGCCCTCACCTTCCCGAAGCTGCCTTTGCCCAGGACCTTGTGGAAGATGAAGTTGTTGATGTTGCACTTGCTGCTGCCCTCCCAGATCTTGCCGTAGGTCCCACTGTTGTCTGCCCGAGAGATGGCACCTCCTCAGATCGGGGTCTCAGTCTACACAACTCCCCTCCCCCGGGGCCTGGGGTAGGCTGGGGGAAGGGGCCTCAGAGAGGAAGGGGCTCGCTCCCCAGGACCGGTGGTTCCTTCCATGTCTCACTTGACAATGGAAGGGAGGACAGTCCCCTTTCTTTGGCCTCAGGGGGAATAAAAACCGTAATGGGGCAATGGACCCAGCTTCACCTTGCATGTCCTCCCCAGCAACTCCGGTCTTCTTCTCGAAACCCTGATATATCCCAACAGGCTCTGAGGAGGCTGAGTCTGATCTCCGGGAGGCTCTCTGGGGAGGGAGCAGAGGTGGGGGGCCAGATGGTCAGACCATTATCAGAACTCCCAGCCCAGAAGGAAGACTCCCAGGTATAACTCCACCCTTAACACCAAGAGGAGACAACAGGGGCACAGCCCAGGCCCCCTACTCGGGCTGCGTGTACACACACGCACTCTTCCAGGAGCCCAGAGAAGCCTTGGTGGTCTGAAAGGCTCTGATTACAAACAGAAGTTTTGTAAACGGAACCCTACCTTCCCAACCACTCACTCGATAGATTTTATTTGACTATTTAGCTTCATTTCTGATTGATTCTAAAATTTTACCTTTAGGTTTTGTGGCATCCCTCAAGCCCCCCCCACATACAAACGTCCACACCCAAAGTCTTAGTTCAAAGTGTTCCAACACCCACTCCTGTGGTCCCCAGGTTCACCCTCAAGTAAAGAACTGCCTGAATAATGAATTTCTTATGAAAAAAAGCCCCCCTCCCTCTGCTGCCTAAATTCTTGAGTTGCATCTTCCCGAAGTAGAGTCCTGGGTCTAAATATATCCTGGCTGTCTGTGGCTCCCCAGCAGTGGCTGTAAGCCTTGACTGTCCCTGACCCCACTGCCCTGTGTCCAGGGTCCCCATGGCACCTGCCCACCTGGGTGACTTGGTTCAAGGCCTCAGCCAAAAGCTTCTGGTTGATGCCGCAGAGGTTGGCCACCTTCTCCCGGCATTTATGGTGCACATTCATGCCGCAGTCTGGGGTGAGGGAGAAGCGGGGCTGTCAGTCTCAGAGCTCAGCCAAGGGCAGGGGGCAGTGTAGGAGAGGCGCAGGAGAGCAAGAGAAAGGAGGGCTTCAGTGGGGTCTGCTGGGTTCCAGTTTCTAGGAAAACATTGATCTGAAGCCATCATAAATACTTCGATCTCTCTCTCTCTCTCTCTTTTTTTTTTTTTTTTGAGATGGAGTTTCCCTCTTATTGCCCAGGCTGGAGTGCAGTGGCGCAATCTCGGCTCACCGCAACCTCTGCCTCCTGGGTTCAAGGGATTCTCCTGCCTCAGCCTCCTGAGTAGCTGGGATTACAGGCATGCGCCACCATATCCGGCTAATTTTGTATTTTTAGTAGAGACGGGGTTTTTCCATGTTAGCCAGGCTGGTCTCGAACTCCCCACCTCAGGTGATCCACCTGCCTCGGCCTCCCAAAGTGCTGGGATTACAGGTGTGAGCCACCACGCCCGGCCAAGCATTTCAATCTTTCATGATTTTTGTTGTTGTTGTTGTTGTTGTTGTTGTTGTTGTTGAGACGGAGTCTCACTCTGTCACCCAGGCTGGAGTACAGTGACATGATTTCGGCTCACTGCAAGCTCTGCCTCCTGGGTTCACGCCATTCTCCTGCCTCAGCCTCCCGAGCAGCTGGGACTACAGGCGCCCGCCACCACGCCAGGCTAATTTTTTTGTATTTTTTTAGTAGAGACAGGGTTTCACCATGTTAGCCAGGATGGTCTCGATCTCCTAACCTCATGATCCGCCCGCCTCGGCCTCCCAAAGTGCTGGGATTACAGACGTGAGCCACCGCGCCCAGCCAATCTTTCATGATTTAAAGAAAAAGGAAAAACCAGAAGACAGGGACCTAATTCGAAACCCTTTAAAGAACATCTGGTCAACTTAAGCCGCTTTCCCTCCAGGGTCTTCTGTCTCATCTCTAAGTGAAGCAGAGGGCAGGGGAGGCCTGTCTGGGCGCCTGTCGGTGTGCACCAGGCCTGGCTTCAGCACCCTCTGCCCACTGGCCCCTCACAGGGACTCTCTAGGTCCTGCTTTTCTCCTCCAAATGGCTCAGAGGGGTGGAGCCGCCCACCTGTGGTCACACAGCAGGTAAGTGGCAGAGCCAGTCAGGCCAGTGGGGAGGGTCCACCAAGGCCTCACCCTCATCAGGTCCCTGAATGAGGTGCCCGTCTCCAGGTGAGGAGGCGAGGGTGGCGTGAGGTGGCTGGAATTCACAGCAGCACCAGCTGGGAGTGCCCCTCCTGCAGCCCAGGGGCGGGGTGGCACGCACCTTCACACTTTAATCCCTGCTTCACCAGTCCCCAGAGCAGGCTGCCGCAGTGGTCACAGAAGGTGGGGCTCATGTAGTTGTGAACCTTGAAGCGGTGCGGCATGTCGATGTTGAAGCGTTCTTTCTGGAACTGGAGGTGGGGGTATCACAGGCTGAGGGTCACGTGCCAGCTCCAGCCTCTTCTTCAACCCCTAGCTCTCCCCCAACCCTGGGCACAACAACATCCCAAGAGAGCTCCACTGGGAGAGGCAAGGAAAGACTAAGAAAAATGGGGAGGGAGGGTAAGCTCCCCAGGGAGGGTGGGGAGAGGGTGCAAATCCCTCCCATCTGGCCAAGCCCCCCAGATCCCCAGCCCTGCCCCGGACCCAGGCTCACTATAGTGTCCCGGCTGTTGGCCGCGGTGCCAGTGCATCTGCCGATGATCTTGTCGATGCATTTCTTGTGGATGGCAGCGTTACATTCTTGAAGAGGCACAGGCCCAGGAGGGGGAAGGGAAAGCACCGGGAGGGGCAGAGTCTATGAGCTGGTGCCTGCCGACCAGTCTAGCCCTCTACACAAAGCCACCGTTCTCCTGACCGCCCACACCCTCACCCCGCAGAGGCCCAGCGCTTGAGTCTTCCTCCTGCCAGCCCTCGAAGGAGGAGCCTGGAGAGGACGGGGCGGAGAGGACAGGCCAATCTGCAGGGGCTTAGAAAGAAGGAGTCCTAGTGGGCAGGGAGGTGGGCAGAAGTTAGCGGGCACAGGGCATCGCAATATGAGAAGCGGGGGCAGTTCTTCCAAGCCCTGGGATAGCAAACGGCTCCTAAATGCCCTCTCTTACACATGCACATGGACACGCCTCAAAACAGACACCTGTACATACACACAAAGCATGTGTAATAATGATAACAGACTTCTTACACAGAGCGGCTACCAGTGGAAGGCACTTAAAATACAGCTTTACATATCTTATTCCATTTGATCTTCACAATGACCCTATTATACATTATAGTTATATCTAATTTATAGATGAGGGCCAGGCACGATGGCTCACGCCTATAATCCCAGCACTTTGGGAGGCTGAGGTGGGTGAGTCACTTGAGGTCAGGAGTTTGAGACCAGCCTGGCCAACATGACAAAGCCCCTATTCTACTAAAAATACAAAAATTAGCCGGGCATGGTGGTGCACGCCTGTAATCCCAGCTACTCAGGAGGCTAAGGCAAGAGAATCGCTTGAACCTTGGAGAGGGAGGTTACAGTGAGCTGAGATCGCACAACTGCACTCTAGCTTGGGCAACAGAATGAGACTCAGTCTCAAAAAAAAAAAAATTATAGATGAGGAAACTGAGGCACAGAGAGGTTAAGTAACTTTGCCTAAGGCCCTATAGCTAGGAAGTGGTAGAGCTGGGATTCAAACCCAGGCAGTCTGACTCCAGCCTGCGGCGCCTCGTGTATACACCCTCAGGGACAGAGTGTGCTCACACCTGTGTACTCAGAGACACCCACATCTACACAGAAGCACATGCAGCCACTATGTGCCAGTAAAGGACCTATCATTGCCTCTCCGAGGAAAAGAGGCCTGGTGCATGGCCTGGGCTGGTTTCTGCGTGAATACTCTACTGTGCCCAATTGCCATCCACCAACTCCCCGTCACTGAATGCGGAGCTGGGAAGAGATGCGCAGAACTGGTTTTCCAGAGCAGCAGCAAGCCAGCCCCAGCACTCACTGAACTCAGCTGCTGTATCTACACTGGGAAAACTCACGTGCATACACTCTCTGAGCGCACACAGGCACTGGCATACACACAGGCACTGGCACACGTGAGCACACATGGGTACATACGTACAAACTGGCCTGTGGAGACACTTACGCCTGCATTTGTAGCCTTGCTTGTTGAGGCCCCTGAAAGGCAAAACCCAGGCAAAGTGAGTGAGCGGGGACCGGGATCGGCCCCCACTACCCTGCACCACCACCAGTGGGCATGGCCGGTTCTCACCAGACAAAGTCTTTGCACACAGAACAGAAGGTGGGTTGCCCAAAGAAGGTGGCGATAAACTCATGGTTCTTGATGTAGTGGATTTTGGCCTGTTTGATGGCTCCGCGGCGGTTCATCGTTGGGAACTTGGCCTCGTCCTCACTGCGCATAGACTGTTTGCAATCTGGTGACCATGGAGTAGGGAAGTCAGCCCTGGTATCTGGAAGGGGTGGCACCCCTACAGTCCCTCCCAGGGTGGTCCTGGACAGCTCTGCCGAAGGGAGCAGCTTCCCTACACCTCAGTGCTGGCTCTGCCTCTGAACCCGGCAAGGGAGCCCTCCACCCCCAGGGAGTTCTTACCCACGTCCTCCAGGAAATACTGAACAGACATCAACACCTTGGCCTGAGGCTGCAGGTCCAGCTGTTGGGGGCCAGAGGCCAGGGGAGAACAAGGTCAGTGAGGGCAGCCTGGGCCAGGCCAAACTCAGAACCCACCCCCATGGCTGGTCCCCCAAGGCCAAGGCAGCCCCCCAAGGCCTAGCCAGACACTTGTCTGCCCAGTGTGGGCAGGGCCCCGCCTGAGCCCCACTCCTGAGCCCCACCCCCACCCTGTACCCAGGGGTATTATTACATTTAGGGAAGTGAAAGGGTCCAGCCCACACCCAGCCCAGACACATAGCTGGGGAATAGAGCGGGAAGGGAAATTCCCCACCCCTACCCGCTGCAGCTCCCTTAGCAAGGATCTTAGAATGGAGGCCCCTACCCGTGTGCACATGCGGAGAGAGACAGACACACAGACACACTCATCCTCGTGCACACACGCTGCTCCTCCCTCTGTGCCGAGGGCTCCTCATGCAGATTGGACAGTCTCGAGGGTGGGACCTGAGCCTCTATCCCCTCACCTCCCCCAAGACCTAGACCTGGTGACTGATATCCTCCCTTGGGGGAGCGGAGACAGCACAGCCAGAGGCCCCTCTGTGTCCCTGCCTGACTGGCCAAGGGTCAGTACAGCCCTGTGTTAACCTCTCTCCCATCCCAGCCCCCTCACCCCTCGCAGGAGGCTGATCAGAGCCTCCAATGGTCACAGGGCCTTTCCTGGTGGAGACATCTTGGTTACATCCCACATGTAACCCCAGGGGACTTCTGCCAGCACTGGCATCCTGTGGCCACCCAGAACACACAGCTGCACATGGCCAAGTGGCCACATGCTTGTGCAGAGTCTCCATTTCAGCAGGTAAGTAGATGAGACCGTCAGCCTCCCCTTCTCCCACCTCCTTGCTGTTAAAGATCACTATGTTGCCCCCTCAATGGCTGCCAAGGCCTAGAATATATGCGAAGATTCCAAAAAGAACTGGGATAATGGGTGCCTCTGGGAAGGAGGCCTGGTGGCCTGGTGTTGGGGCAGGGACACACCCTTTCATGCAGTTAAAAATGTTTTACTATGTGCATATCCTGCCTTTCCAAAATTAAAAAGGAAAAAGTAGTCACAATAAGGAAGTTGGCCGTCTTTAGCACCTGCTATGTGTCAGGTTCTGCAATAAGCCCTGTACATCCAGCTGCTCCTTTCATTTGAACAACTGACCCTGAGGTAGGCACATTTAGTAGCGCCTTCCCTTAACAGATGCGGAAGCAGAAGCTCAGAGAGGCTGGGAATCTGGTGAATTGCAGAGCCAGGATTCACACCCAGGACATGTTGGCCACAGGGCTGGACTGGTGGCCAGCACAGGGCCCGGTGCTCTTCAGCTGTGCTCACTGACCAAGCCCGCGTGTGTGCACGCACACACATGCACGCATGCACACACACACAGACACACACACACACACACACGGCACGGCTCGTGCGCCCCTTACCCAGAACTCAGCCTTGCCATTGTTCTTCTTGCAGCGCTCGGCCAGCACCGACACACCCACGGTCACCTCAGACACTGGCTCCTCTGCTGCCCGCATTAGCACAATCTGGATGACGCGCCCCTCATAGATGTGGGCATCGAACGTCGACTTCCACTCAGGATACATGGTCGGCTTCTTCTGCACCAGTGTTTTCCCACGCTCTGCAACAAGGCCAGGCAGAGAAGGTTGGGCCATGGCCCCTCTGTCCCTCCCTCGTAGACCTCCACGGCCTTCCCCTGGCAGAATCTGCCCGACTCTCCTGCCTTGAGGGCCTGCTGTGGTTCCCCAGTGTCCTCTAGAGCACAGAACTACCTTGGGCACCCTGCTAGGTCCTCCCTCCAGGCCTTTGTTCCTGCTGTTCCCTCTTCCTCTGATCCTCTTGCTCCAGCTCCATTTAAATGTCGCCTGCCCTTATGCATTCATGCAGGGAACATGGGCTGACAGCTCCTGCATGCCAGCCATAATATTCGAGGCGCAGAACACAGCTGAAAGAAAAGCTACATCCAGGGCCTGTCCTCCTGGATCCCCAGGCCCGGGTGGCGAATGCACCAACTCCTTCCTCAAGTAACTGTTAAGTCACAGTTGTGATGAGACTGAAGAGGGCAAGGCTGGTAGTGCTACAGGGTCAAGCCTAAGGGTCAGGGAAGATTTCCTAGAGGAAGGAACAGTTCAGCCGAGACCTGAGGGACAAATAGGGGTTCACCAGGCCAGGGCAAAAGCAAGAGGGAATGATGTGAGGTATGTGCTTCCTCCAGGAAGTCCTCCCTGACCTCAGGTTCAGAGGGTGCCTTCTCTGGGCTTCCCTATTGCAGGACTCACTGCTTTTTGACGTGCCTGGTTTCCCCACCTGACTATGAACCCCATGAGGGCAGGGCCAGGTTAGTCCTGGAGCATGACAGTATCCTCAGTGCCCCGCACAGGCCCTGGCACAAATGGACATGTAAAAATTGCTGGGTAAAACAACCAGGGAGGAGGAACCAGAAACTCCAAGCCTTCCAAGGAGGGCTCAATTTGGCCAGTGTTTGCAGCCCTATAGCGACTCAGTGGCCTCTGCCTTCATAGCTGAGTGGGGCAGGGAGTCAAGGATGAGGAAGAGCAGAATCCTTCAGAGGTTGCAGGGAACAAGGCCAGGCCCCCTCCAGTCCTTCCAGCTGGGCCCAGATTCCCAGCCCCTCTCCAGGGTCCAGCCTCCAGGCCTACCTGTGCTGAGCGCCTCCTTCATCTTCACGGCACAGAAGGGCTGGTTCGCCTCGTCCTCGGCCTGCAGGGAGCCCAGCTCATAGGAGTTGAAGGCGATGCGCAGGAACGGCGCCATGGTGGGGCCTGCAGTGGGGCTGTGCACACAGAGGGGTGAGGCCAGGCGGCCGGGCGGGACCAGCGGGAACAGTCACGGGCAGCACTCAGGGACCCGCTCCCCCAGGGCTCTGCTATGATTGGGTTTGGCCCACATGATGCACACACACACTAGTCTCAGTTGCCAGTGTTAAAAACTGAGAGGTTTGCCAGGCGCAGTGGCTGACGCCTGTAATCCCAGCACTTTGGGAGGCCAAGGTAGGCAGATGGCCTGAGGTCAGGAGTTTGAGACCAGCCTGACCAACATGGTGAAAAGCCATCTCTACTAAAAATTAGCTGGGTGTGGTGGTGCATGCCTGTAATTCCAGCTACTCGGGAGGCTGAGGCAGGAGAATCACTTGAACCCGGGAGGCGGAGGTTGCAGTGAGCCAAGATCGCACCAGTACACTCCAGCCTGGGTGACAAGAGCCAAACTCCGTCTCAAAAAAAAAAAAAAAAGAAAAAGAAAAAGAAAAATATTGAGAGGTTTATGTAAGTCTGGATTTGCGGCGTCTCTGGTAAAACTGGAAAATGTGATGTTGGGCCCACTGGGCAACAGCCAGCTAGCACTGGGATGGCTGCCCTCCATCAATCTACCCCAGGCCAGGGGCACTCTCTTCACTCCTCCTACCTGGGCCCTGGTGGCATTTGCATCTGTCACCCCTAGATATTCATTTGGGGAGTCACTCAGTGACTCCCTAAGTACCCTATTGCTGGGTACCTGCTCCATGCCAGGCACCTGGTATGTGCCATTGTCACCTGGTAAGGGGACAGGACAGTACTGCCTCTTTCTCCCATCCTGCCCCATGCAGCCCTTCATGATTTTCTAAGTTTGGGGTTTTTTCTTCATAACTACCCAGGCAGACAAGCAGTGCCAAGATAAACACCCCCCACTTTTCAGATGGGGAAACTGAAACCCTAAGGCAGAGAATCAGAACCAAAAGCTGACATTCCACTAACTTGGCACCCACTCTGTTCAGGGATCAGGGCAGTGAGAGGCTCTGCCCACATCAGTGTGCCTGACCCTTCTAAATTGACCCCTTGGGGTCGAGTGCCTCTCGCTTGCCTGGAAGGTTGCCTGCACCTTCAAACTAATTATTTCCCCAAATATAAAACAGGTGGGCATGGTGGCTCACTCCCATAATCTTGGTACTTCAGGAGGCCAAGGTAAGAGGATCGCTTGAGGCCAAGAGTTCAAGGCAGCAGAGTGCCACGCAGTGCACTCCAGCATGGGTGGCAGAGTGAGACCCTATCTCTTAAAAAAAGAACCCAAACTGCCTAGGCGCGGTGGCTCATGCCTGTAATCTCAGCACTTTGGGAGGCCAAGGCAGGCGAGTCACCTGAGGTCAGGAGTTCGAGACCAGCCTGGCCAACATGGTGAAACCCCATCTCTACTAAAAATACAAAAACTAGCCAGGCGTGGTGGCGCATGCCTATAATCCCAGCTACTTGGGAGGCTGAGGGCAGAAGAATGGCTGGAACCTGGGAGGCAGAGGTTGCAGTGAGCTGAGACTGCGCCATTGCACTCCAGCCTGGGCAACAGAGCGAGACTCTGCCTCAGAAAAATAAAAATTAAAAAAAACCCAAACTGTATTTTAATGTTGAATGTAACGCTGAATGTGCCTTGCAGATTCATACACAGCAGCCTCCCACACTCCTGGGTTTCTCACCATTCTCTAAGTTAATGTTCACTACAGTAAGTGACTCCAAGGGGCTCCTCAGGTTGCCACTTGTGAAGGACACACAGGTGTGCAAGCACCTATGTGCACACTGGCTCCTGCCCAGGCCCCACAAGGCTGCTCCATAGCCTTGGTTGAGGGAGCGCTCATTCGATTTTGTGCACATGCACATGTATTCACTCCATCCTGAACATAAGCCAGCACACAGGGGCACACTCAGACACACACGTGTGCATGCACACACAACAGCTGCCCAGCCCCAGATGACTTCCTCCAGCTCCTGCACAAGGTGGCCAGAGCAGTGGCCAGCTCTGCTGGGAGCTCCCAGCTCAGATGAGCTCACAGCAAATGCTGACCTCACCCTGCAGCCCAGCCCAGTGAGTCCAGGCAGCCCTCTGAGGCCAGCAGCTGCCAAAGCAGAGAGCAGGACCCAGGCAGGGCAGGGGCAGACCCCACCACATTCCTTGCCCGGCCCTGGCTCCTACTCAGTGGATGTGAGAGTGGGTGTGCAAGCTCATGCCTGAGCCCAAGTCCCGAAGCCTTCAGCCTGACACCAGCAGGTGGCCTGTGTGCCAGGCCAGCTGCCCTTGACCTCTTGGTGGGCCAGGGAGAGAGGGCCAGTTGGGGGCTGCTGCTGGCTGCTCCCCAGGCTGCAGCATGCATGAATCGGTGTGTGTGAGGTTGCACGGGTCTACAGGAATGTGATTATATACAGCCATGGGAGTGGGTGGCACATGGTGGGCACTCAGTTGATACTGGAGTGAAAAGCAAGCTGCGTGGGCCTGGCCTCGCACATGTGCAGGAATCTGGGTGAGCATCCCAAACCCGTAAGCAAGATGGACATCTTGCCCCTTTTGCTGCCTGGCTTGTCCCTGAGGGTCCAAGAGATCCAGCACCCAGGTGAGTGCTCCCTGGGTCTGGAATGATTGGCAGGTCTGTGTCCACACATCCAGGGCCTAATCCCAGCAGATGCAGCTCTGCTGTTAGGAAAACCTGGAGACCCAGATGGGGCAGTAGGCAACTTCTGAGTGCCTCGGAGGATGATGAGGGTTGAGGGGACAGGGGCACAGGGATAAAGGAGGAGCAAGTGTGTTGCAGGTGGCCTGGGCTCCTAGGGGAGAGAGGCTCAGGGCAGCACATATGGCAAAATGATGGCCAGGCCGCCTGGGTGCTGCATCCTGACACCAACGTTGCCTTGGCTGTGGACTCTGTGCAGGTCACTTGACCTTTCTGAGCCTCAGCCCCCCCATTTCCTGATGAGCAATAGTCTCTTGGCTCAGGGTTGTGGGGATAATGAGAACTCACGTAGGATAAGGGCTACAATCAACCCAACAGGCCATGGGGAGGGGGTTCCTCTTACCACTATCACCCCCCTCACTGCGGCACCCATCCCTCACTGTGCACCTCCCTTCGCAGTTTACAAAGCGCACTCGCATCCCCCACCGCATCCATTCCGCCTGCCCAGCAGCCTGGGAAGACAGTCCTGGTTACAGATCCCACTGCTCAGAAAGGGAAACCAGGTCTCCATGAACATACAACTCACTCAGGAGCACCAGATGCTCCAACACCGGCCAGCCAGGTCCTCCTCCCAGCCACCAACCCTTGGGGCCCAGCCCTGACAGCCCACAGGCTCCATGGCTTCCCCTACCCCCGGCCTGCCCAGCAGGAGGTATGCGTGGGGACCACCCCAGGACTGCATGGAGGGTGGAGGAGACAGTGGGTCAGAGAAGCCCCAGGAGGGTGAGGCAGAGCCCAGGACCTGCCCACCCAAGGGTGGCCCTCCAGCTCTCTCAGGCCACACTCAGAGCAGCTGCTGCTCACATTTAGAAGCCACTGGAGGGAAAACCACAAACACAGCAGGCCCCAGCCCTAAACCTGCACTGCCAGGCTGCAGTGCCATGAGAACTGGGGAGCCATGGTCTTCGTGGGCTGCCCTGAGACTAACCAGCAGTAACCATAGCGTCAGACCCAACCTCCTAAGACTAAAACCAGGGCATGGGCTCTGGCCAGGTTCTGCCACCAACTCTGTCCCTGTTTGTACTACCCAGAGCCCCACATCTTCTTCCATCACTGTGTGACCCTCAGAGAGGTCCTGGGCCTCTCTGAGCCACAAGTCCCTGCTCTGCACAGCAGAGTCAGAGTCTGCCCCCTACCTCTCAGAGTGTATGGCAGGGAGATGGGGGTGAAGCAGCAGCACAAAAGCAAGGTGTGCTGACTATTTATAGCCCCCATGCAAATAGGACCTGGGCCACGGAGGCCCCAGAGGAAGGCCGCTGGCTCAGCCCCAGACTCATGGCCACTCTGCAGGGCCAGGGGGTGCCGGGGGCTCGACCCCACACAGCCTCCATGGGGACAAGCTCCTTGGAGCCAGCTGAGGCCAGCCAGGCCTTTCCCAGCTGCCTAAGGGCTCCTAGTCTCTATTCTGCTTCTCCAGCCTACAGCAGAGGCAGCTTTATGAAGCACAAAGCACCAGACTAAGGGTCAGTGTCTAGGTATGAATCTTGGCTCCTCCACTTACAAGAAGGACAGTCCTTTTCTGAGGCCGACAATGTCGCAGATTACCTCTGTAATTACATTAGCTCACGTTATCCCTATGCGGATCCAGAAGGGATTTTACTGATGAAGAAACTAAAGCTCAGAGAAGCAAAGTGACTTTCCAAAAGGTCACACAGCCAGTAAGTGATGGAAGGATAAATCCAGGCCTGCCCGATGTTGCAGCCCAGGTCCTTTCCAGTATGCCATGTTGGGAAGAAGAGACAAAGAGAGAGAAAAGGGTAGAGATGGACGGAAGACGGTAGAGGTGGAGATCAGCACACACAAACACACATGAAGACAGAGAAAACAGGGAGGTAAGGGCTCCAAGAGACAGGTACCCCATGCTTGACCAGTGGTCTTCCCCCGTGACCTCGCCACTTGGACCAGCCTCCATTTCCAAAACCCAGGGAAGGGCCAGGCATGGTGGCTCATACCTGTAATCTCAATACTTTGGGAGGCTGAGGTGAGCAGATCACCTGAGGTCAGGAGTTCAAGACCAGCCTGGCCAACAAGTGAAACCCCTTCTCTACTAAAATACAAAATTTAGCCAGGTGTGGTGGCGGACACCTGTAATCCCACCTACCTGGGAGGCTGAGGCAGAAGAATCACTTGAACCCGGGAGGTAGAGGTTGCAGTGAGCCGAGATCTTGCCACTGCACTCCAGCCTGGTCAATAAAGTGACACTCTGTCTGAAAAAAACTAAAAACAAATAAAACAAAAACAAAACCTAGGGAAGGCTTGGACACACTGGATCCCAGCCCCAGGGAATGTGAGCCCCAGATCAGCAGCCCAGAGGTAAGGAAAGGTAGTAGCTAGGTCAGGCCAGAGAAGGCAGGTCACCTCCTCTGGGACAAATGGAAACCTGTTCCCAGCCAGTACCCGGCAGTGGGCAAGGCTGGCCTCAAGGTGATCAGAGCGACCTTGGGTTTGGAGCTCCCGGGCACAGAAGTCCTGGTTGCCTCCAGCAGACAAGTATGTGTGCTGCACATCCACACGTGTGCTGATGTATACCAGCACAGGAGGCTGGGGTGAGGGACATGGCCTGAGGAGCGCCAGCAGGAACAGGAATGCATTTGCTAATTTTTCTGCATCACATGTAACTTGTTGGATAATGGTTTTGTCAAAGGTGAAAAACCCCAACAATCTCTCCACAAGAGATAGGTCTTCAGAGACTGACATGCCCATCTCCTCATTGTACAGAGGAGGAAACTAAGGCCAAGGTCCTGCAGTGAGGTTCCCTGGCTCCCAGATCCGGCCTGGTCCCCTCCACCCCACCCCTTCCCTGGTGTTCAATTCTGCCTCACAGGCCACAGAATGATGCCTGTTGGTCAGAGGAGTAAGCTGGGCTGGAGGAAAGAGGCTTGATCAGGCTGCTGGCGGGGAGGTGTGTGAGAGCAGAGGGAGGCTGCCTCAGAAACGTCTATGGGAGAAATGAGGTGACAGGCTGAGGTCAGTCAAAGCAAGGGCAATGAAAGACCAGTTGCAGCCCCTGGTGGGTATAGGGCGGTCTGGTTCCCTTGAACAGACCCCCGGGGAGCAGGGGATGTCCCCCATGCCACCTACTGCAGCCTTCTCCCCCACACACCTGACACCTGCCACGGAAGTCACAACTGCATGGCAGGTGGCACAAAGTGAGGGCCCTCCTAAGGATGCAGACTCTGCCTGGGGGAGTCCACAGTGTAGCCTGCCAGAGCCTTGTGGATGAATAAAGGAGGGCGGAGGAGACCAAGGCCCAGGCAGGGGCAGAAAGGACAGTGAGAGGAAGTGTGATCAGCAGGAGGGTGCAGGACTGGTACCGGCAGTCACGGCAGGGCAAGGGGGCCGGGCATGGTGGAGCTGCCAGGTTGGGTAGGCAGGTGGGTGGTAGCTGGGCTGGGAGGCTGGCTGCCTAGATGGCCTTCCCAGCGGAAACAAGGCAAGGAGGCCATGCAGGTTTCACAACCCAGGAAGTGGGCTCAGCAAGAGGAACAGGAGGTGGGAGGGGAAAGGCTAGCAAGACCCTTTAGGGTTCCTCCACCAGGGCCCATCCCCCAGCCTCCACATGCCCAGCCCTGTGCTGAGATAAGAACCAGATCTATGGACTCAGGTCACAGCCAAGTCCCAGAGCAGGGATGCTCCCCATACCTGCTCCTCCCAGGACAGGTACCTCATCCCCCAGCCAGCGCTCCTCCTGGGCCCCTCCCTCACCCCACACAGACCAACCAGTACCTGTGGCCTCTCCTCCCCTTACCCAGCTCCCTCCCGGTTGTCACCATCTCTGGTCCCTCCCCTACCCATTCTTCCCACAGCTGGGAACCTCCTAGGCTCTCACTGCCCCTGGAGAAAGCCCAGACCTCTCCAGGCCTTCCAGACTGCCCACTCCCTGGCCCTGTCCTGCTCTCTACCTCAATCCCTGTTCTGGCTACTCTGTGAACATATGTCTCATTTCCCAGCCCCCATATTTTTGCAGATGTTGTTCCCTCAGCTGGAACAGCCTTCTGAATTCCCACAGATCCTTCCAGGCAGCTCAGAAGGCTGGCCCTGGGGGACCCTTCCCACCTCTCAGGAAGCTAGCTGCTTTCCCACTGGTAACCTCTGCCACACCAGGCCCATGGAACTTACAGCCTGGTGGGAGCCAGTCACATAAATATGTGATTACAAAGGATGGTAAGACCTCTGTAGGATGCGCCACGCAGGCAGTGAGTAGCAGGGAGTGAGGGGGGCTGGAGGAGAACGGAGGCTGCAGGGACCTGTTGGCTGGGGGCCTTCGATCTGAGGGGTCAGCAGGAGCATAATGGCCTGCCCTGCCAGAGGGTCTGGAAGGTTCAGAGGGGCAGGACTTGGGAGCCTGGCTGTCATCGGCTCACATCCACCTCTGCCAGCTTGTGTGGGGTAGGGCCTCCTTGGAGGGAGGCCACCAGGCACAGGCCTCGAGTCACCAGCCAGCCCTAGGATATGAGGAGTCCTGGGCTCAGTCAGAGGGCGGTGCCCCAGGTACCCCTGAGAGAGGAACAAAGGCCCCTTCATGGCAGGAGCCAGAGAGCCAGATCCTGTGAGGACAAGGGGCCTCTGTGAGGAGCCAGGGTGGGGGATGCAGCCGGGCCTCTCCACGAATAACCACACGTGTGCACACAGGCACACTCGCCAACCCAAACAGCACATAGGGAGCCCCACTCGACATTAGACACACACGCACACAGTTGGAGCCACAGGTACGTACACACACTGCTGTGATGACACAGGGGCACACGTACACACACACACACACACACACAGAAACACACATGCACTCACCGGCTCTCACATCTCAACAGATACCCGGGCCCACACAGACCACACCCGACCACATAGGCTCCACACGCACGTGGAGTGCCACAAGCTGTGATGTACACACTGGCACAGAGATGCTCCAGGCAGACACAGAAACAAACATACAGTCCTGGAAGGACCCCACATCCCTGACTAGAGTCTGGCACCATGAAGTCCAAATGCAGCTTTTTCCACCACAGCCCCCAGGCACAATGGCTGGGGAATGGAGGAGGGGCAGAAGGGCAGCTGGTGTCAGGCTAGGCTGGGCCTTTCCACCCAGGGAGACGAAGAAAGTCCCTCTTGATCCAGAGCAAAGTCTAAAGTGTGTAAGGGAAGGAGTGGGCTGGTCAGGCACATCACTGGGCAGGCCTCCGCCCGCCCGCCCACCTGCCTGCAGGGCCCTGAGGCTATGGTGGAGGTTGAAGGTCACAGGTGGCAGTCACAGGCCTGGCGCGCAGGGGGAGGGGAGGGCTTGAACCTATGTTGGTAGGGCAGCAAGCCGGGCACCCCAGGAGCAAGTTCCTTGAGCTCCAGGCTCACTGTGCAGAAACCGAAAGAGAGGTTGAGCAATTCAACCAAAGCCACAAAGCCAATGGGGCAGACCCAGGGGGAAGTGGGGAGAGAACTTCCAGCTCTAGTCCTAGAACTGCCCATCTGGCCTCCAATGGGGTGAGGGTATGTGTTTGGAGATGGGAACAGCTCCTCCATCAGCCCCCAGTACAAGAGCCCTACTCCTTAGCCCTTCTTTCTCCCACAGAGTTCCCACGATTTTCCAGATGGTTTACCATTGGAAACAATCGTTTTGTGTTTGGGAGAAGGCAAGATGGCCACCTAACCCTTTTGCCAGTCATCCCCAGGATCTGGGCAGGATCCACATGATGCTTCCCCACTTTGGGGATATTGAGAAAGCTGGGAGAGAGGCAGGACCATCCCGCATGGTGCGCCATCCCACAGCAGGCAGCGGACAGAGGAACCGGCGAGCTTGGACCTAGACAGGCCTAGCTCAGATCTGCTGCCTGGGTGCTCCGCGATCTTGGCCCAAGTGCTCTGGTGTCTTCCAGACTTCCTTGGAAAGTGGGAAAAGAGGCTCTGTTAAGCCCCCCAGCCGCAGGGTGCCCTGTTCTGGCCTGAGGCTCTGGGCAGAACTGGGCTGAAGCAGGCAGCATGAGTCCACTGGCAGAGGCTGGCCAGCTACTGCCCCTCCCGGGGCTCCAGCCTCCCTGTCTCAACAATGGAGACCTCTAAGCTTTCTCCAGCCCTGACACTGGAGGACCCTGGGATCCTCCTCCCACCCCAACAACCCCAGCCCACAACCTACACCACGCAGACATCTGATCTAGCCTCAGGCCTTGGCGACTGCCTGCTCTGCTCTGCCTGTTTACCCAACACGGCCATAGACATGATCCAAAGCTTCCGGAGCTGTTGTGAAAACAGCGGCTCAGCCACCACAAGCCTGCCCTCCTGGGTGCCTTGGCAGAGACCTTTGAGGGACAGCCATCCCAGTCCTGTTCGTGGGCCTCTCAAATGCTCCCCCACCCCTTAGAAGGCCTGTTGAGCCCTCTCCTCCCCAATCCTGGCTTTAGGCTCCCGTCTCTACTTTGGGCCCAGACCCTCCTGAACTTCAGGCTTGTGGCCCCACCTGCCTCCCTGGCTTCACCACATGAATGACTCCAGAAGAGCTCAAGCCTGCCCACACCAGTCCCCCGCCGTTCCCCTCCCAGCGCTCCTCATCCACTAGGAGTGCACGAGCTCAGGCAGTGGCTCAGGCCAGACAGCTCCCCCTGCTCCCCACACAATAAGGCCATCCCGTCTGCCGCTGCAGCCTGTCCTCAAGTCTCAAATCCTCTTCTCCCACCACCACCATCCCCAGGCTCTGCACCTGTCTTCTGACTGCTCTCCATCCTCTACCCCGGCCCGACAGTCCCCCTGTTCCAGCCACCAGACGGGGCTTTTCAGACAGATTTTGTCACCCCCTGCCCAAGCCCCCAGTGCCTCCCATTGCCCCTCTGACAAGCCCAGACTCCTCCCCTCAGCCTGCTCCATGCAGCCTGCCCCCCGCCACCCCCCTCCCCATCACCGTTACCTCCCTGACCTCTCGGGCAGGCGCTGCCTTTCCCTCATTCCTGTGCCCCAGCCACGCTGACCCCTTTCAGTTCCCGAAGCAGCCAGTTCCTTCCCGCTTAGGAGCCTCTGGGCTTGCTGTTCCGTCTTCCTGCTCCACCCCACCCCACACAGTGGCTCCTTCCCATCGTTCATGTCTCACAGGACACCACACCCCGTGATCTGCCCATTTCACAGACGAGGCAAGTGGGGAACGGTCCAGTCCCTGGCTCAAGTGTGCACAGCCAGTAAATATTGAGCAAGGATTCAACCAGGGTCTGTCTGATGCCTGCAGAAGTCCTGCTCCTAAGCCTTCAGGATACCCTCAACCACACTTCCCGCCCAGGCCCATCCACCTTTCGCTCTCCAGCCCTCAGGCCCCTGCTGTTTGCATCACTGTCCTTACCACTCCTCAACACTCCTCATCCCCAGCCTCTGGGCCCCACACAGTGAAGGCCAATGCTTAGCCCAACCCTAACTGTGCTGACCTTCTTCGTGTCCCTGGGACAGGCTGGGCCCTGCCCCCAGCTGCCATGGGTGTAGGGGGTTTTCTAGCTCCCCCTACTCTTCTAGCTTCCATCAGTCCCAGATGCCCACTCCCTGCCCCAGCCCACAGGCTGACTCCAGGGGTCTGAAGGGTAAGCAGGCTGGCAGGAGGGCTTACGTCCACCCCCTCGTTCCCAGCCAATTCTCCCAGCCTAATGTCCTGCAGGAGGCCAGAGCTGGAGAGGGCCAAGGGGAGCCCTGAGGGGGCAGCAGGCAGCTGCAGACTGCCTTTCCCCTCCCTGCATCCATTTGTCACGAGATCTATTTTCTCCCTTTGAAAGGGAGTGAGGGGGAGAAGAGCAGGCAGGGGCTGGACTGCTGAGTGGGTGGAGCTGCTCCAACAGGAGCTCCTCTCCTCGGAGGGCATGGAACCTACTGAACAAGTAGGGCACTGCCACTGGAGGTAGAATTGAGGGGGATGAGGGAGTCAGAGACCTGGCTCCTCAGCCAGGCTCCACAGCCACCTGGCCATGTAACACTGGGCCAGTGCCCAGCCCATCAGATAATAATACCCCCTCATCAGTCCCACTTGCTATTTTTTGAATAGTTCCCATGAACTGGGCTCTAAATGCTTTACATAACTACAGTTTCTACTCATTCAACTCTGACAATGCACTAAGCACGATGCCAGCTACTTTGCATATGTTATCTGTCATTTCCGCACAACCTCATCAAGATGGATGCTATCATTATCTCATCTGTCAGGGGGAGACTGAGGCACTGAGCGGCAGAGCCACTTGCCCAGGTTCATTCATAGAGCTGCTGGGAGCTGCCTAGTCACTAAGATGCAGCCCAGCCATCACCTCTCTCAAGGGGGCCATGCCTACCAGAGTTGATGCTCTTGAGCCTCGGCTTACAGGCTCAGAGCAAGAAAGGAGCCACGGTTGTGGGGACTGCAGGGGACTTCGTGACCTGCCCCCTGCCCTTCTCCTAGAGCCCCCCAAAAAGGCCTGGGCAGCCCTGGCAGTGAAAAGCCTGGTCAGTCAGCCTAACCCGGTGGCCAGACGCTGCTCCCCTGGGCAGGCAAGGCAGGGGCGGAGCAAGGCGTAGAGCCACTGACAGAGGGCTGGTCAGTCCCACTCCAAAACCACTTCCTGGGCAGCTCAGAGGAAGTAAGCCTCCGGAAACGCCTTGAACAGATGGGCCTCTCTCCTAGGCCCAGGCTTTGGGAAGTGAACAGACAGCCCCTGCCAACCTCTCAGTCCCTAGAGCCCAGCAACTCCACTCCCTCTAGGCATGGACACCGTGGGGGACACAGGAGTTGATAGGACCCCCACCCACTGTGAGCACCTTGGCCCCATGGCCAGACAGCCTACTTCCTCTGCTGTAGCAGCAGGCACACAGTGCTGGCACAGCTGACACAGCCTCTCCCCCGCATTCATGCCTCCCATCTCCCATGCCAATCCCTGGTCGGCCTGGAGCCTGGGGCCAGGTGGGCAGGGTGGCTGCTGAATGCATGGGCAGAGCCCACCTACCAGGGTGGCCCAGCCCCCCTTACTGAGATCACAGCCACACCTGGAACTTGCCCCTCAGGTGCCAGATGCAGGCGACCTGACTGGGCTGTAACTCTGACCAGGGACCCCTTCCTGACCCCAGAATGGGCACAGTGCGGTATGTGTGGGCAGGCATTTGAGTGCATGGATGCCAACGGTAACTGGGAGAGCATCTGTGTGTGTGTGAGTGTGCCATGGGTGGCTGCATGTGAGCACCTGTGTACCTGCATGCCCACATGTGTGGTGCACGTACAGGAACTCATGAGTCTGTGGGTGTGCATGCCCACTGCAGCCTAGCTTGCCATATCCCTGTGTGAGCACGCATATGTCTGTGCAGCTGGAGGGTGATGTCTGAGGGTTTACAGTGGGCTGTCTCCAAGACTAATCAAACTCCTTACAAAACAAGGCTGAGTGACGGAAAGGGCTGGCTCTTCAGAACTTAGGTGGCAGAGGCCCCTAGACAGCCAAAGGCGCTTTACTTCCTCCACACCAGGTTTAGGGACAGGTCCAATACACAGAAGGCCCAGTGAAGACTGCTCCTGTTCTGTCCCAACTCCTACCCCAGAGTGAAGGCCCTGACCTCCCTTCTGCCCCCAACCCAGAGTCAGGCCCAGGAAGCCCAGCCTTTATGGCTCTACTCACAGACCTATAGGTGCGTAACAGCCAGTAGGGTTGGCTGTGAGGGTCTGCTCAGGGAGCACTCCTGGAGGAAAGACGGTCTTTGCTATCCCCCCACTGTTACTCCGAGGCTCCAGCTTCATTAGCACCCATACCCACCACCAGTACCCTGTTCACTGGGGCCCGGTCACCCAGTCACCAGCCTGGAATGAGTATGGAGTCACCCACAGCAATGTTTTCATGGTAATAGGGCTGAAGGAGGCAAGGCTCGCCCCAAAACAAGGAATTTCTAGCTTTCTGAGGGGATTCAAAGAGACTGCAGCCTTCCCAGCATTGTTCCAGACTCTGCCTAGCTCCCCTTGAATCTGGAAGCTGAAGAGAGGGACTGAGCCCTGCTCGGGCTCCAGAGAAGCTGGGGAAAATGGAGGGGCCTGGGGTGTGGAAGACAGCTCAGCTGTACCTGGAGCTGGAGACCCCATTCCATCCCCCTGCAGTGTCCAACCCACTGTGGGGCCCACGGGGAATTTCAGTGTCCTTGTGTGATGATGAGGTGAGTTTGAGGCAGATACAGGGCCATGGAAAAGCTGACACACCCACCCTCAATCTTTGGCCCATGAGCCACCCTCTCTAACTGACCAAAAAAGCGTTACTACTTTTTGCCCCAAATTAATGGTAGGCCCCAGGCCTCTGAGCTCCAAGGTGAGAGCATTCTGGGGCCACAGCCAGGTTAGGCAGGAAGTTCCTCATGAGCAGAGAGCCCCTCATAGACAGGGCAAACAGCTGCGGCCCCTGGGCACACAGGGCCCACAACCAGATCAAGGACTCTGCATGCATGCCCAACCCCATCCAGTTCCACAGCAAAGGACAAAGAGGCCAGAGAGGAAGGCTACACCGGTGCACCATCCATCTGCCTAAGAGAACTCAGTCCTACCTGGGGCTCCCAGCTCCTGCTTGTCCTTAGTCCTGGCTCCCGCTGCTGCTACAACGCACCAACCACCAGGAGAAACGGGCCTGCCCCCTTGCCTGGCCAGTTCCCTGCAGACCTGTAGGAACAGGAGGAAACAGCTGAGCCGGGAGGCACCGCCAAACAGGCTCTCCCCGTCTACCAGTCCCAGCATGGCTGACGGGCCCAGTTCAGTCTCTCCTGGACCTAAAACCTCGGGTCTCTCTGGATGTGGCTTTCCCTTCCTTGAAATGTGGTGTTGGGCCCAACTTTTCCTGGGCACCACTATTTGTCCACTCCATGGTAGGGGCTGGAACACTGTGTCCCTGCCCTGAGCACATTTCCAGCCTGGTGAGGAAGCCAATAACACAGCAAAAACCTGTTCCTGACCCTCCTGTCTGTGGGAGGTTGCCTTGCAGGTTTAGGAGTCCTAGGGTGCAACAAAGTACCACCACTTTATGTCCTGGTGCAATTTCCCTGAGCCTCAGTTTTTTTAATGGGGAAACTACTAGCCTCTTCTCCCCAGGTGGTTCTGAGGTTCCAATGATGTGGCGTGCCAGCTCCTGTGCTGGACTCATGTTGAGAATGCCAAATGAATAGTGACTTTTTTTTTTTTTTAATGTGGCAGGGTCTCACTCTATCGCCCAGGCTGGAGTGCAATGGCACGATCTTGGCTCACTGCAACCTCTGCCTCCTGGTCTCAAGTGATTCTCGTGCCTCAGCCTCCTGAGCAGCTGAGATTACAGGTGCGCGCCACCACACCCAGCTAATTTTTGTAGTTTTGGTACAGACAGGGTTTCACCATGTTGGCCAGGCTGGTCTCAAATTCCTGACCAAGTGATCCACCTGCCTCGGCTTCCCAAAATGCTGGGATTACAGGTGTGAGCCACCGTGCCCAGACTGAAGAGTGACATTTTTTAATCTCTTGTGCCTTACAGTTCAGGTGATTCTCACATTACTATTGTGCCCATTACACAGCTGAAAAAACTGAGGCCTGGAGATATCCTGGGAGGAAGAAATGGCAAAGGTAGCAAGGTACTCTGTGTCTCCTGGCTGAAAGGCCTAAGCATTTTCTCTGAAGGCCAGCTCAAGCCTCTAAGAAAGATTCTGCTCCCCAGATGTGAACCCCTCCCCCAGCTGGAGACCCCCATCACCATTCCCTGGGGGCAGAGGCATCCTTGGCTTTATCTTTTTGTCTGTACTTTAAATTATTTCTAATTTTAATCTAAACTGTGCCAGCTAAATGGTGTCAGCGCCCTGCAGTCACAGCTCTGAATCATCCCCCACCCCTGTCTCCCCCATCGCTACTACTGACACTAAGGTCTGGTGAGGGAGGGGCTGTCATGCAGGCTGAACAGGGCTGGGTACTGGGGGCTCTGTCTGGGCATCCCCCCTCCCTCAAGCTGCTTGGTCAAGGAGATGGGAAGGGGCAACAGACAGGCAGGAAATTGGGTTGGATACTGTCTGGGCTTTCTTTAGCCCCAGCTCCCAGGAGAATGGGAACCGTATAGCTGGGGGTGGTGACAACAAAAGACTTCACATGTGCTGTGTTCTCACTATGGGCCAAGATTGTGTTAAAGGACCTTTAACACAGGAACTTTTGTCCTCACTCTCTCCATTCTGCAGATAAGGACACTCAGCCTTGAGAGGCCTAGCTTGGGTCTCTTGCTCTTAACAGGCACAAGCAAGTATTGGAGCCCAAATAATTCTTGGGTACAGAGCCCGAGGTCTTGGTCACAACACTACAAACCCCAAGACTTGCCCTCTAGCCCTCTCCATGTGCACACCCACATCCTCATGGTCTCCCACACACTCACACACACACCCCCACACTGGGCTCTCACCTTCCCTCCCAGCACTGTCACCACACACCTTGTCACACCCCCTCCTGCCGCTAACACCCACGCCCAGGCACTCTCGGTTCCCCACAATCACAGTCACTCCCCAAGCATACACCGGCAGTTTCATAGACTGTGTCCCACCAGTCACACACTCCTACCGTGGCCACACACTCCCAGGCTTACCCCAGCACTGTCCCATCGCATAGCCCTCACACCACCCATCAGCCAGGTACAGCTGCCCAGACACCACCACACCTCTCTGTCACACACACACGCACACACACAACCACACATATCACACATGCACCATACAGCCTCCCTCTGCTGGCCTGCTCACCAAGCCCCAGCTCACTCCACAGCAGGAACGAGGAAACCCCAGGGATCAGTCCCCTCCCTTAGTGACCAGGTGGGCCTGGTCACAGAAACTCAGTGGCAGAGGGAGAGCCACACGTGAGTACACACACATACACACACTTATACAGATACACTCACACATGAGACTGGTGGGTAGGCACCCAACACCAGGGGCTTCCACAATTAACAGATCTAACGTACTCATGGCCAGTTGGTCACCATGATATACCCAGTGTGCAACACCGAAACCTCCAGACACACAGGGACACACACACTAGCAGGCAAGGACACACACACACACACACACACACACGAGTCTGGTGACAACAAACACACCAAGAATGGTACACACAGTTGCAAAAGACACACACAGAGCCTCAGGACACAAACAGACATACACACATACACACAAGCAAGTCACACATGCGAAAAAGGACACACATGCACAGGCAAGTCCCACAGTGACAGACAGCACAGAAGCTGACACAGACACACAACATACCCACACACCCAGATACCAGTGACTTAGCACAAGGAGACAGCTTCCACGCATACAGGGTAGGCGTCAGAGAAGGGGACCCCCCGCCCACTCACAGCAGATCCTTCTGACCAGGTTTAAGGCGGGGCTCGGTGGGGCTCTCCCCTGCCCCAAGAGAGAGGGAACTGGGGAAGTGGGAGCAGTTCCGATGGTGCTCTCCTTCTGCCGCTCCACCACCAGCCAGGAGGACCCCCCCCCCCGACCTCCTCCCCTCATCTGGTGGAGCCCCCACAACGGGAGTGGCATCTGGGTTGGGGGCGAGTACAGACCGTATCGGGCAGGGGCCACCCTGGGAGGGGTCTCAGAGGGGCGGAGGGGTGGGGTGGGAAGGGGGATGGTGGAGACTGGAGCCACGCCCAGCCCAGAGACGGATGAAGGGACCGAGAAAGACTCTTGAGACCGAAAGAAGAGACAGCGAGGAGGAGGCGCCGCGCGGGTCGGGCCTCCAGGGACCCAGGGGCGGGAGGCGAGGCCCGGCGGGCGGCCTGGCCTGGGCCCCGCGGTAGAGCGGAGAGGCGGCTGGACTGGCAGGGGGCGGCGAGCGTGGGCCGGGGGCGCGGCTCCGGGAGGACGGGATCGAGGGGGCGGCGGGCGGGGGTAGGGGTGTGGGTGGGGGTGGGGCGATGGAGCACGCGGAGGGCAAGGGACGGACGGATCGGGTGGCGAGGGACAGAAGGATCGGGTCTCGGAGAGGCGCGCAGGGGGAGAACACAGAGTGGGTGGCGACAGACGGACGGACACAGGGCCCGGGAGAGAGTCGGGAGGGACGGACGGGCCCCTCGGAGGAGCGGGAGACACACGGGCGGGTGGAGGGGCCGGGAGCGGGCAGACAGAAGGACCTCAGCCCCCACTGTCTAGCGGAGGGACACACAGACGGACAGGGGGACGGAGTCACCGGCAGGTCTCGGCGCGGCGGGACTTTCGCTGACCGCGGCTCAGTTTCTCAGTTTCGGAAACGGGAACTGGGGCGGGAAGGGGGAAGGAAGGGCGCCGCGCCCTCGGGGTAGCCCCGATCCCGCGCCCGGACCCGGCCCTCACTTACCTCCCGTTGCAGGGGCAGGCGCCAAGGGTCGCGGCGGCAGCGGCGGGGGCGCCGCTCCCCGGCGCGCGCGGACGGGGTTCGGCGCGGCGCTGACTGGGATGGGCCAAGCGGCCAGTGAGGTGTGGCCCGGGCCTCCGCGCGGCGGGCGGGCGCCGGGGGTCGCTCGGGAGATGTGGGCTACAGCCGCCTCGGGCTCCGGCGCCGCGGCACACGGAAGTGCGAGGGGGCGGGGCCGAGCGACCTCACCCAGGTGCCGCCGGCCCCGCCCCCGCCAGGCCCCGCCCCCGCCAGGCCTCGCCCTGCCAGGCCTCGCCCCGCCAGCTGCAATCGGGGACAGCGTCCCTCCGCCTCTGCCTGCGCGGGACACCGAGTCTCCCGGTCCCTCTGCCCTGCCTGGCCCTCTTCGCATCCTCCCGCCATTAGCGCGCAGCCAGCCCTCAGAAGGGGCCCATTTTACAGAGGAGGACGCTGAGGCCCGGTGGGGAGGCTCCCTCCGCCCGCTGGGGCCTGGGAGGGGCCGGCGGGGGTTCCCCCGCTCCCCACACCCACGCCCGGGACTCCCCACTGGCCAGCTGGCCCGCCTCTCCTGGCCCCACTCCTGCTCTTCCTGTTGGCTGGAGCTCGGACGCGGCCGGGCGCGGTGCCCGCCGCCAAGCCCGCTGTCCCGGCTCTGCCCCAAAGACTGAGCTGGTTAGACTCCAGGGTCGGAGGTTCTCGCTGGTCGGGCGCTGCACTGCTCCTCAGGCGGTTCTGGGAACTGCCCCTACTCGGACTGGCAGTTGCCCCTACCCCGATTGGCAGTCTTCTGCTTTCCTGCCCCCACCTTTGAGACCTCTCTATTGCTCCTGGCAGGCGCCTGAGCCTCCTTTCCAGACATGGAACTTGGTTGTCAGCCATAACTCCTTCATTCATTCATTCACTCATTCATCTATTCACCGAGTGTCCCCTAGGCTCAAAGTCTAGGGACCAGTTGGGGTTCTAGGGAGTCCATTCCCCTGTCCCCAGAGCTCAGAAAGCCAAGACATTAGCCTTATACTCATCCAAAGAAATGTCACTTCCCAGGAGACAAAAAAGAGGGTTCCAGGTCCTGGGGAACCACCTAGAAGGGATAGAGAAAGTCTAGACAGCTCTTCCCAGCTGAGACACAAGGGATGGAAGTGGGGGACAATCCCTGAGGTGGCCTGAGCTGAGAAAGGGGCTTGTGACAGAGACAGGCCATTGGACTTTGGTCTTCTCACAGAGCAATGAGAAGGTGGTGAAAGCTATTACAACCAGGCAGGATGACAGGCTCAAGGGGGCTCCTGCGGGATAGATGGGGCAGAGGGACAGCAGGGCAGAGGAGAGGCTGGATGGGGGACAGAAGGGCTGCCACGTTGTTCAGGTGGGAGGACCCTGGTTGAGATTGCGGAAGATGGATGGGGAGAAAAGGCCAGACCAGGTGGGTTCAAGGACTATCCTTTGGGAAAGACTTTCTCTTCACACCCAGGCCTTGAGCATGCTGTTCTCTGGGCCTGAATGCCATTTCCCACCCCACCCCCAAACCTCTACCTGCCCTGGTTGTGTCCATTCAAATGTCCCTCCTCCCTGATGCCCAGTTGTAATGCACGGCACTTCCCTGAGTGAAGGACCATATTCATTAGCATGTTCTGTGTCCTGATCCCATCCCACCCCACCCATCATGCCCCATGGCTTCCCTGGGGTTGGACTGGAGGAAAGGGTAAACAAGGTGAGCCTCAAGTGACCTTTGCCCACTTGGGATCGGGTTTCCTTCTGGCTCCTCCTTCAGGTCCACAGTAAGCCAACCCAGTCTCTCCCTCAACATAAACAATAGGCCCACCCTGTGCCAGGGACTGCAGCCAGAGGGAGGACTGACCCTTGAGGAGCTCCAGGTCCAGCCACCAGACCTTTGTTCCCACTCCGTGTGGTTCACCATGGAAGAAGGAAATGAATAATCATGGCTATCGCTGATAGGGGCTACCCAGCACCAGGCTGTGTGCTGGGTGCTGGATGTGGGCAGTCTGAACAGTTCTCAAGAGGTGAGGGCTGCTGTTAGTGCCAGTTTTGGTGATGAGCAAACTGAGGCTCAGAGAAAGGAGAAGCGACTTGCCCCAGAGTACACAGCTAGTCAGTGGCAGACGCAGATTCAGACCGAGGTCTGTCTGGCTCCAAAGCCCATAGTTTACATCAGGGATCTCAATTTCAGCACCACTGACCTTTGGGACAGATGATTCTTTGCTGTGGGGGCTGCCCTGTGCACTGTAAGGATGTTGAGCAGCATCCCTGGCCTCTGCCTAGTGGATGCCAATAGTACCTCCCTGCTTTAACTTGTGACAGACAAAAATGTCTCCAAACATTGCCAAATGTCTGCTGCAGGGCAAAATTACCCCTTGTTGAGAATCACTGCTTTGACATATACTGGTGTTACAGGAACAAGATTTACATTAGACAACAGGAAGCACTTTCCTGATCCTCAGGATATGCAGACTTGTGAGCTCAGGGGCTGCAAGCATACACTGGCTTCAGCCAATCTTTCTCCTCTAGAGAAAGGGGAAGTGCGATGTACTCAGAGAGGGTCAGAGGGGCTAAGGCTGTGCTAGCTATGCTGTGGCGAGGGCAGAGAAGGGATGAAGGTGGGCTTCCCTCCAGGCCTTAGGTCCAAGGGTTCCAGGGAGAATAGGTTTGCATGAGGTCCAGAGAATCCAGGCCAAGCTTGACTAGAACCACCCTGCATCTTGGAGCTGCTTCTGGGTGCCACACTGGTGGGCCAGGGCAGGGTCCAGATGAGCTGGTATCTGTGTCCCCATAATCTGCCTTGCATCAACAAGAAGGGCCTGCTGAAGCCTGAGAGCAAACCTTGGCTGTGTCACATGCCAACTGTATGACCCTGAGTAGGTGACCATGCCTCTCCCAGCTTCAGAGTTCTCACCTATGAAAAGGGCTGATGACAGACTCATGTCAGGAGTTGAATGAGGTGGTAAGAGTTAAATGAGATGATATATACAGAGCCTCGGCCAGGCTAGACACATTGCCCAGGGTTACAGCCTGGTCATGTGCCAAGTCACAGGCTGTCAGCCTTGAAAGAGGCTTCAATGGCCTCTCCTGACATGGGGCGTAAATCCCTGAGCAGGGCTAGACTCATAGCAGCTGCCTAGAGGTGATACTTTCCTCCTCCTCCAGGTTTGCAGCCAAGGAGATGGGCTAGGGTGGTGCCAGGCAGCTTCCAGACTCCCACCCACAGCATCCACCCAGGGCTGTTCCTTCTGTGGGCCTCCTGGAGGATTTATCCAGAGGAGAAGCAACTTGACCCCTGCCACCTCTGCCTCCTCCAAAGGCCATCAACCCTGGGAGGCCTCCAGACTCCTCCACTCCTGAAGTCCAAGACTCGGCCAAGCAACCTGGAAAAGGCCTCCCTCTGTCCCTGAGGCCCACACAGCTGAAGGCAAATGGGGTCCCTCACTTGATCCCTGCCAAGAGTTGGTCCTTGTCCTGGCATTTCTGCTTTTTGCACCTTCTCTCTGTTTCTGTCTCTCTGTGTCACCATCCTTGTCCCTGAAGCTTTGGTTGCCACGGCAATCCCCATCACACCCAGAGCACTGGCCTGGCCAAGAGAGAGTGGGCTTGTGTTTCTGGAGCAGGAGACACAGTCAACAGCGACAGTGCACCTGGGCAATTGCTGGGGGCAGCAGAGCCTGGGAGGTTCCCACTGGGGACAGTGTAGTAGGAAGGACACTTGGGACATGCCCATGCCTCAGGCCACCAAGACTGTCATCGACAGGAGTGTCAGCCTCAGGTACTAGGTTAAGGACAAGCAAGGACAGGCTGAGGGGGACAGTGGCCTTGTGGGTAGTGCTGCACAGCAGGGAAGTGCCAGCCCAGGGGCTGGTTCGCATCCTGGCTCTGCCCTGCACTGCAACTTAAATGTGCCTCAGCTTCCTCATCTGTGGAGTGGTGTTTGGTTAAGATCGACCTCCTGAGGCTGAGAGGATGGAAGAGTTCAAGTTCATCCCATGTTGGTGTTACCTGCCAGGCAGAGAGTTGGTGAGGCTGGGCTAATTGCCTCCATGTTCCTTCCTCAACACATTTGTGTTTGGGTGAAACCTGAGACATACTTGGGGGTAGACAAGGGGAAGGTGTGTCCTGGGAGTGCAGAACACAGGGCTTTCCTGTGGCTCTCCCAGGGGTGTGTACCCTGGACTGTCCCTTCTCTGCACTGACCATGGCACAGCCCCTGCCAGCCTGAGTCCCCTTCCCTGGCTCCTCTGCCCCTGCCCCCAAACATGTGTGTAGGTGGGGAGAAGGGGCACTGGTGTTGGGACAGTCATCAGCAAGAGCTATCCCCTCGCACGGAGTCCAGGGGACCTCCCAGCTCTCCTCCACCGCCCCCATCCCCGGCACCCATTTAGCTCTAATCTACGGGGTCCCTACTGGGAGGCTCATGGGGCTTAGCAGGGCAGGGAGGGCTATAAGCCTCACCTGCCTTTCCTTTCGCTCCCTGGCCTGAGGGTGCCTCAGCTCCCCGCTCCCACCTCTCAGCCCCTCATCCCCCACATCCTCAGAGGACAGCTCACCAAACCCAGCTTGGCCCATGGGAAACAGTGTAGGGGGTGGCCCTGAGCTGAAAGGCGGCTGCTCGAGGTTGGCAGGCTGGGAAGGACTGACTGCAGGCACAGCAGGGTCCCCCGCGCCGTGCACACACCTCCATACCCACCGCACAACCACGTACACGCCAGTCGGCGCGACCCCCGTGCACCAGCACAAAGTCCCCCGGGCCCCACCCTCCCGCCCCGCCCCGCCCCGCCCCGCCTCAGGGAAGCCTTTCCGAGCCGGGGGCGCAGACGCCCGCCCAGCCGCGTGACGCAAACCCCGCTATAAAACACCCGGCTCTATTCCCGGGTCCGGCAGCCACCTGGCTCCAGGCGCCGGGAGGCCCTTTCGCCTCCTCACCCTCTTTGTTCTCCAGGAAAGTCAGGAAGACCTGAGCTCGCCCATTCCTTGGATGGAGCAACTGAGGTCCTGGGTGTGAGGGTCGTCCAGGGCACTGCAGCCGGCCTCCTAGTGGGAACCTCTGAGAAGACCTTGAGGACTGGGGGCTGGATATGGGATGAGAGGGGAAGAGGGAGAGTCACCGAAACCTGGAAAAGTAGCCACACACATTGGCTGTTCTGATTTAAAAAAAAAAAAAAAGTAATACATTTTCTATTAAAGCAAGGAAGACAGAGACAAGTTTACCGAGGAAAGTAGGAATCTCCTGTAATCGCACAGGTCGTTTCATCTCCCCAGACAGACCTGCCCTCCGCACTGTCATTGCATGCTATAAATTGTCCCTTGAGGACACAATCGGGCAGGCTTTGTGAAGGGGGTTGCGTGAGGCCTTCCAAGACTGAGCAGAGCAGCCTGGGGCTCAGGACTCCCTAATCCTTGCCCTGGGACAGGGATTGGAGGAATCCTAGGCCCCTGACCCAGACTTCACCCAGGGTTTGCCAACAACTCTTGGCAGAGCTGTGAGCAGGGACAGTGGGCAGTGCCAGAGAGAAGTGGTTGGGCCAGTTGGACCGGCAGAGGCTGAGCACCCAGCACCCTCCACCCCAAGTCCTCCAGTGATATGAGAGGCCCTGGGCACGAGGGCACTTCTGCCACCCACCTACACTCCCCCTGCCACTGCCCATCGAAGCCTCCCCACCAAGCCTCTGCTCAGGTTGTGCTTTGCCTTGGAATGCCTTTCCATTAAGCTCTAGCCATTTGATGAGGTCCCATGCAAATGGTCCTCCTGCAAATTGTCCTCCAGGGAGGCTCCCAGATCCCTGCCCCTAACCAGAGGCATCCTCTGCTTCCTGTAAGCCCCCCAACTCCACACTGTCTACTGCAGAGGCTTCAGAGTGGGAAGAACTAGCATGCAGCCCCCATGCTGACTGGCTGTGTGACCTGGAGCAAGTGCCAGCCCTCTCTCAGCCTCAGTTTCTTCATCTGTAAAATCTCCAGGCCTTGGGGCTGCTCTGAAGATAAATTAAAATGTTGGAAGCAGAGTGCCCATTTCTGTGCCCAGTACTAGAAATAGGCAGCTGGGCTGTTCATGTCCATCTCCCCCAGACCATGAGCTCCCCTAGCAGAGACATGCCAGGGGAGCTCCTCCCCTGATGCCCAGCAGCCTGCAGTGGGCAGAGGCAGAAATTGGCAGGGGAGGAGCCTCCCCAGGGAGGTGAGTCTCACCCTCAGGCTCTGCCCACCCCACCACCTTCACATGCCTGGGCCCTGCCTCTGCCTGCAGGCTTCTGTGGGCACAGGCTGTGGCCATCTTGGCCACAGTGGCTAGGCAGGCGGCCAGGCCACTGGGCAGGCCTGGGCAGCAGTAATGGTGAGGCCTTGGGGCCGGAAACACAGCCAGTTCCCAGGGCAGCCCCTCAGGGCCCGTGGGTACTGGGCAGGCATCCCAGGGCAGTAGGGGGCAGGGAGAAGGCTGGGATTTCTGAGTAAGCGGTGGAATTTGGGTCAAGGGCTGGGGTACTGAATCTAAGCCCTCAGGTGGGCCCCATGCAGGGCCTCTTACACCTCCACTCTAGGCCAGTGGAGCGGGGATTCCTGCCAGCTTCTGACATTTATTAATAGTTGTGCTAGGGTGGGCACTGGAACTGAGTCCTCAGCTTCAGGTACCAGGCCCAGGATCACAGGGGTCTCCAGGTATGGAGAAGGTCTGGGACACAGCCGGGGGGCCTTGTGAAAATGATGAACTAGAATTTCAACTTGCCCTCGTGTTTTACAACCTGGATATCTGGGAAGTTCATGCTGATGTCTGCCCTAGCACCCTCATGTTGCTAGAGAAGACCTGCTGGTCTGTCTGCTGGAGGGGAAGGGTGGCTCCCTGGTGTGTGGGCTGCTCCAACCCTAGGGTACCTCTCTGGAGGGAGAGCTGGAGGGCTGCATGGGGAGACTTGGGGGAAGTGCCAGTGGGTTTGAGTGCTGGGCTGCAGGGGCTGTGGCGGGAGTACTCTGTGGAATCTGACTTTGGGTTCAGGTGTGTGCTCCTAGGTGCCAGCTGATGTGTATGTGTGTCAGTGGTAGGGGATACTTGGAGGCAAGGGGGGTAATGGAAATGCCAAGTCTTCCCTCCTGTTCCTCAAGCACCCTCCTCCCACCCCACCCACACCAAGCCACTGGAATCCGGAGGAGAAGGCCCCAAGGAAGCTTCCCCCACTCCCCAGACTCTGGAGAAGGCAGGCAGCAGCGGAACCACAGCCTCCGTGGGTGTGCTCTGTGGGTGTGCACAGCATAGCCATGGTGCAAAGGAAGAAAAAATGAACTTTCTTCCCTCGGGCCAAAGCCTTTCTCTGAGAGAGGGTGGGAGGGGAAAGGATTCCCAGCCCCTGGGCAGGATCCCAGTGGGCCTGCGCTGGGCAGCCTTCTGCCCTGGACCCACTATCAACCTTCTGCACACACGATGTTCTGCACCCCAGCCAGGCCCCAGCTCACCGCAGAATCTTGCACAGATCTCTCTCCCCTTGGTGCCTCACACTCCCCATCCTGACTTCTGAATTCATTTGTTTGTCCCCATGCCATCACCTTGGCCTGGGCTTCCAGTGTCCCTTGTCTGGCCATCTGTGATGGTCTCCTCTGTTCAGAATACCACCTCCCCACCTCCAGCAATTCTTTTCCTTCACAGCAGCCACATAATCCTCCTAAAGTGTCAAGGACTACTCACTCCCCAGCCCTGAGGCTGACCATGGATCTCTCAGAATAAAGGTCAAACTTCTACTGTGGCCACCTGGCCCAGTGTGACTTAGCCTCTGCCGCCTGTCCCCCTGCCAGCCCAGAACTCCAGGAATAGGAACGTCTTCCAGTTCCTACCAGACAACATCCTTCAACTTCTCACCCCTGGGCCTTTGCCCATGCCCTTCCCTCTGCTTAGCACACCATGCCTAGCTAACTCCTCTCAGTCTTCTGGTAGATTCTAGCTTAGTTACCTCCTCCTCCAGGAAGCCTCCCTGGCTAACCTCTTAAGCCAGGTTAGGTAGTGCTCCGACATGAGGGCAATGTGTGTTTTTCATCCCACAACACAATCCAAGACCTCCTTCCTCCCTCTGCCTCCCCACCCATCTATGTGTGGCTGCCAAGCCACAGTCTGATGCTCCATTTCATCTCCCAGTTCACTGAGGAAGACAGAATAGGGTTACCAGGAGGAAGTGAGGGCAGGGGATGACCGGGGACATCAGGATGCCTCCTACATCCCTGTCCTTCACGTGGGAGCTGGTATCACTGACTGTCCCCCAAATGTGCCTCCCCTGGATTGCCTCAACCCCACACCACCACTGATCCAGGTCCCCTGGCTATCCCCAGCTTTGAGGGAACCCTAGAAGCTGAGGGGCAGGCCAGCTTCCCAGATCTTGTCTGCCAGGGGGCCCAGGTGGGTGTAGGGTGAAACTTCTGGAAGAAGGCTAAGCGCTGAAGTGCCTACCAGGCTAGGGTAGGCCTGGGCAAACATTAGTGAGCAAGTTTGTGTCCAGGTAGTGAGTTGTGGCAACACTGAGGCTTCCACGGGCCCTCGGTGGACACACACAATGCCAGTGAGCCTGCGGAGACGCTGGACCCTCAGGTAGAGGCCTGCTCAGCCATGCCTCTGACTGGCTGCAGGATCCTGGCAGGGCCTTGCCCCTCTCGGTCTCTGTGGCTGCAGCTACCCAGAAAAGGTGATGGGACAGTAGATACTAATTTACCTCTGCTACCAGGGAGAGGCTGAGTGATTAAAAACCGCCTATCAGGACAACCTGCAGAGTAAGAGCAACCCCAGTTTACAGTTGAGGAAGTCAAGGCTCAGGGAGGCAAGCCCAAGGCCAGGTAGCAGGGCCAGGCCCGACGTCTGTGCGAGGCTGGACGAAGGTCAGGACGAAAACCTGGTGGCTTCAGAGGCAGGTGTGCCCAGGCTGCAGGCTTCTCCTCCTGGCTCAGCCTGCTCTAACTGTGTGACCTCAGGCAGGTGGCTCAGCTTCTCTGAAACACGATGGGAGGATGATGAAAGACCCAACGGTCAGTGGTCACATGGACTGACTGATGGAGCAAGGGAGAGGAGGAAGAAGATGCCTGGCTTCCTTGCCGGTTGAGCACAGGGTCTGATGGGAGGATGGACAGGAGTGGGCAGCCACCTCATTGCTGTCTAATTGCCTACACCTGGGGTAAAGCAGGGATTCCCGTCCATCCCAGAGACGAGGAAACTGAGGCTCAGGTGAAGCCCGGCCCAAGGCCACACAGGTTGTTGCAGGGCGCTGAGGCAGGAGTCCAAGACCTGGTGTGTTCACGTGTCCTGCGGAGGGTCTCAGCCCCTTCCCTAGCCGAAGACGGATGCTGCCCTGGGGCCAGCTCTGCTGCCTGGTAGTCAGTTCTGACAGGGACGTGGCCAGGACAACGTCTCAGGAAACTGGAGCCGGGGTGGACATTCTGCAAGATCTGCTTGCAGGGGACCAGATGGTGACCTGGACTTCGGCCCATGGCCCACCAGAGGAAGGGAGGGAGTCCCACAAGTACCTGTTTTCCTCTGACACAGAGGTTCTGGGCTGGAGCCTCCCTGCTGTTGCATGCCTGTGTGACTGCCCTCCAGGGTCCCCTCTTCCTCTCCTCATGCCTGAGGGGCAGCCCAAGCCCCTGAGCCTGAGTCCGCTGAGGGAGTCAGAATGCATGAGTGAAAGGGCCTATTCTTACGGAGGTGTTGAAAGTGGTGGCCAAGGTCAGGAGTGTCCTGGGGCTACTGGGGGCTGGTCTTCTGGCAGGGAGCTCAGCCACTCAGCTATGTGACCCTGGGCACATCACCTTCCCTCTCTGGCTTCCACTCGCTGCTAACAGAGGCTCATAGAGAGTAGACAAGAGGAGGGCCTAGCACCGTGCCTGGATCAGAGCGAGTGCTCAGTGGATTATTGCCAGCTTTGTTATTATGATTTAATTTGTTAACCTCAGGGTGTATTTTAGGGTAGGACAGGAAAGCTTGCATGCCTCAAGCCCTCTGTATAAAATCTAAGGCATGGCTTCATATGGTGGCTCATGCCTGTATTCCCAGCACTTTGGGAGGCCGAGGAGGGCAGATCATTTGAGGTCAGGAGTCTGAGATCAGCCTGGCCAACATGGTGAAACCCCACCTCTACTAAATACAAAAAATTAGCCGGGCGTGGTGCCGCATGCCTGTAATCTCAGCTACTCAGGAGGCTGAGGCACGAGAATCACTAGAGCCCGGGAGGCAGAGGTTGCAGTGAGCCAATATCATGCCACTGCACTCCGGCCTGGGTGACAGAGCGAGACTCTGCCTCAAAAAAAAAAAAAAAAAAAAATTTCTGTGCGAGGGCCAACAAAGCAGGGAAGGCTTCACCAAAAAGGTGCCCTTGGTGCTGGGCCGGGAAGAGCAAGAAGGAATTCCTTAGTGGGCAGTGGTGGGAAGGCAGAGGAGGCAGAGAAAGCACTCCAGGCAGAAGGAACAGCCTGAGCAAAGGCTTGAAGGTAATGAGCCCGCTGCATCCAAGGCTGACTCTAGGGAAGGCTGAGGGGCTGCAGGGTGGGATTCGCAGGGCACTGGTTACTGCTGGCAGGTGCCTCAGGGGCCAGTTGAAGATTCACACTCACAGCGGCCTTGGGTGCCATACAAAAGCCTGGGTTTGTGGTGAAGATCATGGGAAATGAAGCTTGGAAAGAGGGCTTTCCAGGCAGAAACTGGAGGGGAGAAGATCTGGAGGAAGGTCACTCAAGGCAGAGGAAACAGTAAGAGCAAAGGCTGGAGGCAGGTGTGAGTGCACCAGGCACCTTTAAATGAGTGGGAAAATGAAGCCATGACCTATATGATTCATATGAATGCTTCCTGGGTCTCTGGAGCCAATCGGGTAGGAACCAGAGTGCTGGCCATGCCCAAGCCCGATGCAGGGGTGGAAACTCAGAGCCCAAGACTTCCACCAGCCCACGTGCCCAGCTTCCCTGTCCCAAGGAAGTACCCAAGACCAACTGCAGTGTGCTCCAGGAGCACAAAATGTCCCCACATGAAAGGGCACTCATGGGTATGAGTGCAAGGAGACTTTCCAATAAATCTTTGCCATTCTGACCTTTGCTCTGCAAACTTGGCTGGCTCAGCCCTTACATAATGAGCTGCTGGGACACTGGCCAGCTGACTCAAGGATGAGTATAGGGTGCTCCTGGGCCACCTTGAACCCTTCCTTTCCTTCACTGTCAATTCTAAAACCTGAGTCTACAGGTCTCTGGGCTTCCAGGAGCTATCCTTTTTGGCAATTGAGACTTAGATCCTGTATGTTTTTGTTCCTTCCCTAGCTGCAAGGTCACCCCTTGAGTGCCATGTCCTGTCCTCCTGATCACTCCCCACTGCCACCACACACATGACTCCCACCTTGTGAGGGCCGGGTACACAGCAGGTACTCAGTGAAGACCAGGTTTCCTGTGTTGACATCGCTGTGCCCAGAGACAGCACTCAGCAACCTTAGTGACTGCATGTTTCTTGGCTTCTTCAGCCCCCAGCCTCCATATAGCAAGGGCCAAAAGTTAAGCTGCATGGGGTTGGCCTGGACTTCTGGGGCTCCCTGCACCCAGGAGCACTGGCAGGCCCTGCCCTGGAAGTCTCTATGGGATCCAGAGAAATATGGGCTCTGCCATGGGGGTCAGACGCAGCAGGCAGGAATGTGTCCAAGAGAAGAGGGAGCAGCAGTGCATGATTAAGCACCATGGGGCAGGCCTGCCATGCTAATGGCCGTGGGGTCCGTAGGTACTCAGGCACACACGGGGTTGTTTCTCCTACCTGGAGCCTGACTTCCTTCTCTCCCTGCTTCAAGATGAGGGAGTTTTGGGTGGGAAGCTACCATCACTTCCTTTATCATCACCCTGGTCGCTGTTGGGTGAGTGTGCAAGGACACATATGTGCATGCATTCTTATGCTTAAGAGGCATGGCGTGGGGGCAGCAGGGTAGGAGATGCCAGGTGCAAGCAGGCAAGAGTGTGTGGCCTCCAGAGATGGCTCAGGCTCAGGATCCGCTCCCGAGACACCCTCATTCCACACCACCCCAGCGGAAGTTTTGACAGCGTCTTTCCACATAAGACCAAGGCTTTCCCTCCTGAGGGGAGGAGGGAAGGGGGACAGAGCAGAGGAGAACAAGGAAAAGAGTCCACTGTGCCTTCCCGGCCTGGATCCTCCTGTGTGCTCTACTCTGTGTCCCAGAGGGCCTGCATTGCTTCCCATTGACTCTCCCAGCTACCCAGGCTCCCCGGCGCAGCCCCTGCCCCCAGGGACTGGGCAAAAGGGAGTCTGTGGGCCGGGCACAGTGGCTCACGCCTGTAATCCCAACACT
The DNA here is from genome assembly GCF_000001405.40 of Homo sapiens. NCBI lineage: Eukaryota > Metazoa > Chordata > Mammalia > Primates > Hominidae > Homo > Homo sapiens. The sequence continues at coordinate 53,149,114 of NC_000003.12, read as the reverse complement.
TAGGGAGGCTGAGGTGGATGGATCACTTAAGGCCAGGAGTTCGAGACCAGCCTGGAAACATGGTAAAACCCTGCCTCCACTAAAAATACAAAAAAATTAGTTGGGCATGGTGGCACATGCCTGTAATCCCAGCTACTCGGGAGGCTGAGGCATGAGAAATGCTTGAACCTGGGAGGCGGAGGTTGTAGTGAGCCCCAAGATCATGCCACTGCACTTCAGCCTGCCGAGACTCCATCTCAAAAAAAAAAAAAAAAAAAAAGTTGGGGGTGTCTGTGGAGACCATGGGCATGGGATCTTTTCGTTCTTTCTTTCTTTTTTTTTTTTTTGAGACAGAGTCTCGCTCTGTCGCCTAGGCTGGAGTGCAGTGGTGTGATCTCAGCTGACTGCAACCTCTGCCTTCTGGGTTCAAGCGATTCTCCTGCCTCAGCCTCCTGAGTAGCTGGAACCACAGGCACGCGTCACCACACCTGGCTAATTTTTATATTTTTAAATGGAGATGGAGTTTCACCATGTTGGCCAGTCTGGTCACAAACTCCTGACCTCAGGTGATCCGCCCACCTTGGCCTCCCAAAGTGCTGGGATTACAGGCGTGATTACAGGATACAGGGATTATTACTGTGCCTGGTGGAGACCATGGGATCTTGAACCCTAGACCCTGCACTCAGAGGTCAGCCTCCTTGGAAGGGCCTCCTCCCTGAAGAACTCAATTTTTGATCCTGTCTGGCAGCAACTGGTGCTAAGCTGCCCAAAGGCACTGTCTGGGCATCAAAATAAAACCTGAAAATTGCTACCCCGCCCAGTACCGCAGAGCTCTGCCAAAAGGTAATTATAGGTGGCCTGGGGTGGCCAGCTCTGCATATAGCCCTAAGCTCAGCAGGCCCAGGGCCACAGGCTGCAGGGAGCCCTGCCCCTGCCCCTCTTGTTCTGCACCAGGCCTAGTGCAGAGTGTTCCAAGTCCCAGCTCCAGGGCCCTCCATCAGCCTACAGGCCTCCAGATCTTGGTTGTGGTCCCCTGGGTGTCTGGGTGGATTCCAGACTCTACAGAGGGTGTGAAGAGAGCTTGGTCTCAGCTTCACATCATAACAAGAACAGTAATTCCAGCCCCCACATATCAAGCACTCACTACCTACCAGGCCCTGAACTAACACTTGATGTTCCTTAATTCACAAACTTCCCACAAAGCCCCTATGATATGGGTACCATCATTAGTCCCATTTTACAGGAGGGGATACTGAGGCCCTGGGAATCTAAGTGACATGCCTATGGTCACCCACAGTACCCTGGGTTCTGGGCCAGACTTCACAACCACTAGGCCAGCTTGTCCCTAAAGCCACAGAGGTGAGAGTGAGACAGTGGGTAACTGGCCTGGGTGGAGTGAGACAAGTGACCGGCGTGGAGGCGTCAGCAGCTGGCAGGGGAAGGACAGTTTCCCTTCTGAAAGCTCATTTGCCAACTGTGAGGCCTGTGTGGCCTCACAGGTGGGTGTCTAGGGGGAAACAAGAGACTGGGGAAGGCAAGGGTAGGCACACAGTCTGGCTGCCTCACAGCCGGCACTCTTGGCCATGCCATCTCCCCTGCAGCCTGCCCAGATCTTCTCAGCCCAGAGGGAACCTGTGTGTCCCTGCCTGCTCTTCCCCACCTACAGCGTGGGAAGTGGTGTGAGGGCAGGGCTCCACCCAGGACCGCTTTGTGCCCCTCGCACTGTCCTGGGCGCAGTGGGGGTGTGTGAGTCTACTGCACCCCATCTCCTGCCACACAAGACTCACTGCCTGGGCCTAGCCAAGTTTGCTGTCTGGAATTTGCCTTAAAAAACTCCCAGTCTCTGCTGACTCGTGAGGGCTGAGCTGCGACTTCCCTTGTCCCTGGGCTAAGGTCTTAGTCCATACTACTAGGAAGTTCTAACTGACGTCTCACTTGCATCTAACTGGCTTCTCACTTGCTGTCTGTCATTTTCTCTTCTCACTGGTTCCCTTTCTGGTTCTTGCAGAGGCAATAGTAAATAGGCCATGTGTTCATGTTTCTCATCTACACAGAAAATGGTAACTCTAAATGACTTCTGCACTGACCTTGTTAGTCAACAGTGAATCTACAAACCTTTATTAAATCCCTACTCTGCTGAGAGCTGAGGAAAGGTAGAAGAAGGGGGTGGCAAATTCCTAGGTGAGCTACTGTGCCCACTTCTGTGCTTGAGGCAGATATTGCTAAGTGATCACAGAGCTTCTTGCCGAGCCTGGAGGGATATAGCTCAGAATCCTTGTCAACACAGCTCCAGGGAGCCATTGGCGACCAGCTGGAATTGATACATCAGTTGAAATCCATTGGCCCTCCCTTTGCAGCCCACCTCCTGCCAAGGATTGAGGCCAGGGTCAGGCCAGGGCTTCTTGTGCAAAGCTGTCCTTGCCCTGTCCCCCCCTTGCACTGCCCATGCCCTGATTTCTTTGTCCTCGTTCTCAATGCCTGACACAGGATGGGGAGAAGGCAGACAGTATCATCTGTCTTCTGTCTCAGGTTCCTGCAAGGCTGCGATAGCCTAGTTAGGGATGCGGCCCCACAGTGGCACAGTGCCTTTGGATGGAAGGCATCTGGGCTGCTGCATCAGAGCACCTTCCACACCCGCCTCCATCCGAGACTTGAGACCCTCCCCAGAGCACATCTTCTCAGAACTGCTCTGGGGCCCAGGGATCACAGGTCCCCTTGCCCAGCCTTCTGCTCCCAAGGTGCTCACTGTGCATTCCTTCCCAGGTCAAGGACAAAAGTCTGACTTCTCCCTTGCCCTTTCCAGCCATTCAAACACATGGATTGGCACCCACTGGGTACCAGAGCCCTTGGGAGGGGTCAGGAGCTTCCCTGAGCAGAAACGGAGGGTCCCTGACTCAAGGAACTTGGGGTCCTCAGGGGAAAGAGTCAAGGTCCCAGATGGGTTATTGAGGAAGCATTAGACTTAGGGCCAGACAGACAGGTCAATCCCAGTACTGCCACTTGGGCCTGTTTTCTTGTCTATAAAATAAGGATAATAGAAATAATACACATAATAATGCCTATACCACAGACTTATTTAAGGATTAAGCAAGATAATTTATTCTGTCCTTCAACATTATTTGTTGAGCACCTGCTATACACCAACCTCTGCCCTCAGCTCTAGGGATACGATTGCTCTCTTGGAGCTGACAGTCAGAGGGAGGGCAGACTAGTCACCAGGAATCGTAATAGGAGCCAAGAAATGATCACACAGAGTGAGCAGGGCCCAGATGGGGAAGCCTAGGGACTGAGAGCCAGAGGAACCCTTGACCCCACTCAGGAAATCAAAGAAAGCTTCCAGGAGGAGATGACTCCTGAAGGAGGAGGGAGAAAGTTGTTCCACACCTGAGCGAAGGCTGATCAGTGAAGATGTACATGTGAAAATGTCCAGCACTGGGCCACAGCATTTGTTTTAAAAACACAAGGTGTGAGAGAGGCCCAGACAGATTGTCTTGGGTGCTAGATGTGGGACAGACGAACTGGGCGGGGCGTGTCCAGGGAGCTGCATTATTTACTGTCCCAGCTATAAAATATTTACACAGGCATCCTGATGATTTATGGTGTTTGCTTTCCTACCTCCTGGCTCCTGGCAGGTAAATTATGTGCCCTGCAGCTCACCCCAGGGAGGGGTCCTGGGGTGCGGGCACCATGCTCCTAACTGGGCCAGGAGGAGGGCTCTGGTCCAGCAGCAGGTCAGATTGTTCACTCTCCTAGAGAGACTTGAGCCCCACGGGCCTGAAGTACCTGGCCCAGTCGGCCCAAGGCAGAACCAGGAACTGGAGGGGTGGCAGGGAGGCACTGACAGACGTCAGGCTGAGGGAGAGGCCCACCAGGGCAAAGGGAGAGCAGCCAGTGCCCATGCCACCATGCCCCTAGCTGTGTGGCCTTCAACAAAGTGCTGGACCTCTTGCATCCTGTTTTCTCCCTGGTAAAATGGGGTTAATAATAATACAATTTTGAAGAATAGATTGAGATCACACAGAACAAGGCCTGAGCTGAGCTCAGTCACAGGAAGCTTGAGATTCCTGCATGTTTAATTAAACATCTGCAAAATGTAATATTAGGACAGCCGGTAAACTGTAGCACGCCTTAACTCATACAAAGTAATTCAAAAGTGTTATAATGCGGGAAGTGGGTACATTTTAACTTACTTGAGTTGAGAGCTGAGAGTCTGCAGAAGCTTTGGGAGGGTCTGACCTCTGCTTCTGTGGAGGGAGACCAGTCGTCTCTTATGGTCTACACCTCTTTTGGAGTCTTTCTAGAAACTTTTCTAGAAACTGGTCCATTCTTCTTTTCTGGAGAAGAAGAAAGGAGGAGTCCTGGACAGATGGGGCAGGGCTCAAGGGGATTCCTGCCCAAGGCCAGGAGGTGCCTCCTAGTCCTCTGAGGGGAAAGGGCTCCTTATCCCCAGGCAGAAGGTGGAGCCTGGACATCTGGTGTCACTCCTGGCCTCACAGGGTTGGCAGGTTTGGGCCCATGGCTGATGGGCTCACAGCTATGGAGAGAAGTAGGCACATGGCAGGGTGCGGTGGCTTACGCCTATAATCCCAGCACTTTGGGAGGCTGAGGTGGGCGGATCATTTCAGGTCAGGAGTTTGTGACCAGCCTGGCCAACATGGCAAAACCCCGTCTCTACTAAAAATACAAATATTAGCCGGGTGTGGTTGCACATACCTGTAATCCCAGCTACTAGGGAGGCTGAGGCAGGAGAATCGCTTGAACCCAGGAGGTGGAGGTTGCAGTGAGCTGAGATCGCACCACTGCACTCCAGCCTAAGTGACAGCAAGACTCCATAAAAAAAAAAAAAAAAGAGAGAGAGAAGCAGGCACAGGACTACAGTCTGGGACAGCAGAATGGAGAAGGCATCAGTGGTCAGGGATGGTGAGTGCAGCAGATTCCCTGGAGAAGCGTGGATAAGCAATCAGCTTACACACCTGGGTCTTTTTCCAGGGCCCTCTTGGACCAGGCTGGCCAACTCCTCCACGGAGCAAATAGGCACACTGAAGCCAGAGAGAAGAGGGATCAGAAGGCCACATGAGATCAGAGTTGAGACAGAATCCAGGGAAATTGTGTCCTTGCCCTAAGAGTCCTAGATCTGTAGACTTTCAGAGAACAAGGGTCCTCAAAGACCATCTGGTCCAATCCCCTGCCACAGTACACAGAAGGGGAATGTGTGGGGCTGTTTGCCTCAAATCCTTCTTCATCCTTCCCCTGCTCTGATCTTCGCCTATGGCAGAGAGGCCCAACCTCTTCAGGCTGTATTCCCATGCTGTGTGGCCTAGTTTGGCCTGTAGAGGAAAATGGAGGGAGGCAGGAAGAGAGACACCTTAGGCAGTTTTTCCAGTTGTGGCTGCATCTCCTCTGTGGCCTTAGACTCCCCTGGACAGGCCCCGTGATGTTCTAGCTTCTTCCACATGACCCAAGTATCAGTCAGTAATACTTTAGTGAAAATCAGTTGATGAGGTTCCTTAGGCTTACTGTATTCTCAGACAGAACTCCACAAAGGCTATGGCAGCTGGCAAAAAGGTTAGCAGAGAGCCAGGGTGAGGGAGGCAGATCTCCAAAGGAACAGGGGGCTGACTTCACTTCTCTGAACTTCAAGGTCCAATAGCAAAAGAAGCCATTCTAGGTATTTCAAATAGAGGGAATTGAATGTAGGGAATCCATTATACAAGTGATGAAAAAGTGGAGAAGCTATCAAGGGAATGGAAAGGCAGCCCAGAGGGTAGCACCAGCAGGAAGCTACCACCACCCCCAGGCTAGAGGGACAAAGGGACGAGGCAGTCGTTTGCATGAGCCACTCGGAGATCAGCAGCCTGCTGGATTTTCCCCACCATGTTTCTCAACTGGGTGTTTGTGGCAGAAACTTCCCCATTGAGCACATACTTCCCTCCCTGACTGCAGGCCTGGGAGCACAGCTGGCTAGAAAACCCACTGCTTCCCCTGCCCAGCTTGTGGGCAAGCTGGAGAGATTGGGGCCTGTGCTGCTGCCCCTCCACCTCTACAGTGTCCAGAGGGAGAGCCCAGTGCCTGCTGAGCCCAATTACCAGGGGATTGGGAAGAGAGCTGAGGACAGAGGTCTTCCAAGCAATGCCCCAGAAACCCAGGAAATTGAAATCTCCATCCCATTGTCCAGACTCTAAATAGCACCAACCCCTCAGGTACTTGAGGCCAATTTTCAACAAACTGATGGACCCTTACTGAGCATCTGCTGTGTGCCAGACACCATTATGTTATGTTGGTTTTACCTGACTCCGAACCTATGAGGCGGGAATTGTTGTGTAACCCCATTTTATAGATGGGGAAACAGGCTCTGCAGGGTCAAGTCACTTGCCCAGGGTCCCTATTCTAACATGAGGCTGTGCTCTTTTAGATGTATTCTCTCACTGCCCTGAAGTGCAGACATGGACAACCTTCGGCATTTACTGTCTCAATATTTGCGGTTACAAGTGTTCGAGAGTGACCTCAAAGGTGGGGGATTTTCTGTCATTTGTAGCATTGCTGAGGCATGATTTTGAGCTCTGCGTAGGTCAAGGCTGGTGGCAGGAGGGAGTGACTGATGTGGGGGCTTAAGCAAGGTGAAGCAGGCTGAGCTCTTGGCCAGCACCCCCAGGGGAAGGCATGGGGCACTCTCAGGTTGTGGCGTCAGATTACCTGATCCCCTCCTATGGTTGCATGACCTTCAGCCAGTTCCTTTACCTTCTCACCTGTAAGATGAGACACATAAGCCTGACCTTGGAGGGTTCTCTTGAAGAATGAGATCACGCATGTAAAGGTCCAGATGCTCCTGGGGCGCAGTGGGTGCTGTTAGGACACTGATGTTGATCACGGCCTTTGGAAAGGGAGGCATATTTAGGGTTTGTGGCAGGTCATGAGGCTGAGTCGGTAGGAGCTCCAAGGGCAGGCAGGGTGATCAGCGAGGGCCAGCGTAGCCAGGAGTGTCCATATCAGTGAGACATGAAGTCAAGTAGGCAGAAGGGGCTGGGTATGTGCTCAGAGGCTCTGGTCTTTGGGGTCACAAAAGCCCTGAGGCTCTGCTCCTTCCTGGTGGTATGACCTCGTGCAAGTTACTTCAGCAGGGCCTCACTTTCCTCATCTATATAATGGGGGTGATGTCTGCTCATTTCCTAAGGTATATTGAGGAGATTAAAAACAATAATGCTTCTGAAGCCCCTAGCTCATGTCTGAGACAAGCTACAGGCTTCACTAACATCAGCAGTTACAATTATTTAACATCAGTGGTGTCTATGATTTTCATGAGGGTGGGACCAGAGCTCCAGAGCATGAATTGAAGGTGACACTTTCCCCACATCCCCAGCAGCCTCAGGACCCACTTGCTTCCCAGCTTTGGCCTTCTCTGAAGGAGGATTCCTATAGCACCCACAAGGAAGAGGCTTTTCTCCATCACTTCCCGTCAGAATTGGGAAATGGCAGAGGCCTCCTGACCTGGGGCACTTTTGACTGCTCCATCAGCTCCTACAAGGCTGATTAGGAAATGGGTCTAGATAGCTGGTTGTGAGGTGCTGGCTCCATCCACCTGGCTTCAGCCACAGTGCCACTCTGTAGAGGCCCTCCCTGACCCCCAGCTGAAGCAGGCCTTGACATCACATCACCCTGCCTTCCTGTCTTCAGGGTACTTATCGGGATCTAGAATTCTCGGCCCACCTCCCTGCACTGGGAGGAAAGCTCCTTGAGGCAGGATTTGTACCCTGGAACCCAGCACTTAATAGGGACTGGTAAACATTTGCTGAATGAATGAATGAATGAATGAATGAATGAATGAATGACGGCCAGGGAGGCAGAAGGTTTATGTTGGTGGGAGGCACAAGCACACTAGACAGAAGGCCTGAGTTCCAAGCCTAGCTCTGCCCTCAACAGCTATGTGACCCTGGGTCTCAGTCTCCCCACCTGTAACATGAGGTCTTTGGGGAGATGAGCTTCAAGACCCCTTTGAGTTCCAACAGTCTGTGCCTCTGAGAGGTCCCTGACAAGCTGCAACTCTAGGAAGCCTTCTGGCCACTGGGTAGCAGGAAGTTGCCATGACAAATGCAAGCAAGTCTATTTTGAAATATTTTCTGATTGGCTGTGCCTGAGCCATAGTGAGTAAGCCTAGAGAATTCTCCCTTCTCCCTTCCCTTGGGGCCACCTACCCTAGCACGTGACTCAGGGCACACATACACACAGTACCACAACCACTCACAGAAACACATGCACACGCATGCTCAGTTCATGCACACACACTCATACACTCTCTCTCTCTCACTCACACCCAGAGAGAGTTATACCTGCATGCACACCCTCAGCACACAGTTGCCCATATATGGTCACACAAGCACACCACACAACACAGGTGAACACACACACATAGGTACTCCTATGCATCCTCACTCACACACATTCTCACACATGCACACACTCACACACTCATGAACACAGGCATATGATCACACACATTTGTACTCATACACACACACTCATTTGCACACTGCCATATATGCACTAACTTGCATCACTCACACCCACACAATGCTTACACAATCACTCACGCTGGCACATGCTTACACACTTTCACCTCACAAACGTACTAACACAGTCTCTCACACACATGCTCACATGCTCAACCAGCATACACACCCTCCTACAGGCACACACACCCTCACACCCATGCACACATACCCACTCACTCATATTCATCTACATACTTACATTTGCTGTCCCACCTGCACACTCATGTAGTCATGCAAACTCAACTGATCACACACACACACATGCACACATGCACACTCACGTACCCCCTTCTGTTGCACAAGCTCAACCCCCACTCATGGGCAGATTGCCATTCCAGGCTATCCAGGCCTGGCCTTCTCTGATGGCTGCTCCCTGCTTTCTTTTCCCTCTTGGTTCTATTTATTTTTCTTAGCCATGATGAGCATATTTGGAGAAGGATCTATTTTCATCTTATCTGGAAACATATTTCCTCTCAGTCATGAGCTCGACAGATCAGTGAGAAGACTCCTGGCTGCTGTGGTGTGGGCTGGGAGGGCTGAGGCCAAGCCAGGATGGAGGCCAGAAAGCCACAGAGGTGGCAGGGCTTCCCAAGATGGTCTGGTAGCCCGAGCCAGGGCCACTGCCTCTGAAGTCCTTTTTGGGTAACCCTGGAGTTCAGGGCAGCTGCTCCCCATAAACGTGACTGTGTCTCAGGGAGTCTGACCTCCCTCTTTGCTTCTTCCATCTGACCTGGGGGTGCCCCTGGCTCCTTATTGCTGCTTTTTTCTATAAAAGAGTAGAGCCTTTATAGATCATCTTTTCCCTCTCAGTTTTTACGTGACAAGAAAAATAATGCATTCTATTCAGTGAACATTTCCATTGCATGCAAGATGTCATTGCAGCCTCATAACTACCTTAAGAGGTTGTGCTATTCATTTCACAAATAAGAAAACCAAGGCTCAAAGAGGTCAAGGGACACGCATAAGGCACACAGCAGTGGGGACAGAACAGGGTCCTTCTGTCTTCCTGTTGCTCAGGCCACAGCAGCCTCACTGTCTCTAGCACTCACCCTGCAGAGTTGCCTGCAGGTGACCAGAGACTAAGAGGCTGGCCTTGGCTGGGTGGTGGGTTTAAACTGGGACTCCTAAGGGTTCATACCCAGGTGGGTGCCTGCTCTGTTGGTGGCCTGGGTGGCTGCTATGTGTGTTTAGCTTCTAGCTGCCAGGTATTGATCACACTGGTGTTGGGTATGGCAGGGCAGGCCTCTGGGAGGGTGGATTGCACAGATAGAGACTCTGAAACCTGAAGCCTTTGTCTCAGGCCGTACCTCCTCCCCTTAAGGACCAGTGTCCCTTCCTTTACGCACATGCTTCCATGTGACAACCCTGGGAGGCAGAGCAGGGGAGGGTAGGCCTTCATGCCCCAGGCCGAGTCCCTGGCTTTGTGTGCCCCTTCCTGTCCCCCTGTATGTTGGCACACAGGAGATGCTCAGTAGATGTTAGCTAAAATCAAAAGAATAAAAAAGTGGGCTAAGGATTTAAACAGGCATATCTCCAAAAAAGATACAGAAACATCCAATAAGTTCATGAAAAGATGTTCAATAACACTAGTCATTAGGGAAATGCAAATCAAAACCACAATGAGATACCACTCCATACCCAGTAAGATGGCTATAACCAAAAAGATGGACAATAATAAGTATTGGTGAGGACGTGGAGAAATTGGAGCCCTTATACACTGCTAGTGGGAATGTAAAGTGGTACAGCCACTGTGGAAAACAGCCTGTTTAACATAGTTACCACAAGACCCAGCAATCCCACTTCTAGAGAATTAAAAACACATGTCCACACGAAACCCTGTATACAAATGTTCACAGCAGCATTATTCATAAAAGTCAACCCAAATGTCCATCAACTGATGAATGGAAAAACAAAATATAGTATATCCATACAGTGGAATATTATACAGCCTTAAGAAAGGAATGAAGTACTGATATATGCTTCTACATAGATAACCTTCAAAAGCATGCTAAGTGAAAGAATCCAGACGGAGACAACCCCATTCTGTATGATGCTTTTTATATAAAATGTCCAGAATAGGCAAATCCAAATAGACACAAAGTAGATTAGTGGTTGCCAGAAGTTGGAAAGAAGAGAGTTTGGGGAGTGACTACTAATGAGTATGGGGTTTCTTTTGGGGATGATGAAAAATGTTCTGGAATTAGATAGTAGTAATAGTCGTACAACTCTGTAAATACACTAAAACTCACTAAATTGTCCATTTTTAAAAAGTGAACGAAAGAAAGAAGAAAGAAAAAGAGAAAGAAAGAAAGAAAAGAAAAAAAGAAAAGAAAAGGAAGGAAGGAAGGAGGAGGGAGGGAAGAAATAAGGGAGAAAGGAAGGATTGAAGGTCAAAAGAATCTCTGTGGGGATGGAGATGGAGGTCCAGAAATATTAACTGCTTTCCCAAGGTCACGCGGAGAAATGATGTCAGCCCTGATGATGCAAATACTATAAAAATGACACTAACAGATCCTGTTTGTTAAGCACACTCATTCCATGTGCCCAATGGTGTGGATGCCTCCACATGCATTATCTCATTCATTTCTCACCACAACCCATGTGGTGAGTATTATTATTATCCTTATTTTTACAGATGAGGAAGTGGAAGCTCAGAGAGGTGAAGTGACTTGCCCAAGGGCATTTGAGCTTAGATTAGTCCATCTCTAAATGGTAGGGAAAATGGTTCTGAGTGACCCTGTGGTGGTGGTTGTTGTTTTGAGACAAGGTCTGGCTCTGTTGCCTAGGCTGGAATGCAGTGGCACCATCTCGGCTCACTGTAATCTCTGCTTCCCGGGCTCAAGCCATCCTCCCACCCCAGCCCCCTAAGTACCTGGGACTACAGGTGCACACCACCACGCTTGGCTAATTTTTGTATTTTTTGTAGAGATGAGGTTTCCCCATGTTGCCCAGGCTGGTCTCAAACTCGTGAGCTCAAGCGATCTGCCCACCTTGGCCTCCCAGTGTTGGGATTACAGGCATGAGCCACTCAGCCAGCCGTTGTTTTTTTTGTTTTGTTTTGTTTTTTACATGGCAACCCACATCCTCAATACAAGAGGAAAGCTGGTGGTGCTGCTGCATCTGACAGGTGCTCAGGGCTCAGGGAGGGACATCCTGGTTCCCAGCAATATGCAGGTCTCCAGGCTGGGACTCCAGCCCTCTTCAGGAGCAGGTGCTTGTGAGTAGCTTTTGAGAAACTGGCCCAGGAGAATCTGGGACAAATCTCCAAGCTGGGCTGTTGTTTTAAGGGGCAAGAAACAAAACAGTTGCTCATGCTGGGGGCCTCAGCTGGCTCTGGCCCAAATTCTTTGGGTGTTTGGATAAATAAGGGCTACCTTGTTTCACCTCTGTGTGACCTTTCTATGTGTGTAGCTCTGGGTCCCAAGATCCAGGCCCCAGGGAATGTCCGTTCCCACCCAGTGCATGAAAACCCCTGATCCAGGCCAGCCCTGAGTATGCCAGGGGCACTTCCTCACCAGAAGTTTTTCAATTGCTGAGGAGCAGCTTGTAGAAAATGGTAAAGAGGGCCTCTGAGGGCCAACAGTATATTACTGTAATCCCACCTCATAAGATCAATGAGATTAATTGGAGTGATGCATGGAAGGTGGAGGCCTGACTCAGGGGAAAAGATTTTACAATATCAACCATGATTACCATTATGCGGCCCACAGACCCAGAATCAGAGAGCCTGAAGGCTGACCCTAAACCAGCACACATATTTGTGTACTTGCAGCCATGCACACCTTCATACCCACCCCCCACACTACATGTGCTGCACATGACCTTGCATTCCCGCTTTCACATCCACGCTTGCAGGTAAACTCACAAGCATGTCCATTCATATGCAGGTAGACATGCACCCACACATGGACGTTGTCTATCTGAAAGCAGACTGGCGAATGGGCCTGTACACACATGCAAATGCACACTCACTTTCCCCCATGCGCGTGAACATATGCACCTGAATTTGTATTCATTCACATATACACATCCACACCCATGAGCCTGCTCCTCTCAGGACCACCAGCTCAGCACTGGCCACTGACTGGTGAGTGGAAGAACCTCTGCACTCCGGAGCAGCCACAGCCAACTCCTGGGTCCTCCAACAGGCTCGGCAAGTTCCCACCTGTGAGCCTTCATCGTTACTGTGTTCTCAGCCTGGCATGTCCCTCTTTTTGACTAAGCCCTTTTGCCCTTCAAGATTCACTTCAAAAGCATCCCCTCCAGGAAAGCTTCCCTGATTCCCCAGCCAAAAAATCTGCCCCCTGACTCCTGAGTTCCCCTTGCCAGTTTTTACCACCTCAACATACCTGGTATCACTCTTGTGTTCCCCTCAAAAGGAGAAAGCACTGCTGCCTGAGTGAGCAGTGACTGTGGCTTATTCGCCCGTGTGCCCCCTTCTGACGCCCAGCGCAGAGTGCTGAATGGAATGAAACATACTGATGTGTGAGCTTTGCAGGTTACTGTTTTCCCTGTGCCCAAATCAATGCCCAGAGGAGAAGGCAAAGCCAAGGCCCCATGATTGCTCATTGCAACCCATGGGCAGACCCTGGGTCCCAGGGGCTGGCTGCCCTGTGTAGTCTTCCTGGCACCGAATTCTCCCAAGGCCCTCACGTAGGCACGGCCTCCAGCCCCTACTGCTCTGACCTCTGGCCCTGGGCCCAACGCTAAGGCTTGTCTAGCCTGGAGGCAGATCTCAGAACTTGCTTTGCTTTTTGAGGCAGAGAGACTTTTCTAGCTCACTGAAGGAGGCAGCTTTTCCAAGGTGCCTGAAGATCCCACCTCAGGCAGTGCTTCTGAGAGCCTAGATCATTGTATCAGAAGCCCCCAGAGGCTGGGCATGGTGGCTGGCCAGGCACAGTGGCTCATGCCTGTAATCCCGGCACTTTGGGAGGCCAAGGCAGGTGGGTCACTTGGGGTCAGAATTCAAGACCACCAGCCTGACCAACATGGTGAAAACCTGTCTCTACCAAAAATACAAAATTATCTGGGGGTGGTGGCGCGCACCTGTAATCCCAGCTACTTGGGAGGCTGAGGCAGGAGAATCACTTGAACCTGGGAGGCGGAGGTTGCAGTGAGCTGAGATCACACCATTGCACTCCAGCCTGGGCAACAAGAGCGAAACTCTGTCTTAAAAAAAAAAAAGGAAGAAGGAGAAGGAGAAAACAAAGAAAAAGAAGAAGCCCCCAGAGTGTTGGTAAATGCAGATTCCTGAGCCTACCCCAGAATTGCTGAGGTGGAGCCCAGGAATCAGCATTAACAATAAACCCTCTGGGTTAGGTCTGGTTAAGGGACTGAAAGCCACACTGCCCAGTTCAAATTTTGGCACTACCATTCACTAGTACTTAGGCAAGTCCCTTAACTTTGTCAAGCCTCAGTTTCTTGGCCTGTAAAATGGGGATAATAATGGTGCCTACATTGTAGGGCTGCTATGGGAATTAAATGAGATCATGAAAGTGAGGTGTCCAGCACAGTGCTTACTTAGACAGATGTGGACGACTAGTATCACAGCTGCATTATCATGCCCTGGGACTTTTGAGAGAGGCAGAGCCTTGAGAGAGGCAGAGCCTTGAGGTCCTGCTTCTGGAAGGGGCCCTGATGGAGGTGCTCTGGGACGCAGAAGCCTTGGCCAGGCAGCGCCCTCACCCAGGACGATCTGCCACCTAGTGGCTGGTGTGTGGGACCATGCCCAGTTCTCCTGCCTCCACCTAGCTGAGATCCATGGCCCAGCTGGCCAGAGGTTCCACCCTGTCTCCTGGCCCACTAGCAGCCTCCCTCCCTGCTCCTCTGCCCTAGGAGCCTAATTGGCTTGGCACCAGCTCTGGCACTTCCCTCCAGCTTTGTAATAAAATAGGTGGCTTGGGTCAGATTTCCCTGGCAGGGAGGCTACCTGGCACAGACGCAGGAGGCGGGGAGGAAGGCTGGGGAAAACGGCTCCTTCAATGACCACCAGTTACAGCCTGGTATTCTCAAGGGGCCACTTCCTCTCCAAGAGGACCAAGAGTACAAGAGCCCTATGTACTTGTCTTTCTTCCTTTCCTAGTCCTTCATCATTCATTTATTCCAATGCACTTACACATGCATTCATTCATTCAATATTGAAATGTTTACTATATCCCAGGTGCTCAATGGTGATCACCAGGAATTGGCAAAGTTTTTCTGTAAAGGGCCATCTAGCAAATATTTTCAGCTTTGTGGACCAACCTATTCTGCTGTTGTAGCAAGAAAGTAGCTATTGATAATATGTAAACAAACGGGTACGTGTGCTATGTTCCAATGAAACATTATTTGTGGACACTGAATTTTTTTTTTTTTTTTGAGACAAGAGTCTCACCCTGTTGCCCAGGCTGGAGTGCAGTGGCATGATCATAGCTCACTGCAGCCTTGATCTCTCCAAACTCAAATGATCCTCCCACCTCAGCCTCCTCAGTAGTTGGGTCTACAGGCACGCACCACCATGCCTGGCTAATTTTTGTATTTTTTTGTAGAGATGGAGTTTCACCATGTTGCCCAAGCTGGTCTTGAGCTCCTGACCTCAAGCAATCCACTCACCTTGGCCTCCCAAAGTGCTGGGATAACAGCCGTGAGCCACTGTACCTGGTGGACACTGAAATTTGAATTTTATACCATTTTCATGTGTCATGAAATATTCTTTTGATTTTTTTCCAACCATTTACAAATGTAAAAACTATTCTTAGCTTGTAGGCCATACAAAATGCAACGTCCAGTGGGCCATTACTTGCCAGCCCTGAGCTGAGTCCTCCATGGGCAAGACCATGGAGTATGCAACTCCCAGTGGAGCGTGCAGGCCAGTATCTCCAACAGGGTCAAGACCTTCAGAGATCCTCACTGGGGAGAGGGAATGCCTCCAAGCCTACCACAGCTCGACTGCTGCAGCCCTCCCAGACTCCACTCTCTCAATGCCACATATGTTCTCTGTGGCTTACATATAGGGACTCTTAGGTCTCCTTTACAATCAGAAGCTTTTTTTGAAGGGAGGAACATTACTGTTCACGCATTTGGAATCAGAAGGGACCCGAGTTCAAATACCTCCTTGACCATTCCTTTGCTGAATGACCTTGGATGAGTTACGTCACATCCCTGTGCTTCAGTTTCCTGATCTGCAGTCCCTCTCTCATAGGTTATTGACAGGATGGAGTACACGCATGTAGAGTGCTCAGACAGGTGCCTGACATGGAGTCAGTGGTCAATGTTTGTGGATTCTCCTCACAGTTCCTTTTTCCCCACCCACCCCAGAACCCAGCACGGCTCTGGGCTCTGCTCAGTCCCTCCTTGCCAAGTGTTAACTTCCAGAATAAGAGAAAAAGTCCCTGGATTCCTCACCCAGGAGCCCCACAGAGTCCATACCTTGGGGTCCTAGAATGCTTTGCCCTTTAGACTTAGCTTGGAGCATTTCCCCTTTGACTTCTTTGCTCCTAGCAAAATGATCACTTCTTCCCTCCCAAAGCAGCTTACATGGATGCCAGGCTTAGGAGTGTGTGCACATGATGAACTCTTGGCTGGTTCTACTCTGGGGATGAGCTGTAGAGGAGGAGACTGCTTGGCTGGGAATAAAGGAAGTGGGAGGCTGTCTCACCTGCTGGCCCACAGTCCAGGGGGGTGGGAAGGCTGCCCAGGTCAAGGTCTTTAGCATCTCAGCCATTATGCCAAATACCTGGACCCTCCAGCACTTTCTCTATTCTCCAAGTACACTCCTCCCCAGGTGGGTGCCCAACTCACTCATCCTAAAACAGCACCCCTCTCTCTCTTCCAAAGCCTCTAGGATCTTACCTGGTTTCATTCTTTCGTAGCACTTAGCCCTATGTGAAATTTTATTTGTTTGTTAGAGTTTTTTTCAGTTTCCCTTTCACTAGAATTTAAGCTCTCTGAGGGCCAGACTTGCCTGAAACAATCCTTATGACTATTTTTACAGGACAGATAATATCCCTATTTAGTAGCTGAGCATACTGAGGTCACCCAGTCAGTGAGTGGCAGAATGAGGATTCAAGGTCAGTTCTCTCTGACAGACAAAAGCTCACATTCTTGGGCAGGGTGCAGTGCGGTGGCTCATGCCTGTAATCTCGGCACTTTGAGAAGCTGAGGTGGGCGGATCACTTGAGTCCAGGAGTTGGAGACCAGCCTGAGCAACGTGGGAAAAACCCATCTCTACAAAAATCACAGAAAAAATCAGCCAGGTCTGGTGCTGCACGCCTGTAGTCCCAGCTAATCGGAAGGCTGAGGTGGGAGGATTACCTGAGGCCAGGAGGTGGAAGCGGCAGTGAACCAAGACTGTACCACTGCACCCTAGCCTGGGAGACAGAGCGAGACCCTGTCTCAAAAAAAAAAAAGAAAAGAAAAGAAAAGAAAAGAAAAGAAAAAGAAAAGCTCACATTCTGGGCCTCCACACTAAGACAGAGCTCATTTCACCTGGGAAGATGGGAGTGATAGGCTTTGAGTTCCACAGTCTGTTTCCAGCAGCAGTAGCAGCAGTCATGTGTCAGGAGACATTTATAGGAGCCCTAAGAATGTTCTGTACCGCTACTTCAGGAAGCAAAACCAGGCAGGCTGCACTTCTGCCCTCTTGGAGCTCATGGGCTGATTATATAGAGACACATATTCTAGTCTTTCTGCTATAATGCAGATTGCATTAGGAACTATAAAGGGGTACAGAGTATTTTAGGGGTACTGTCTTGATTTGCTTGGGCTGCTGTAACAAAATACCATA
Source organism: Homo sapiens (assembly GCF_000001405.40). Lineage (NCBI taxonomy): Eukaryota > Metazoa > Chordata > Mammalia > Primates > Hominidae > Homo > Homo sapiens. Next base: position 53,131,825 of record NC_000003.12, on the reverse strand, counting down.
GACTGGGTAAGTCAAAAACAGAAATTTCTCTCACAGCTCTGGAGGCTGGAAGCCCAAGATCAAGGTGCTAGCCAGTTTGGTTCCTGTTAAGTGTATGTTGGGCGCCTTACATTTTACAAAGCCTTCTTCGTGGTTGCAGACAGCTACATTCTTGCTGTATCCTCAAATAGTAAACACAGAGATCATTTTTCTGACATCTCTTTTTATAAGGACATGAATCCCATTATGACGGCTCCACTTTCAGGACCTAATTACTTCCCAAAGGCCTTACCTCCTAATACTATCACACTGGGGATTAGGCTTCAACATATGAATTTTGAGGGTACACAAACATTTAGTCCACAGCAGGTACCAGCTGTGGTTGGCCAGGAAAGTCAGGACAGTGTGGTCTAGGAGGGCAAGGGGTGCTGTCAGGGAAGACACTTTGGACAAAGAGGGTGGAGGAGCAAAGGCCAGTGAGTCACCGCCTGTTTGAGGACCAGTAAGGACTCGGAATGGCTATGGCCTAGATAGTGTTGGGAAGGGCAATGATCGTGTGAAAGGTAGTAGAAGATAGGTTGGGGCCAAATCATGTGAGGACTGAAAGAGATTGGGGAAAGACTGGGCTTCCTACAGCCTGCTTGGTAGATAATAAGAACACTGACAGAACAGCAGCTGATTGTGTATGTTGGGCGCTTTACATTTTTTTACAAAGCACTTCCAGTCCTTCTTCCACTCTGCCCTCACAATTTCTAGCATACAGGCAAGAGTGATAAGTTTAGGATCAGGAGCCTGGTATCCACTTAGTCAGGAAACAAGTTGTGTAGATTCGAACAAGTCACTTCCCATCTCCAAGGCTTTACTCATCTCTAACCACAGGGGCCAATTCTCAGAGCTTTCGGAAGGATTTCACAAAACCATACACATAACAGTGCTATATCTAACTTCTGGTCCTCAGTTCTTTCTCTGTTAAATGAGGACAATTCCTGTCCAGCCTAATTCAGAGGGTCTGTGGCTGTGATTCTGTAAGCAAAGGTCAATGGTGAGAATCTTCTTAACGGGCCAGTGAGAAGTTTGTTCCCCTTTTGGCAGATGAGGCCAGGAAAGTTAGTGCTTCTTGGTTGGTGGCTGAAAGCCTCAGAGAAGGAACTTTGGATTCTTTAACGGTATCTCTTAGTACTCGCCACACTATTTCGTTTATACGGGGAAGAGAGGGACAGACAGCGCACAAGCGACAGACAGCGCAAAACCTACCGAAATAGAAAGAGCCAGGCGCCATAACAGACGGCCCGAGACAGGCCCACTTAAAGGACCAGAACTTCTCGTGCCCCGCCCCCCTCTCTCAAGGCCATCAATCAGACAGCGAGGCGCGCCGTGACGCCATCTTATCGCGACTAAACGGAGTGGCGGCGGCATTTCCTGGTGTCTGAGCCTGGCGCGGAGGCTATGGGCAGCCAGGAGGTGCTGGGCCACGCGGCCCGGCTGGCCTCCTCCGGTCTCCTCCTGCAGGTACTCTCTGCCCTTCAGGTTCCAGCTTGTACTGCAGCCGGGATTCGCGGGATGGCAGCCCTTGGGCCCTTGAGAGCCTGCCCCAGGGCCGACCCAGTCCCGAGGTGGACCCCGCAATGGAGGGGGTGGGGGGGTCGACCGGAGACGGTGGCATTGATGAGGGGGGACCCTGGCCCGGAGATAGGAGCCTGCCTTTAGAGTCTAGGCCGGGTGACTGCAGACAAGCCGCTTTCCTTCTGAGCATTCTATTTCCCATATGGCAGTAGGAGTGAATTAGATCAGGTGGCGGGGGTGAGGGACTGGTATTTCGTGCTCGAGAATCTGATATTTTTCAGGCAAGGGGTTCATTTCCTTCATCAAACACCTTCCTCAAACTTTGAGTCCCACTGAGTTCCGAGAGTCCATATGGCATAGCTAAGAAGAGAAATCTGGAGTTAGGCTTGGATTGCTCCGTGACCCAGGACAAGTGACTTCACCTGCAGAGCCTGAGTTCCTCACTAGTAAAATGGGGGTAATAATATGTCGTACTTAGCTCATAAGCAGGGATTGATTGGGATCATTCAAATAAACGTACTTAACACAGTACCCGGCTCTTAGTATGCATTTAATACATGTTGGCTGCATCTTCTGTTTATGTGATCTTGGACAAGTCACTTCCCTTCTTGGCCCTAATTTTTGTCATCTGTCAGGTATGATACAGGCCAGTTAGTCCAAATGGTATCTGAAGATTCTTTCAACCCCAGGAGCTGAACCTCTTAAGTCAAGTGGCTCAGTATCTCTCTGTCTCACTCTTGAGCCAATCAACCCTACTTCACACAAGTCCCGAATCTACCCTACCCCTTATCTTAGAGAGGCACATGGAGGGCAGAAGAAAGAACCAAGCAGAATGGGGCTTGAGTTTGGGCCTTGTCACTTGCTAGATGCCTGCCTTCGGGATAAATCCGATGACTTCTGTATCAGTTTCTTCATCTTAAATGAGAATCATAGTGCAACCTCACAGGGTCATTAGGAAGATTAGATGAAATCATGCCTCTTAAGTGCCTGGCACACTACAAGTACTTAATAAATGTAGCTATTTTTATTAGGGTAATAAGTATTTTTAAAATAGTCAATGTAGGAATGAAATGAGATAACCTATGGAAAGCATGTTGAAGAGTGCCTTGCACGTGATATGTGCTTAGTAAATGTTAGCCATTCTAAGTTTACCTAGGGATTTTTTTTTTCTGTTTCACTACATAAATAACTGAGTTTATTGTTTTATCCACAATGTTGGTTTTTTTTCAGCCTTTGATAATATCTTACTACTCAGATAGGCTTCATAAAACGAAAACAAGTTATAACGGAAAACACACTGGACTACGAGTCAGGTGGCTTACCTGTAAGGTCAAGCTGGGTCATTTACTTGCCGTGTGACAGTGAGGAAATCACTTAACCCTCAGTCTTGCTTCCTGTGCATTTACCTCGTTGTTTTTAGTGTCAAATAATTTAACAGATGTGAGAGAGCCTTTTTGTTAAAACTGTAAAGTTGGCTGGACGCGGTGGCTCATGCCTGTCATCCCAGCACTTTGGGAGGCCAAGGCAGGAGGATTGCTTGAGCTCAGGAGTTGAAGACCAGCCTGGGCAACATGGTGAAACCTTGTCTTTACAAAAAATACAAAAATTAGATGGGCGTGGTGGCATGCACCTGTAGTCCCAGCTACTCAGGAGGCTGAGGTGGGATGATCTCGAGTCTGTGAGGTTGAGGCCTCAGTGAGCTGTGATTATGCCACTGCACTCCAGCCTGAGCAACAGAGTGAGACCCTGTCTTAAAACAAAAGCTGTAAAGTTCTTTGCAGAAGTAAATGAAGGCTGTGTTGCTAATAAGGACTGCAGTGTGTGGCAAATACTGGGTGGCGTAAGCAACCTCAGTTTCATTAGCTGCAACCTTTATTCAAACCAATTAGGAGACATGGATATGGCCTGGAACATTAAGTTTCTTAGACAGTGGTAACTTTGAGGTTAACATAAGTATGTACACATGGTGTTTTGTTTTTTGTTTTCGAGATGGAGTCTCACTCTGTTGCTCAGGCTGGAGTGCAGTGGCACTATCTCGGCTCACTGCAACATCCGCCTCCCGGGCCCAAGAGATTCTCAGGCCTCAGCCTCCCAAGTAGCTGGGATTACAGGTACCTGCCACCACACCTGGCTAATTTTTGTATTTTTAGTAGAGACAGGGTTTCACCATGTTGGACAGGCTGGTCTCGAACTTCTGACCTCAAGTGATCCACCTGCCTCAGCCTCCCGAAGTGCTGGCATTACAGGTGTGAGCTACCGCGCTCGGATTTTTTTTTTAATAACCATATTTTTATATGGTTTCTTGAGTGTTTTCATTCTTGTATGCTTTCTCGAATTACACTGTAGACACTTCAGGTAGCTTTGTGGTTACATTTTATTCTGCAAGAATTTGAGAGCTTGTTCTATCTTAATTCTAAGCCACCTATGCTGAAAGTATTAATGCCTTTCATTTGTATGCACTTAAAAAATGCTTTCACTTCTACAGTCTCATTTCTTTTAAAAATATTTCTTGTAGAGATGAGGTCTCACTGTGTTGCCCAGGCTGGTCTCAAATTCCTGGCTTCAAGTGATCCTCCTACCTTTCAGCCTCCCAAAGTGTTGGGATTTTCTTTTCTTTTTTTTTTTTTTTTTAAGATGGAGTCTAGCTCTGTCGCCCAGGCTTCACGCCATTCTCCTGCCTCAGCCTCCCGAGTAGCTGGGACTTACAGGCACCTGCCACCACACCCAGCTAATTTTTTGTATTTTTAGGAGAGGCGGGGTTTCACCGTGTGAGGCAGGATGGTCTCGATCTCCTGACCTCATGATCCGCCAGCCTCGGCCTTCCAAAGTGCTGGGATTACAGGCATGAGCCACTGCGCCCAGCTAAGTATTGGGATTACAGGCATGAGCCACTGTACCCAGCCCTACAATCTCTTTTGATCCTTTTAATCAACCCTATGTGATAGGTAAACTCATTTGACCGAGGAAATTGAGGCTTATAACAATTAGAAGATAACAGATAGAAGAGCTAAATGGTGAATTGTATTTTTAGTAGAGACGGCATTTCACCATGTTAGTCAGGCAGGTCTCGAACTCCTGACCTCAGTTGATCCACCCGCCTCGGCCTCCCAAAGTGCTGGGATTACAGGCATGAGCCACCATGCCCAGCCATATCTGCATGTTTCTAAGGAGCAGCTACAGAGCTGTCATCAGACTCAAAAGACCACCTTTGACTCCATAACGGTTAAGATGGTGATTTCTTGGCTTTGGAGACCTTGCTGCTCTGTGATACTTTAGGTACAGTGTTACACAATGTCCCTTTTTGGTCATAGCTGTCCCCAGAGATTTTCAGACCACAGTAGTCCATTGATATGCTTAGATCAAATCTTCCAAATTGCAACTCTTCACAGATAACTCTGAGGGTGCTTGACACAGAAGTGATTTTCATTTGCTGCTGGGATGCAGAAGGGAGTCATTCAGTGAATGAGGTTTGCACTCTTCCCAGCATCCCCATTTAGCAACCCTGTTTAATTACAGTCTTCTTGTTCTCTGTGTCTCATGGGAGAAGTTCTTTGCTTAGATGGTTTTCTTGAATTGACAGATTGGAAAGTCTCAGGAAATGTCCCTTTCAAGCGGCAATAATTGGACACTCTCTCCCTTCCCCCCATGTTACATTACGTTATCTTATTTTTGCAGCATCATTTAAAAGGTATTTCAACTTCTCCCTGGAAAGAGACAAGTATTCAATAAAGAAATACATTTTCTATGTTCTAATTGAGAAAACTGAAGTTCAGAACGATATAAATGTCATTATTGAAATTCCTAGATATTATGAGGCAGAGGAGAAAAGAGAAATTAGTCCCCATGATTTCTGGTGAGTCTGCTATACCCTTAAGGCTCCCACTTGCTAAGCGTATGCTATTTCTAAACAGGCTGGGGTGGGGGAGTGTGGCCAGGGCCCGGCAAGGTGAACCACTAACTAGAATTCTCTTTCTGCTTCCTCAAGGGCTTGACTTTGTAGAAACTCAGTGAGTCTATTGGGGCCTCTTGGTTGTTATTAATAAATTAGGGAGCCTTCCAAGTGCCTTCCTGGGTTCTTTGACTACTGCACGGGAGTGCTGAGAGATCCCATGGAATGAAATTTCAGGAGAAATGCAGACAGGTTGGGCGTCTTAGAGGAGAGTCTCCATGAAAAAGCTGCTGTATGTCATTACATCACATTAGGAAGAACAGCCACATTGTTCTCATTTCAGCTAAGTAAACACTTCTAACGTCATTTATTCTTACGTATTTTTCCTCTTTTTCTATAGGTGTTGTTTCGGTTGATCACCTTTGTCTTGAATGCATTTATTCTTCGCTTCCTGTCAAAGGAAATCGTTGGCGTAGTAAATGTAAGGTAGGAGGAGATGCACCCTGGCACTGTCAGAGTTCACCTTCCTAGCCAGGCTTTCTTCAAACTCTGTACCTGTTTGTCATCCTTGGATTCTAGAAGCATGGACCTTTATCAGAAGCAGAATGTCTTAGCAGTAGGCTGAGGAGAAGCGTGCAGGAGTGGAGGGACGCGCAGGCGATGTTGCTTTTAATGGACTCATGGAGTGTTTTCCATTAGCAGCCTCCAAATGCACATTTCTTTGCCAGCTGTTCTGGTTTTCCTGCTCTTGGAAGTCAGGAAGGAGAAGAGTGGGAGTAATTCATTAAAAACTCTCTCTCAGATATAATCCTATGTTCTTGTCCTGCTGACAGCAAAGGAAACAGAAATTCAGTAGTTTGTGAGGATGCGCTTCATAATGGCAGGGCTGGAGCAGCCACCTTCCTTCCCTCCTCAGTGATTTTATAATTGGGATATGGCAACTGGGATTCGAGCTTGAGTCTTTGTCATCAGTTTCTTGGAGGCTCTTGGAAAGATGACTTCTTTGTCTTTTAGACTCAGCTTGTTTCTTCTACTCGCCTCCTTTCTGTTCAAGGACACCCACGCATATTTTGTCTTCACAAATGACACAAAGTATATGAAATGATGTGAGTGCTCAGAATAGCTCAGCTTCTCAGGTGTGTCTTCATGTCCTGATAAATAAGACAATATGTTCCAGACAGCATTTCATGTCTAATACTTACCAAACATATACTCTTGGCTCTGGTCTCAGAGCTTAGTGGCAGGACTCAAGCTTTGAGCAAAGGAATCATCTGTGGAGTTTTGCACTACATAGTGCTGAACAGGGGCCCAGGAATCTGAATTTTTATAAGCTCCTTAGGTGATTTTGAAACAGGGACCATTCTTTGAGAAATATGTTTTCTTTTCCTCTTCTTCACCTTCTTCTTCTTTTTCTTTTTTTGAGACGACAGGCTTTTGCCCTATCACCCAGGCTGGTGTTCAGTGGCGCCATCATGGCTCACTGCAGCCTTGACCTCTTGGGCTCAAGCGATGCTCCCGTATGAGCCTCCTGAGCAGCTGGGCCTACAGGTGTGCACCGCCACACCTGAATAATTTTTTTATTTTTTGTAGAGATGAGGTCTTACTGTGTTGCCCAGGCTGGTCTCGAACTCCTGGGCTCAAGTGATCCTCCCATCTTAGTCTCCCAAAGTGCTGGGATTGTAGGCATGAGCCTGAGAAATATAGGCACTTGGCCCTAAGAAATACTGTTTTAAAAGCAGGAAGGAAGAGGGGCAAATCCTCCTAGGGGCTCAGATTTTTCTCCCCAGGCAGCCTTCCTGAGATTGGCAGGTCCTGCTTTGACAGCCCTTGTCTGGCCTGCCCTGCTCCCCTGCTTAAGGTTTGGTTCCATCTCCTTATTTGCAGTGTTCCACAGAGGCACTGGGTAGCAGGATAATCCTTGGACAACCCCAGAGACCTTAACCCTGGGCTGTCCCTACTCTGGCTTCACCCAGACGGCTGTCTATTGAGGAGGGGAGATCTCAGCTACTCCTCGCTAAGATGCAGGAAGGCTCACCCAGGTGCTGCCCACCTGGGAGGTACCCAGGCACGCCTTGCTGATCTGGGTTGCAGCAGCCTCTGTAATGGTTGCCAGCCTTGTTGCCTGTCTTGAGATTCTTTTGGCCAGAGCCTCCACTCGGTAGAGGCTCAGCTTTTCTCACAGGGGCCATCGGTCACTCGTGTCAGTGTGACCAAGAAGGGTGGGGTTATAATCTTATCTTCTTCTCCTCCTTATGGTCATGGCCACACCTCTGCCTGTAGCCATGAAGGCTGAAGCCTTTTGAGGCCACTGCAGCAGTTTCTATCCTTCACGTAACTGTAGGCACACACCCTCAGGTGTCTTTCATTTGGTTCCTAACTCATTAGTTCTCATGGATCAGACCGGTAGGGGGTCCTGTAAGAGCCCACTGCCTTCCACATCACCACCAGTGGTTTATGACCAAGACTTTATCTCCTCCCTGTTGCTGGAAAAATCCCAGAAGTTCTCTCTATGAAAAAACTTGAGACCTTATTGATTTCTCCCTTTCATTTACAGACTAACGCTGCTTTACTCAACCACCCTCTTCCTGGCCAGAGAGGCCTTCCGCAGAGCATGTCTCAGTGGGGGCACCCAGCGAGACTGGAGCCAGACCCTCAACCTGCTGTGGCTAACGTGAGTTGTGCTTTGGCAGGAGACACGTTTCAGGAAGGCAGGTGTAGTGAGCATTGGAAATGAAACAGTAACACGTGCCTAAAGCTGAATTGCCCCCAGATTCAGTTTCGTCATGGGTTTCTGGGAGCAGGCATACAACAAGACGGGGACAGTGTTTGTGTCAAAGGAACTTCTTGGCTCATTTTCTCTCTGGATATCCAGGAGCCAGGAAGAGGTTCTGGGTTGGGGTTTCTGGGCCAGGTTTCTAGCCCTGGTTTCATCCTCTTTGGAGGTGGTTTCTTGCTGTTTCTGACCACCACTGTGGGCTCCACTTGGCCTGTGCCATCTTTTTTATTCCTAATCTTTTTGCTCTATAATATCTTTTGAGCTTTTAACAGCCACTTAGATTTAGTATTTCTTGAAAGCCTTTTATGGGTTTTATTACATTTTTCTTCAGTTTTGTTATGTGACTTCAGTTCTGAGTCTTTTAGGATATTCTTGAAGATCAAATACATTAGCTTAAAATTGCAATGGCTTTTCTCCAGCTAGGTCCCCACAGGGAGGGCTGGGGTTTGAGGTTATTTCCCAGTGCTGCCCTTGCATAACTCCTTATTGCCTCACAGAAATGACTGTCATGAGGGCTGGTAGGTGTTCATTTTATTAGAGGAACAACTGTTAACCACCCAGTCATATTTAAGTGCCCCATGGTACACATGTGAAACATGCGAAAGGATACTGAGCACTGCTCTGTTGGTTATTTGGGATGCAAGGAACAGCTGTATACAGTCTGTCAGTCATTCTAACAACAGGCATTTTCTTTCTGGGAATTTTGCTTATGGGGTCAGTATGTGTAACCCAGTGGATAGAAGTTTAGGCTTTGGAGTTATTGCAGGATTGGGTCTTGCTTCTGCCCTTGATTAGCTGTTCATGACCTTGGCCAAATTGCCCAGTGCCTGTCAGCCTCAGTTTCATTTTTTTAATGGAGATAATGACAGAGGATCATTGTGAGGTGTCAGTGAGATAAGCGGCGTGAATCATAGTGCCTGGCATGTAGTTAGTATCTTATAAATAAATGGTAGCTGTTTGTATTATAACTATTTTTTTCTGTTCAGTGTTACTATTTTAATATATATTTATATTTATTTTAAAATTTAGTGAATTATTTTTTTCTCCTCTTCTAGAGTCCCCCTGGGTGTGTTTTGGTCCTTATTCCTGGGCTGGATCTGGTTGCAGCTGCTTGAAGTGCCTGATCCTAATGTTGTCCCTCACTATGCAACTGGAGTGGTGCTGTTTGGTCTCTCGGCAGTGGTGGAGCTTCTAGGAGAGCCCTTTTGGGTCTTGGCACAAGCACATATGTTTGTGAAGCTCAAGGTCAGTGCACCTTCTGCTGTGAATGGGAAATGGGAAGAATAAGAAAAAGCGTTGTTTTTTAAAAATGCTTTTATAGGAGAGAATGAATGATTTTTCCAGACTTGCACCTAAAAATGTATTTAGAAAAAGATAACATGGTCAGTTAAGTTCTTACACTTGAAATTTGTCAGATGGGCTAGGCTAAAGTTCACCTCTGTTTCACCATAAATAAAAAACAGATTTGCTAATAATTTATTAGTTCAAGTCAGAATTTAGAAGGACCGTAAAGGTTTTTCAGATTTTTCTAGTGGTTATATTTAGTTGTATACTAACATTAACTTTTCTCTCTTCATCTTTTATAATAGATTACAAAAGAATATATATTTAATGTAAATCTTAAAGCATAATATACTGAAAGATCCATGAACCCACCACCCTACCCAAGAAGTAAAACGTTACTGATACTTATGTCCAGCTGTGTGCCCTGCCCCCACAGCCAGGGTGACCACTGCCCTAGATTTTCTGTCTATCATTCCATTACATCTTGACTTTTTGATGATGTTTGTAAACTGCACCTTAACCACATGTTTGCAGGTGATTGCAGAGAGCCTGTCGGTAATTCTTAAGAGCGTTCTGACAGCTTTTCTCGTGCTGTGGTTGCCTCACTGGGGATTGTACATTTTCTCTTTGGCCCAGGTAAGAATCATGGCTTTTAACTTTTTATATGATCTTTGTTTCTCCAACTGGTTTTTCTTCTTGTTCCCACCGCCGTGTGGTCTGCATTCACAGTACCCATGCCTGTGCAGGAGGTGGAAGCACCAGAAGGGTGGCCTTAGCACTGCTTCTCTAGCTGCCAGGTCCATTGTGTTCCATACACTGAGACCGTAGGTGTTTCTAGGGACCTGGTGAGGGCCACACACTGGACTTCATTGTCAAACATCAAAAACCCCTTTTAGACATTCAGTGGGCAAGCCTGTTTCAAACTGATCTTTGGTCATCTGATAGTCTTGTAAAGGAGAAAAAAATCAGTGGGGGGTGGGGTGGGAATCAAATTGTATATGTATTATTTTCCCTGGATTTCCATCTTTTTTTTGCAGAATAGGTGGAAACTCTGCCAAGCCTGTTTTAAACTTAGTTTGAAATCTCACATAATTCAGAGGGCATGAATCAAGTCAGAGTAGGTATGTGTTCAGTTTTAGCAATTTAGGCTTCATTTCCATCTCATTGTTTCCTAGTTCTAGTTCATATTTCTGGTTCTAATAAAAATACAACTAGAGTACAAGTGCTATTTTTAAAAATGAAATTTAAGATCAGATAGTTACCAGAACATTTTACAGTGCAAAGCAGTTGTAGTTTTCATTAATGTTTAGGAAGATAAATTAAGATTCTTAGTAATGATTTATGTAAAGGGTACTTCTCACAGAGGACACTGGCATCAGGTGGGTGGCTCACAGCAGTGCCGCTGGAGCTTTAAGGGCTTGGAGCATGAAGAAAGAAGGCTGGTGGATGATGGGCTTTGTCTCAGGCATGGTTGGGAGTGGAGAGCAGAGGGGCCCACACCTACTAAAGTGAGACTCTTCTTTTTCCTTGCCCTGTGCCTTTACTACAGGAGCAGCCTTGATATTGCCAGGTTGAAAGCAAGTCTAGAGGTGCCAGTCTTTCTTGAACCAGTGTGCACTGCTGTTCTCAGGAGGGAAAGAGGGTCGAAGGGAGCTTGTGAAAAGGGGCTTTTTTGGACTTTCCTCCTCAATCTGCAGACAAAACCCATCTGGCTGCTCCTGGCCAGAAGCCATTCTTTTGTCCTGGATGGGTGGAGGGAGGGGTGGGCCCTCTTATCACCCTACCCTTTCTTCCCCTATCTGTAGTAGCTCTTGCCCTGGCGAAGAGGAGAGAGCCAGCAGCTCAATTGTGCTTTGTAATCATTAATGGCACAGGTTTCCGGGGTTTATAGAAAACCCACAGTCCTTGATGACGGCAAGTCCTTGGATATTAACACAGTTAGGATACATAGATCTTTGCAGGGTGCTGACTAGGTGGAAGAGCCGTTCCTTTGGCCAAATACACACCTTTTGAGAATGTATCAGACATGGCTGTGGTAATTGAGCTAGTGTACATCTGTTATGGAAATTACATTCTGCCTGCCGAGAAGAATTATGTTCTTCCAGTTAAGTGAAGTGTTGGGAACACTTTGCAGGTAGATGCTGCAGTGGAGTTGGGTCTAAGTGACTAGTGCCATTTCCCAGAGGGTAAGGCATTGCTGAATAGAAAGTGCAGTTAATCAAGAGAGTTCTATTACTTGACTGGCCTTTGAGATCAAATTTATAGGCATATCTTAATTATGCCTTTATTAAAACAGTTTATTTTTTTTCTCAGCTTTTCTATACCACAGTTCTGGTGCTCTGCTATGTTATTTATTTCACAAAGTTACTGGGTTCCCCAGAATCAACCAAGCTTCAAACTCTTCCTGTCTCCAGAATAACAGATCTGTTACCCAATATTACAAGAAATGGAGTAAGTAATACATTTTTATCTCTTATCATTTTAATCATAGGTGCTGCTTATCCTTGAGAGAAAGAAACTGCAACTGGTTTATTGTTATAATCATAAATAGAATTTTATAGCTCATATTTATGGAGTGCTTGCTCTATGCCAGGCCAGGGTTTCTAAATCTTTGCACTGTGGACATTTTGGGCTGCTCAATTCTTTGTTGTAGGGGCTGTCCTGTGCATTGTAGGATGTTTAGCAGCATCTCTGACCTCAAACCACTAGATGCCAGTAGCAACCACCCCTCAGTGGAGCACCCCAAAATGTCTCCAGACGTTGCCAAATGTCCCCTGGGGGACAAAATTGCCCCCAGTTGACAACCACTGTGCTAGACCCTATGCTGAATGCTTTACCTGCCTTATTTAATGCTTAACAACAACCCTGAAAGGCTGACACTGTCTGTTTCTATTTTAGGGTTGAGAAACTAAGGCTTAGTGAATAAATACCTGTCCTAGGTGAGGGTCAGAGTGAGGACAGCAGCCTGGAGGGGCTCACATGCCAGCAGAGCACAGGCTCCACCATTGTGTTCCACTCTCTCTATTCTGCTGTGGTTTTGGTTTTCTTCCTCAGTTGACTTCTAGCACACAGTTGAGAGTTCTGAGAAAGTAGGGATGAACCCAAAATGGTCTTTTTTTTTTTTTCTCCTTGAGACAGTGTCTCATTCTGTTTCCCATAGTGGCGTGATCATAGCTCACTACAGCCTTGACCTCCTGGGCTCAAGTGATCCTCCTGCCTCAGTCTCCCAAGTAGCTGGGACTACAGGTACATGCCACCATGCCCAGCTAATTAAAAAATTTTTTTTTGTAGAGACAGGGTCTCACTATGTTGTCCAGGCTAGTGTTGAACTCCTGAGTTTAAGCAGTCCTCCCACCTCAGCCTCCCAAAGTGCTGGGATTATGAGCCACCACGCCCGGCCTCACGTGGTCTCCTTCTGAGTGTCAGGCTAGTCTTTCAGGTGATACACTTTTCCATCTAGAGCACTGTGGATTCTACAGCTGATGTGTGGAGTGGCGCATAATCTTTTCTACTCAATTCCTTCACACTCAGGCCATTGGACTTTCATTTTCTGGCTCTTCTGGGGTCAGTGCTGCTGCCCATGCCACCAGAGCTGCACACGTGATGATATTGCCACGTTGTCTCTGCTAAGACACTTCATGAGCTCCTCCATTCTGGGCACTTTCCCTTCTCTCCATGCTTGTTTGCTTGCCGGATGTAATGCACTCAGTTGTGGTAAGGCACATGCTGGATTTCTCCTTATTCCTCTTGTGATACTTGAAAAAGTAGTAAAATATGTGAGACTTAAGTCTCAGAATTCACAGAATCCTGTTATACAACTTTTCGAGAAAAACTAGATCCTATGTATCAAAGCCAGATATGTTCTCATTTGTGAGGTCAGAGTTCTCCATTCTGCTCAGCTAGATTTTACCTATAACCTAAACCAACAGGACGTTTTGGATACCACTGTGCCTCATCTACAGGCTTAGATGGTTAGGACTCAGGATCGCTTCTCTTGCCTAGAGCTTCTGCCCCCTGCCCCCAGAGCAGGTCCGAGAGTGCAGAAGAGTTCTTCTTCCCCTTAGTGTCTCCTGGTGCCCACCTGTACCAAGCCTGGCAGATTTTCATACTGGGCCTGTCCCTGTGCCCCAGCAGTATTTTGGGAAGGAACATTTGAACCATTAGTATAAGCAAAGAGAGAAGGTAAAGAAAAGAGTCTGCCAAGTGTTTATTAAACTCTGTGGTGGCCAGCTTGAGTGACATGGCAAGACTGTCTCTACAAAAAAAAAATTTTTTTAATTAGCTGGGTATAGTGGTGTGCACCTGTAGTCCCAGCTACTCAGGAGGCTGAGGTGGGAGGGTCGCTTGAGCACAGGTCAAGGCTGCAGTGAGCCATGATTGTGCCACTGCACTCCAGCCTGGGCAACAGAGTGAGACCCTGTCTCAAATAAATAACTAAATAAATAAAACCTGTGATGGGCTCAGAACTCTAAGCTTAGTTTCTTTATCTGTCAAATGGGGATAATAATAGTACCTCACTCCTAAGGCTGTTTTGAAGACCTGATGAGTTGGGGCATGTAAGGTCTTAACATTGTGGCCTGGCACAAGTGGGTATCCTTAAGTGACAACCGATATCACCACCGTCACACTGACACCCTGAGAGCAGAGCTGGCTCTACAGGGGCACCCTAGCTAGGCAGCTCTGATGTTATTGGTGTGGGAGCTCAGTGGTTTAATCTGGCAATATGCTCTGAAAGTACCCATGCCCAGACTGCGAGGACCCAAGCCCTGATCATGAGAAGGCTGTGTGTACCTGTCACACATAGTGATACTGTTCCCGCTGACATACAGTAAGAACATGGCGCCATGCTTGGTGCCATCAGGGATACAGACATGTAGGAGAGGTGATTCCTGGGCCTCAGGGAGGTTCCTGTGGGCTTGAGAGGCACCTGATATAGATCTGAAGCCTGTGGGACTCTCCCCAGACCTCAGGGTCTTCATTTTTAAAGTGAGATTGTTGGCCTACGTGACCTGTGAGGCCCCTCTGAAGACTTCAGGAGTTCCATGAAAGTATTTGAACCTTGACAAAGAGCCATTTACAATAACTGCCATTGACTGCATGTTTTGTGCCATGCACTACACCAAGCACTTTACATGGATTTTGTGTTTAATTCTCTTAGTAATGTATGAGATAAATACTGTTAGCTCCATTTTACAGACAAGAAAACTGAGGTTCAGAGGAGTTAAGTGACTAATCCAAAATCACATAGCTGGTTTTGGACCCACTTCTCTCCACCTTTTGCTGGGGACTAGCTTTAGACTGTGGCTTACCCCTATGTTATGTAGCCTTCCAAAAGAAATTGGCTTATTGCCCATAGTAGTTATTGTTTACATAAAGATTAGGAAGTTCCAGGTGGAACAATTCATAATTCAGGTTTATTATTTTAAAAAGAAGCCCGGGCATGGTGGCTCACACCTGTAATCCCAGCACTTTGGGAGGCTGAGCGGGCAGATCACTTGAGGTCAGGAGTTGGAAACCAGCCTGGCCCACATGGTGAAACCCCGTCTCTACTAAAAATACAAAACAGTTAGCTGGGCATGGTGGCATGCGCCTGTAATCCCAGCTACTTGGGAGGCTGAGGCAGGAGAACTGCTTGAACCCAGGAGGTGGAGGTTGCAGTGAGCTGAGATCGCACCACTACACTCTAGCCTGGGCAACAGAGCAAGACTCTGTCTCAAAAAAAAAAGAGAAAGAAAAAAAGAGGCTGGGTGTGGTGGCTCAAGCCTGTAATCCCAGCACTTTGGGAGACCGAAGTGGGAGGATTGCTTGAGCCCAGGAGTTTGAGACCAGCCTGGGAAACATGGTAAGAACCCGTCTTTACAAAACATGTAAAATTTAGCTGGGCATGGTGGCACATGCCTGTGATCCCAGCTACTCTGGAGGCTGAGGCAGGAGGATCACTTGAGCCCTGGAGACTGAGGCTACAGTAAGCTGTGTTCATGCTACTGCACTTTAGCCTGGGCGACAGAGTGAAACCCTGTCTCAAAAAAAAAAAAAAAAAAAAGAAATGAGATGATTCTGAATGCATGAACGCAGTGTATGACTTTACCATGAGCAGCATGCCTGACTTGACTCCCCAGAGCAGCTTTCTGCACTGGGGACTTCCTTAATGGAAGCTGGTCAAATAATTATATTTACTATCAATTTGACTTAATTGTAAGATTTCCCTTCCTGTTCTTGTAGAATTCCATCTTCTTTAAAGATGCTTATTTAACCTTATAATAAATTAATGATACTTCAAATAATGGCTTCCGTTTATATTCATTGACATTTCTGAGGGATTTAATATGAGAGATATGCTAATATTTAAGTAAAGCTGAGGAATTTGACTCAGCAAGCATGTATTAAACATTATTATATGTTAGGCACTGTACCAGGTGCCCTGAGTGAGGCCCCTACCCTCAGAACTTGCATGGTGATGGAGAGATAGGATCTGTACTCAACTATGCTATAGGACAGTGTGTGTCTAGCGTTATCAAAATAGAAGCACAGAGGAAGGACTGCTGAATTCCATCTAGGAACATCAAGGAAGGCTTCACGGAGGAAGCTTCTTTTGTGCTGGACTTTGACACATGGGTGGGCAGAGGTTAAATGTATATGTGTGGTAGAGATGGGCATTCGTGACCACAGAAGGAAAGAAAATTTGCTCAGTGCTTGTTACCTGCCCATCATTGTGTTGGAATTGGGAATGTAGAGATGACTGGGGTACTTAGGTTGGCTGGAAAATGGGGGAAGGGAGAGAAAGGAAAAGGTGGCGGGAAGTTATGAAGGGAAGTAAACCTGGCTGCCAGGCTAGGGTCAGGTGGCAGTGGCCTCAGTGCTATGGAGCTTGGGTTTAATTCAGGGGCAGTGGAGCCTAATGAAAGGTTTTTGAACAGCACCATGATCAAACTGTCTGTATTGAGGAGCTTGCCGTCTCTTACAGAGTTATAGTGTCTTATTTTTTTTCATTCAGTCCTCATACTGGCTCCATGAGACAGGACTTCTTATCCCATTTTGCAGATGAGAAAGCCAAGGCTTAGCAAAATTAAGTATCTTGTTCACGGCGACATTTACACTAATAATTCAAGGAACTGCAGGTCGAGCCCCAATCTCCAAGCTTGACTCCAAAGCCTGAACCTGCAATGAGAAGGATAGGCTAGAGAAAGAGTAAGAAGCAAAAAAAGCTCATTGGGAGCCTGTGGCAATTGTCCAGGTGAGGAGTAAGGACAGGGGGAGGATGGATGAAAGTGGGAGGATGGATAAAGCTGGGGCAGCATCAATAGCCCCAGAGTGACTGGGATAGGTGGAGCAAGAGGGAGAGGAAGGAGTGCTCTGTAGGGTGGAGGAGGTGACAGAGGGCAGTGGACAGGATGGTAGCCCCACACTCACCAGTGACTCTTGTCATTGTGGTAAGGATGTGGCTGATCATATCATCCTGAGTCAGAAGAGTTTGGGAAGTGGACGAGTGACTCAGGTGAAAGTGTGATGAGCCTCTGAGTTCTGATTCCAGACCTTCCCTGGAGTTACCATCCATCACCTTTTACCACCTTAGCCGCCATTTCTCCGTTAGTACAGTGAGGGCAGTGGAATGGCTTGTTGGTCAGGGTATTCCAGGGAAATTCCTGGCTATTTAGATCAGCTCATCAGTACCAACCCAGCTATTGTGAAATAGGCCTCTTTTGACCGCCCCAAGTGACACCTCCATTCTGAACCTCCATTCTGAATAGAATGGTAACAGTCCACCATATGCTTCCTCTCTCCCACCACTCAGCCCCTGCCTGCAGAAGCCGCATCTCAGATTGGATTTCCTGCCTCTGTGTCCTTAATGAGCACTTTTAGTAAGTGGTGTCACCATTCCTTCTGAACCACAGGCCCATTTAAACCAAAGGCATTAGGAAAATCAAGTATGAGCTCTCAGATTAGGTACACCATCATGATCTCATTCTCCCAAAGAACTTTGTCTTTAAAGAGCTCAATCATCTTCCCAAATCCATTCACAACCTGCAGGCAAACAGGCATCACGAGAGCCTCATGACAAGCAGCAGCCTTCGTTTCCTTTTAAAAGGGGACAGGTCCTGCTTTGCTGACCCCTGGGAGGACCACCACAGCATGGCAAGGGGTGAGGAGCAGTGTGAGAGAGAGAAGGTGCTGAAGCCGGCTGTGGTCAGAATCCAAGTCTGAAGATGACGTGGTCCCCAGTGCCCCCTAGTGGTAGGAAGTTGTCTGGTGCTCTTTGTTCCGGGGAAAGGAGATGGCCTGTTTTAAACATCTTGTGGCCCAATTTCCTTCTCATCAGGGAAGATTTACTCCTGGGCTAAAGAGATAACCTGGCATCTGCTCTAGGTTCTCTGATTCCCTGAGGGCTGCACTGTTTGGGAGGATTCACACTTGCACTCCCTGTGTCTGGAAAAAAGGCTCAGAAACCAAGGAGTAAAGAGAATGGGGGCTAGAAGTGATCCTTGCTTTCAGAGGTGCTCTAGGCTTGCCCTGTCCCAAATGTTAGCCACCAGCCACATGTGGCTATAGAGCATTCTGGAATATGGCTAGTCTGAATTCAGATGAGTCATAAATGCAAAATACATATTGGATTTCAAAGTCTTAATATGAAAAAAAATATTTTTTACAGGGATTACTTGTTGAAATGATAATATTTTGGTTAAATAAAATATATTAAAATTAATTTCACTTGTTTCTTTTTCCTGTGCACTGTGGCTGCTAGAAAATTTAACATTACATTTCTACTGGATAGCATTGCTCTTCACGGATGGGCTTTCTGCCCAGAACAGGGGCCCACATGACTGAGACAGGTTCCAGGCCTGCCCTTGGGCCCACTTCCAGAGCTGTGGCTGACCTTTTGGAGAGGTAGAGTGGGCTTGGCCTTTGTAATTCAGCCCTCCCCTCCCAAAAAGCCCTCTGAAATCCTACCATTGAGAAGTAATCACTTTGGATAATCACTACTTTTCAAAATGCAAGTACCCTAGGATTAAGAACCTAACATCAACCAGGCATGGTGGCTCATGCCTGGAATCCCAGTACTTTGGGAGCCGAGGTGGGAGGATTGCTTGAGCCAGGAGTTTGAGACCAGCCTGGGCAATGCAGCAAGACCCTCATCTCTACAAAAATTTTAAAAATGAGCCAGGCATGGTGGCACACACCTGTAGTCCCGGCTATTCTGGAGGCTGAGGGGGGAAGATGGCTTGAGCCCAGGAGTTTGAGGTTATAGTGAGCTATGATCATGCCACTGCATTCCAACCTGGGTGATAGAGTGAGACCCTGTTTCTAAAACAAAACAAAACAAAAAACCAAACACCTAGTCTAAATATTCTGGGATCCCAGGGTGCCTACAAGATAGAGGAGGGGGCCCCAGAGAGAACTGTGGGAGGTAGAAAAACAGGAGTCAGAGGATACCGAGCTCCCTGGCTGCCTTGCTCTTCCATTTTGTGCTCAGCTCCCTGGCTTTGAGGCCACCTGTCTCTTAATAGGTTGACCTCTACCCTACCTAAGTGTTTCCTTGTCCTTAGGAAATGGGCCATTTGGTGCCGCTGGGAGTTTTATTTATTTATTTATTTTTGAGCCAGATTTTCGCTCTGTCATCCAGGCTGAAGTTCAGTGGTGCCATCTTGGCTCACTGCAACCTCTGCCTTCCAGGTTCAAACGATTCTTGTGCCACAGCCTCCCAAGTAGTTGAGATTACAGACACGTAGCACCACGCCCAGCTAATTTTTGTATTTTTAGTAGAGATGGGGTTTTTGCCATGTTGGCCAAGCTGGTCTCAAACTCCTGGCCTCAAGTGATCCACCCACCTCAGCTTCCCAAAGTGTTGTGATTATAGGCGTGAGCAACCTCGCCTGGCCTGGAGTTTTAGAAGAGTCATATCAGAAATTTTATTTTCTCCGTTCCTCTGTCATACCCATTCTGAGTGGTTTACCTGACCTGCGAAGGCTAAATTTCTTTTGTAATGCAGAAGGGCAGCTCCTATACTTTGTGTAAAAGGGCCCTGGATGGCTGAACATAGCATTACAATGTGCAGTATATGGAGCAGAATTTCTTCTGCAGCCTGGCATGCTTTAGACAGTTTTTAAGGAAAGAACAAACTGTGAGCTGTACGTGTTAGCTGTGGTCAGTGTACTGTGTGGGCCCCCAAGGGACAGCAGCAATTCTTTAGGGGTCTCAGTATATGAGTCTTGGGCAGGCCCTTACAGACTTTGGCTTTGTGTTTAGTAATGTAAATTCTTCTCCAGTGTTTGTGAGATGCCTTCTGTGTGCTTAGCATTGGATGAGGATTCAGTGGAGACTATCCAAGTTGGGATTTAGAGACCAGATTGCATTTGCCTCTCATGTAGCATTGCATTCTTAGACTTGCAACGCCTGTGATGTTTTTGTTTTGTTTTGTTTTCTCTTCTAGGCGTTTATAAACTGGAAAGAGGCTAAACTGACTTGGAGTTTTTTCAAACAGTCTTTCTTGAAACAGATTTTGACAGAAGGTAAGTAGACGGTCACTCTGAATCGTCGGGAGACCATAGTAGAAGGGGATTTCATAGGACTGCCAATTACCTGGGTCCAGACCACCTGTCCAGAGCCTCTGGGGCAGAAGAATTTCAGAAATGGGAGGAGGGGGCTTAATACGGAGAGAGAAACCAACGTCTGTTTAGTTTGATGCTTTACTTAGTGGTCTAATTTAAATCTCTCCACAGCCTTATAAGAAACATATTGTTCCCCTTCATCATGGATGAGGAAACTAAGGGTCAGTGAGGTTGCAGAATTTCTTTAGGGTTTTATAGTAACAAGGAACAGCTTAACTGGGATCCAGGTCTAACTCCAAAACCCCATGTTATATGATTTTTATGAATTTATTATGAAAGTATTATATCAGTTACATAAAAGTATTTTTATCATTTTTTTTTTTTTGAGATGGAGTCTTGCTCCGTCGCCCAAGCTGGAGTACAGTGGTGCTATCTTGGCTCACTGCAAGCTCCACCTCCCAGATTCATGCAATTCTCCTGCCTCAGCCTCCTGAGTAGCTGGGACTATAGGTGCCCACCACCACACCCAGCTAATTTTTTTGTATTTTTAGTAGAGACGGAGTTTCACCGTGTTAGCCAGGATGGTCTCGATCTCCTGACCTTGTGATCCGCCTGCCTCAGAGTGCTGGGATTACAGGCGCGAGCCACCACACCCAGCCTTTTTATCATTTTATATCATTTATTTATATCATTTTATTTTCTTCTTCTTCTTTTTAAAAATTATGTCAATTCCCTAATCCTGGATTTATTTTCTTAAACAACAAAATGCACTTGTATGAGAGTTTGGTCAGACTTTGGTCCTTTCAGTTTACCTACGACAGAGCTCTCAATGTGGAGGGCCAGCAAGGGGCTGGAAGCACATTTAGTTTTTGTATGTATATGTGTTGGTTTACTTATACCCAGCTTTAATTTAAAAAGTGAGATTTAAGACAGCTGTAAGTTGCTGAAGGTAGTAGTTTCTCTCTTCATATATATTTCATATCCATATACCTATTACTGAATGTATTTTTAATCTTTTCAAAAATTTTCTTTTAATTATAAAATATAGTCCCGTTAGAAAAAAATAAGAAAATAGAAAAAATAATACTAGCATTCTAATACAACTGTTATTATCTTGTTATTTTATTTCCCCCCCATCTGTATTTTTTGTTTATTATGTCTCCAAAAGAAAGCAACTCCCCCTATGCCTCGCTTTCCCCATCTGTGAATAAGGGATAGGACCAGGCAGTGTCTGAGGGCTCTCTGATCTTTGAGAGTACACACGTTTCCAGCCTAACCTTATAACTTTGCTATTACAAAAATGAAACCGTTCCGAGGCCTTCTCGGGGAAGGGAGGGTCAGAAGCCTCAGAAGAGCTGAGTGAAGGGCCTGAGCACTTAGCTCCTGGGGAGCAGAGACTGTGCCGTTCACTACTGCCTCCCTGTGGCCTGGTACAGGAGGGCTATTCAGCATGTATTTGTGAATGGGGTAAGAAAAGCAACAACGTAACTATTGTGAAATGTGTATGATGATAGTTCACATTGTTGTAAGAACAGGAAAATCGGTGGAGTGAGTTTTGGAAAGGACGGTTGCTCATATGCATTTTTTTCCTTCCAAGGTTTTAAGAGCAGTTTTAATAAGTTTGAAGGAATGGATCCAGTCCAAGTGATGGCCCTAAATTGGTTTTCTGGATTGCAGACAACACATGTCTCTAGACATGTCTTTGCAGCAGCTGGTTTAAGTTTACTGCAAACTAAAGCCTCCAGAGCTCGACCTGAATGTGGTGCCAGGAGCCTGCTCCATGGTTGGATCCCCCTAGCCTGACTCCCTGACTGGCAGAGTGCCATTAGGAACTTCTCAGGGCCTCCATCTCCTTGGCTGTGAAATAAGGAAGTTGCCTGACTGAGATCCTCAGATTCGATATATTTTTAAAACTACAGCTCTAAAAAAGTTGAAATCCCTGGTGGTTTTTTTTGTTTTTTGTTTTTTGTTTTTGTAGATAGGGTCTCACTCTGTCACCCAGGCTGGAATGCAGTGGTGCAAACACAGCTCACTGCAGCCTTGACCTCTCGGGCTCAAGTGATCCTCCCACCTCAGCCTCCCAAGTAGCTGGGACTACAGGCAAGGCACCTACCATTACGCCTAGCCAATATTTTAATTTTTTTGTAGAGACAGGGTCTTGTGATGTTGCCCAGACTGGTCTTGAACTCCTGGACTCAAGCGATCCTCCTGCCTCGGCCTCCCAAAGTGCTGGAATTACAGGCATGAGCCACTGAGCTCAGCTTGAAATCACTTTTTGTAGTAGCAAAAATGTATGTGCTGTTACTTCTGCCCCCACATTTCCTGAACACTAT
Source organism: Homo sapiens (assembly GCF_000001405.40). Lineage (NCBI taxonomy): Eukaryota > Metazoa > Chordata > Mammalia > Primates > Hominidae > Homo > Homo sapiens. The sequence continues at coordinate 53,109,457 of NC_000003.12, read as the reverse complement.
GCCAGGTGCTGAGAATACTGAGATGAATGAGTAACAGGCCATGGCCTCAGGCATTTCATTCTCTCACCAAAGACACAGACATTTATGTGGTTAACTGTTACTTGGCTGTGAGGTGTGTGGTACTTGGAAACTCATTTCCTAGAGCTTTGCTAGGAAACCAGGGTCATAGAGGTGACTGAGAGGGGCTCCTGCCCTCAGGGAGTCTATAGAATGTAGGAAGGAGAGGTCTATTTTGCCAAAAGACAGGGAGGGCCCTGCAGAAAAGACACACTAGGTGGTGAGAATGACAGGAGCCAAGGTGGGCCCAGCCTGACTCAAAGCAGCTGGAGGGCTAAAACCTGGGAGGTAGGGTGCAGCAGAAGATGACAGGGTGATGAGGGTGAGGTTGGCAAAGGGAATCCAAAATGATAGCTTGGGGTCAGTGTATAAAAGCCCACAAATACAGAATTAAGGAGCCTGGACTTTTTGCAAACATTAAAGAGTCATTTTGGCCCGGCACGGTGGCTCACGCCTGTAATCCCAGCACTGTGGGAGGCCAAGGTGGGCGGATCATCTGAGGTAAGGAATTCGAGACCAGCCTGGCTAGCACAGTGAAACCCCATCTCTACTAAAAATACAAAAATTAGCTGGGCGTGGTGGCAGGCGCCTGTTATCCCAGCTACTCGGGAGGCAGAGGTTGCAGTGAGCCCAGATAGCACCATTGCACTCCAGCTTGGGCGACAAGAGCGAAACTCTGTCTCAAAAAAAAAAAAAACCATTTAAAGATATGAAAGCAAGCTGGGTGTGTTGGCTTATGCCTGTAATCCCAGCACTTTGGGAGGCCGAGGTGGGAGGTCAGGAGTGCAAGACCAGTCTGGCCAACATGGGGAAACCCCGTCTCCACTAAAAAATAAAAAAAAACATTAGCTGGGGATGGTGGCGGGTGCCTGTAATCCCAGCTACTCAGGAGGCTGAGGCAGAAGAATCGCTTGAACCCAGGAAGCAGAAGTTGCAGTGAACGAGATCGTGCCACTGCACTCCAGTCTGGGTGACAGATCAAGACTATGTCTCAAAAAAAAAAAAAAAAAAGATATGAAAGCAGAGACTGATTTAAGAGCTGTGTTTGAGGCCAGGCACAGTGGCTCACACCTGCAATCCAAGCACTTTGGGAGGCCAAGGCAGGTGAATCACTTGAGGTCAGGAGTTCGAAACTGGCCTGGCCAACATGGTGAAACCCATCTACTAAAAATACAAAAAAAAAAAAGTGCTGGGCTTGGTGGTGGACACCTGTAATCCCAGCTACTCAGGAGGCTGAGGCAGGAGAATCTCTTATGTCTGGGAGGCAGAGGTTGCAGTGAGCTGAGATCGCGCCACTGCACTCTAGCCTGGGCGACAGAATAAGACTCTGTCTCAAAACAACAACCACAACAAAACAAAACTGTATTTGCAGAAGCTGGAACTGTTAGCAGTGAGGGTGGATCCAAGCAGCACAGAGACACAGGCCTGTGAGGACCTGCAGTGGTCCCTACCACAAACACAGTGGCAGGGGCTTGGAGAGAGAGTCAGGGTGGGAGAAAGTCTTGAGAGAAGATCCTCACTGCTTCTAGCCTCTTGATGCTTTCCTTTTTTAGCAAGTTACTAGGAGGTGAGAATTTGCCCTTCAGGGCGTGGGCACTGTTTAGTGCTCCTTTTCCATAGTGGTCAACACTTTTTCTTCATAGATGAGAAACTTCATGAAAGCCAAGGGGATGGGGGCCCTGGCTGGTGTCTTCACCTTGAAGGCATTAGACTGTCTTAAATTTGAATCATGAACTCAGACGTGAGTTCATGATTCAAATCTAAGACAGTCTAATGCCTTGCCAGCCCCCAGGGAGCTGTCTCCACCCCTGAGGAACCTTTGGATAAGCTTGTGCATATAATCATGGACTCTTCACAGATAATTTACGCTCAGATTATCTGACCTCCCCTTAAGACTTGGGACTATCATCTTCATTATTAACATTTAATAATCTCCACATACTTTTTTAAAAACTTATTTTTAGGGCTGGGCGTGGTGGCTTACGCCTGTAATCCCAGCACTTTGGGAGGCTGAGGTGGGCAGATCACGAGGTCAGGAGATCGAGACCATCCTGGCTAACACAGTGAAACCCCATCTCTACTAAAAATACAAAAAAAATTAGCCGGGTGCGGTGGCGGGCGCCTGTAGTCCCAGCTGCTCGGGAGACTGAGGCAGGAGAATGGCATGAACCCAGAAGGCAGAGCTTGCAGGGAGCCGAAATCGTGCCACTGTACTCCAGCCTGGGTGACAGAGCGAGACTCCGTCTCAAAAAAAAAAAAAAAAACCTTTTTAGACTTGTTTTATTTTTATTTTTTTTTATTTGTAATTTAACTGGCTTGGAGATTTGCTGTCAATAAAGTCCTCAGCACTTTCCAAATTGTTACTCTGAGATTATTTGAAATCAACATTAGGACAAGGACATGTCTTTAACTGATTACCTAGTATTTCTCCTTTATTTGTCAGCTGGAAAAGTTGATAGCTGGTGAGAGAAAGGAAACAATAAAGTAATGTGCATTTGACATTGCTAATTATTTTGCTTTTTTGTTTATAGGCGAGCGATATGTGATGACATTTTTGAATGTATTGAACTTTGGTGATCAGGGTAAGATGAAATTCTGTAGTGTTTTAATTAAAGGTGAACACTATTAATAGATACTTCCTAATATTTTTCTCTGATATATTTAATGAAAGATGAACCTGAAGATTAAAGAAAATCCTGAAGATTGTAAATTGTAGGTCTTTGTACTGACTATGCCCTCCAACATGACTTTGGTGTCAGGTATTCTGGTGAGACCCCGGCCCTCTATTTTGCCTCCTGAGAGCTCTGGTGTTCATTTTGGGAGGTGGGAGGTGCCAAGAGAGGAGAAAAGGGAGCTCACTGTCACAGCCACAAAAATCTGCCCCATGTTTGTGTGGCTAGATAGTCTTTCAGTATTTTCATTTTTATCTTTTAATGTAATCCCAAAGTAACTGAAATCAAATAGAAAAACATCAACTTTGCATTAATGACCTGTATAAGAAAGTACTGTTGATGGAAGCATTCTGTATCTTGACTGTATCATCGTTGGTATCCTGGTTGTGATATTGTACTATAGTTTTACAAAATGTTACCACTGGGTAAAGGGTATATATGGGATCCCTCTATTACTTCCTATTTTTTTGTCTTTTTTATTTATTTTTTATTTTTTGAGACAGGGTCTCATTCTATTGCCCAGGCTGGAGTGCAGTGGTACCATCACAGCTCACTGCAGCCTCAACCTCCTGGGCTTGGGTGATCCTCCCACCTCAGCCTCCCAAATAACTGGGACTACAAATGCACACCACCACGCCTGGCTAAATTTTTCCATTTTTGTAGAGACAGGGTTTTTCCGTGTTTCCCAGGCTCATCTCAAACTCCCTGGCTCAAGCAGTCCACCCACCCTGGCCTCCCAAAGTGCTGGGATTATAGGCATGAGCCACCGTGCCTGGCCACTATTACTTCTTATAACTCTGTGTGAATCTATAATTATCTCAAGATAAACAAACTTTAATGAAAATATTAAATAATTTTAATAGTGCTATAAAAATTAAAATAGAAAAACCAACATGATTGTTGTTTCTTCTTTTTTGTTTTGTAGGTGTGTATGATATAGTGAATAATCTTGGCTCCCTTGTGGCCAGATTAATTTTCCAGCCAATAGAGGAAAGTTTTTATATATTTTTTGCTAAGGTGCTGGAGAGGGGAAAGGATGCCACACTTCAGAAGCAGGTAATGTTGGTTCTTATGTCATCTCTCAAGTGAATTCTCCCTTTAATTGCAAGACAGACAGGAGTGTGAAGCAGTCTGTTTCTCTTCTGTTTGATCAGGAATTTTCTTATAGATTTCATTCTTCTATTACATTCTTCATGATAGTGGGACCCAGGGCTCACCTCTTCTTTCGTGGCCTTCTTGCTTTGCTCTTGGCTGTCCCTTCCTTCTCACACCTTTGTTATTCGTTGTGACCTTACTCTTTTTGGGGGGGGGGGCGGGGATAGAGTCTTGCTCTGACGCCCAGCCTGGAGTGCAGTGGCATGACCTCGGCTCACTGCAACCTCCACCTCCCAGGTTCAAACGATTCTCCTGCCTCAGCCTCCTGAGTAGCTGGGACTACAGGCATGCGCCACCACACCCAGCTAATTTATGTATTTTTAGTAGAGATGGGGTTTTGCCATGTTGGCCAGGCTGCTCTTGAACTCCTGACTTCAGGCAGTCTGCCCACCTCAGCCTCCCAAAGTGCTAGGATTACAGGTGTGAGCCCCCATACCTGGCCATGTGACCTTACTCTTGATCCAGCCCTCTCAGGACTCTAAAGCTGTCCCCATTGCCCTGCAGATGCCCAGCCATGGGCTAGTCTTAGGCGTAAGAATGCTTCCCTTATCCTCAGAGTCTCAAGAGCCAAAGGATGCAGAAGTTGGAGCCAGGCTAATCAAGGGCATAGGGAGGAGAGGAAGTGGTTGTTGGCTTTCGCTCACCACACCAATTATTTAAGCTTCTTACAACTGGGACATGCCCAGAGCTACACTCTGACTGTAAGATTCTGTATACTCGGGTTGGTAAATACAGAAGAAGAGATTTTAATCTAGGAGTATTTTGTTGTAGGAGCTTCACTTTTTCCAAAACCACTGAAAATGTCTGACTTTTCTTAGAATAGCAAGCTAGTTCAGCCTCTTGCTTGTCTTAGAAGAAATTTAGTAAAATACAGTTTATGCACAATATCTCAAAATGAGCTAATCTGGTACTCAGTCTGATTTAGGAATATTTTCCTAAGAGTACCTTCACAGTATCATCATAATTTTGGAATGTTTAGCAGGAGAAGCACAGAGCTGGCTAGTGTATATGAAAACTTGCTGCACATTTAAGAATAAATATTAGTGGTCTGGTGCAGTGGCTCATGCCTGTAAGCCTCACGCTTTGGGAGGCCAAGGCAGGAGGATTGCTTGAGGCCAGGAGTTTGAGATTAGCCTGGTCAACATAGTGAGACTCCCTTCTCTATTTCTATTTAAAAAAAAAAAAAAGAACAAATATCAGAGGGGAAAGTGAGTGTTTCCTAAGCAATATTTGAAACAATTTATCCCAAGTGAATTGAAAACTAACCCTCCCCCTTACGACCTAAGGAGACACACACTTTTTCCTTCATTTGCTAACTGACGTGAAAACAAACACACTACAAAAAAATAGTGATATCCATCACGCTGTTGGAAGAGTGAACTGTAAAACAGTGAAGGGAGAAGGCCAGACGTGAAGGATGAAGGTTTTCTTCAGCTCATGATTCATCCAACTTCCTTCCCTCTTCCCTGGCCCCAGGAGGACGTTGCTGTGGCTGCTGCAGTCTTGGAGTCCCTGCTCAAGCTGGCCCTGCTGGCCGGCCTGACCATCACTGTTTTTGGCTTTGCCTATTCTCAGCTGGCTCTGGATATCTACGGAGGGACCATGCTTAGCTCAGGATCCGGTACGCACAAGAGTTTTTCTGGATTTTTTCTGATTTCCCAACATAAATAGAAGAGTCACGAAATTCAAGAACTTGTGCACACACAGTTGTTATCTGTGTCAGTGTAGGGAAAACTGTCTGGTGGCAGGGGCTGTGGGACTGTTCCCCTCGTTCAACTCCAGACACACACTCAAGGTATAGGCAGGGGCGTTGGCGCCAGGACAATCAGCTTCCCCAGCCTCACTTGGAGAAGTTATTAGGACTTCTCCTTGCTGTTGGCTTTCCTCTCGGGCCTAGAATGTGTTTTGCCAAGCGCTTCCCTGTGCTCCCTCTGGGGTGAGGGAGGAAGGCAGAGGGCAGACGGTAATGAGTCTCCACTTGGTACTAAACACATCTGAAGATAGTAAATGCCACATAAATCTCCCAGCCTAGTGCATAAAAGCCTCTGAAGGATAACCCAAAGCCATTTGCAGAGAATAAAATTGATCTCTGCAAATAAAATGGTATATTTAATCCAGTGACTCTCAGTTTTTGAAGAAGAAAAGTATTGAATGTGTCTAATTTTGAAACACCAGGCCGCTGAGGATCTCACAGCACTTGTTAGGTCTTGGGGACTTCATCAATTTCAAAATGTGCTGGGCTGTAAGCTGGCAGTCCATTTGCAGTGCTTCATCTTGGGTTTAGCAAAGATGTTTTTAATTTCTCAGGTCGCTGGACAAGAACGCTGAGGACTTCTTTCTGCTGCCCCATCTCAATATAAAGGGCTTTGTCAAATGCCATTTTACAAGTTCACTAGCATGTTTTAGTCTCCACTACAATGGGGCCCAAACTTTTGGTGTTAGGGGAGGAAGGGCCAGGTTTCTATACCAGAGCAAAGGTCATTAAGTTTGGAGAAACACCTGCTGTGAAACCAGTGAAGTGGTTTGCAGCTCCCTGGGGCTTGTGCTGTGAGAAGTGTATTTCCATCTGGCAGCTGTGGGGAGGCCTCATGAGGAAGGCATTAGTAAGTTTATGGGCAGAGATTGGGAACTCGACTATTCTGTAGCAGCTCTTCCCCTTTAGAAAGCAATCACCAAGGAGCAGCCTCTAATGTCACACAATCACAGGGCGTTGCCTCAAGGAGGGGGCTGTCCCATCATTATCATGACTCAGCCCATCATCTTAGTTTTGAAAGTGGAACTCGCAACACTGCTGTCCCCAGTTGTGTACTTGTCTTTGTCTTCACCCTGGAAGTGGACTACTTACCTGTGAGCTGTACTGGCCATCTCCAGATGTGGGACTCGGACACAGCACGGACAGGCTTTTGTGTAGGGGTGTGGCTTCTCTTCCGTTGTTTGGGATTAGCCCTGCATTTAATTAGGGTCTTTGTAAGTGTTCTAGAGGCTTTTCTTAGAAATCCTTCTCACACCTAGCTTTGCTTTGCTTTTTCTTTTCTTTTCTTTTTTCTTGGTAACTCACAGAACAACACCTAGCTTTTCTATCCTTAAGCAAAACCCACACATTCACAGAATTTCCCCAAGATTTCTTACATTTCTCTCTTAGGTGCTTCTCTCTTGTCCCTCTGCCTTTTACTTTTTTCCTTCTCTATCCCCTTGTCTTAATGAACTAGGGCTGCCATGACAAAGTACCACAGACTGCGTGGCTTTAAACAACAGAACATATTGTCCGTCAGTTCTGGAGGCCAGAAGTGCACAATGAAGCTATGGCCAGGGCCGTGTTCTCTCTGAAGGCTCGAGGAGAGGCCCCTTCCTACCTCTTCTAGTTGCTAATGGTTGCTGGCATCCTGGCGTTCCTTGACTTGCAGCTGCAGTACTGCGGTCACATGGCTGTGTTCTCTCTGTCTTCACGTCATCATCCCCCTTGCGCTCTTCACGTCATCATCTCCCTGCACGTGTCTGCCTCAATGCAAGTTTCCCCCACTTTTTTTTTTTTTTAGTGAGATGAAGTCTCACTCTATCACCCAGGCTGGAGTACAGTGGTGTGATCTCGGCTCACTGCAGCCTCCACCTCCCGGGTTCAAGAGACTCCCGCCTCAGCCTCCCGAGTAGCTGAGATTACAGGCACACCCTACCACACCCGACTAAGTTTTTGTATATTTAGTAGAGACGGGGTTTCGCCATGTTGGCCAGGCTGGTCTCAAACTCCTGACCTCAGATGATCTGCCCCCCTTCAGCCTCCCAAAGTGCTGAGATTACAAGCATGAGCCACTGCACCTGACCAAGTTTCCCCTTTTTATAAGGACACCTGTCATATAGGATCAGGGCCTGCCCTAATGACCTCATTTTAACTCAGTTTTCTTCATGAACACCCTGTTTCCAAATAAGGACAGATTCTCAGGTACCACTGGTCAGGACATTAACATATCTATTTTGGGGGGACAGTTCAACTTAAAACACCCCTCAATTCAGTCTACAATCGAAGGTTGGTTCCATTCTTGAATTCCCCAAATGGACACAAAACCCTTTACGTGAGTCACTGATTGGTGCCAGAGTTTGTGTTCTCCATGCCTCACGACAGCCCACTGTTCACCTACTGATGGGCCCTCCTGTGCCATTAGCGTTCAGTTACCACGTAAGGAGGCCCCCCACTCTTCTCTGCTTCTGCCAGGGAGAGGAGGTTGGGGAGAAGCAGGAGGCACACTTGAGCATAGCCTTGAGCCTCCCGGGTGCAGAGCCTGGTCCCCGCCTCCCTTCCTGGAGTCACCGTCAGCTGGGGTGGGGGCCAGGCTACTTCCTGCAGCGGCTTGACAAGCAAAATGCAATGTGAGGTGATAAACATGGAATCTGAGACAGGGCCGTGGAAAACGGTTTTTTGTTGAGCGTCGGGGCTGCCCTGTTAGTATTCCTTTTATAATTTTGTGACTGCCATAAAACTGTTTAGGGGTCCCACAGCATGGAGATCTTTTGTATTAAACAGCTTTCATAAACCCTGAATGAGTTCCAGATTCTGAGACTCCGGAACTTCAGTCCCCCTCCTTTTCTTTCAGTGGTTATGTGTTTTTTTTGGGAGTTTTTTTTCTCCCTTTGTTGAGGTATAATTTACATAAAGTAAAATGCTGTTCTCTTAAGAGTACAGTTTGGTAAGTTTTGACAAATATGTACAAAAAATCCCATGTAACTACCAAACAGATTCAGACATAGAATATCTCCATTTCCCCAGAAAGTTCTTTTGGGACCCTTTCTAGTCAACTACCCCACTCCACCTCAGAGACAAAGAGAAATCAGAAGAAATCTGATTTCTATCACCATGGATCAGTATTTCTTTTAAAAGTAATTTTATATCAATGAAATGCAGCATGTGCGCTCTTGCATTTGGCATATTTCCTTCAATATAAAGTTTTTGAGATTCTTCCATGGTTTCGCATGGATCAGTGATTTTTATTATCTTTTCTTGCTAAGTATTCCTTTGTGTGGATGGCCCACGTTTTGTTTATTCTTTCTTCTGTTGATGGTCAGTTTTGGCTATTATGAATCAAACTGCTACAGATGCTTTTGTGTAAGTGTTTTTGTGAACATGTGTGTTCATTTCTGTTGGATATATACCTAGGGGTGCAATTGCTGGGTCGTAGGTTAGGTGTTTGTTTATTTTATTAGGTGCTTGATTATGGCCCTCTTAAAAGGGGGGAATCAATCCCATTTGTAAGCCTCCTGTTCTCTGCTTAGAAGATTTTTCCGAAGCTTGTTAGCTATAGAACTGCATTACTTTGTTTTAGAAGAAAATACTATTATGGGCACTGGTTCTCACTTTGGATTTGTGTAATTTTCTGCTGGTCCTGGGCCCCTGGCTTTTGTTAAAGGTCTTTTCTTCAGGACCTGCTCAACTGAGATTCCCTTAACATGCAGGGTCACTACTGACTTTGAGTCCAAACCAGCAGGCCTATTCATGCTGATGAAAAAAGGGAACAGACTTGCTTGCTAGCCAGATAAGCTTTTAGTTGTCCAGCAAGAGATCTGTACATTTATTCATAATTGTTCTTTTTTGTGTGTGTGATAAGGTCTTGTTCTGTCACCCAGGCTGGAGTGCAGTGGCACTATCATGGCTCACTGCAGCTCTGACCTCCCCAGACTCAGGTGATCCTCCCACCTCAACCTCCCGAGTAGCTGGGACTACAGGCATGCCCACCACACACAGCTAACTTTTGTATTTTTGGTAGACACGGGGTTTCATCATGTTGCCCAGGCTGGTCTCTAACCTCTGGGCTCTAGCAGTCTGCTGGCCTTGGGCCTCCCAAAGTGCTAGGATTACAGGTGTGAGCCACCGTGCCCAGCCTGTCATTTTGTTTTTTGCTGATTATTTAGTCAATGCCATAGAATGTTGGGAATCCTTCTAGATTATTAAGACCCTGGGCTCTAGCATGCAGTCTGCCCATTGCTGATACCAGCAGACCTCATAGTCTGGTTCTGGTTCTCTGGGTACTCAGCAGCACTGAGGGTACATGTGGGCCTTCTGATTGGGCTCTGGAGTCTCAGTGAGTTGTTTCCTTGTAGGTCCTGTTTTGCTGCGTTCCTACTGTCTCTATGTTCTCCTGCTTGCCATCAATGGAGTGACAGAGTGTTTCACATTTGCTGCCATGAGCAAAGAGGAGGTCGACAGGTGGGTAACCTAGCAGGTACACCTTTAATCATGGCCTTCAGCCAAAATGAAATAACTTGTCAAGCTTTTTGCTTTTCGTTCTGAACATGCATTTACAGATGGCTGTTTTAGAGGCAACACTTAGTCCACCAGTGTGGTGCTCCCCTGGGATCTCTGTGGCACCAGCATGGTTCAGCAAGTGCTCCCCACTGTAGGGCTGGGAGGCAGCAACTACTCTTTGCCTCCCCTTTGTGGAGGAAGAAACATCGGCTCTGAAAGGTTACATTAGTCCAGGTTTGCAGAGTCAGGCACCAGACAAGCTAGATTTCCATTCCTCCACCTCCTTGCTCACCCCAGAAGAGTGGTCCTCCAGTAAGTTACTGAGGAGCTTCTTCAAGATGCACATTCCTACCCCTGAGAACCTGATTGGTGGGTCTTTGAGAATCTCAGGGATTCTGTGACACTTCTCCTGAGAAAAGCCCAAGTGCACACATACATCTCATCTTGCCATAATTTTTTCTCAACTCTTGACTCCAGATCAGGATTCCTGTCCTGGAATCCCCTACCAGTGGTTCTTTTTTTTTTTTTTTTTTTTTTTTTGAGATGGAGTCTCGCTCTGTCGCCCAGGCTTGAGTGCAGTGGCGCAGTCTCTGCTCACTGCAAGCTCTGCCTCCCAGGTTCACGCCATTCTCCTGCCTCAGCCTCCCAGGTAGCTGGGACTACAGGCGCGTGCCACCATGCCTGGCTAATTTTTTGTATTTTTAGTAGAGATGGGGTTTCACCGTGTCAGCCAGGTTGGTCTCGATCTCCTGACCTTGTGATTCTCCCGCCTTGGCCTCCCAAAGTGCCGGGATTACAGGCATGAGCCACCGTGCCCAGCCTCATGGGGGTTTTCATGCTGCCTCTGTAACCTTGATTGCTGGTGAGGGCCCTCAGAAGCCTGGCCATGGGGTGGGATGGGGAGGGAGTGTCTCAAATGGGGACCCTTCCCCCTCCTCTGTGTGTGTCCTTTCCTGCGCTGGCTCATGTAAAAGATTGGGGACTTTGTTTGCTACACAGTGACTGAGAACTAGAGTCCAGACCAGCAGGTCTCAGTCCAGACTGATGAGATTCATCTAGGAATTTCTGGTCCACTCCTAGCCAAGCTGAATTAGAATCTTAGAAGGCTTGAGCCAGGGAATCTGTTTATTACACAGCTCTAGGCAATTCTGATTCTAGGGCTTTGGAAACTGCTGGCCCAGACCAGCTTTCACAGTAAAAACGACACGGAGCACTGTGACCTAGGACGCACTTAGGTGTGTGTGACTGAGACATGAGTTCACAAGGCAGGAAGTACCCCAGTTATGCGTAGGACACGCTGATGCTTTCTACTCTCTCTTCTATTTTGTTTTTCAAAAATGCCATGCCATTACCCTCTAAATTGATTCCCAGCCTAGTAGGTCACAACCCATAGTTTTAAAATAGTAGTCTAGATGTGGTTTTCACCTCAGATAGTTAAATTTATAGCTTTAGAGTAGAACTGCTTTGAGTCTATCCTCTTCTTTCCCTATGGATGAAAAAGTCTATTTCAATTTAGCTTTGAAAATACAATGTTTTTATTTGAAAGCTACTTCTAACATTGAATAACTTAAAAATATAATTGGAAACATGTGAAATGAGGCACTGTTAGAGTGGAAAGAGCAGGACTAGGAGTGTATCTCCTTGAAGGGAATTTTGTTACGGTAACTTCAGTGTTAGTGTTGAAGGGGTGAATGAAAACCAAACCCATTTAAGATGTTTTTATACATTGCAACCAAATTGTGAGGGAATATGGATAGTGGCTGGTTGCTTTCTTTTCTCTTATATTGTATTGAACCAAAGGAAACAACTTTTTAAGTTAGCTGTAATGGAATTTCGATAGTATATAAACATGTGGAAAATTATTTTCATAGTATTAGTCAACATAGAGAAAAAACAGAGCCCAGAGCACCTTCTAGTGCAGTTCCCATGTGGGGTAACTCACCTCCCCTAAGAGTAAAATGTGATATTAAGTGCAGTTTTCAGACATGTATAAAACACAATAGTTCCAGTTCTTTCTGGGCCCCTGGCCCCAGCGCCTGGCCCTGGTCTGAGCACGTGGAATACCTGGGCTCATCACAGACGTTGGCATTTTTTTTTTTTAATCTCTGTGAATTTTAACAGACAAAAAACTCTAGCAAGGATTTTTATAGTAGAATTGGATAGCTTAGTTAACTGTTACAATCAATTATAATGACTTTGCATTGGACATTTCAGATTCTGAATAGAAAAAAAGCAGGCATTTTACTTAACCAACTTAAGGTTAACCAGTGTTTTTCTGAATAAAAATAGAGCATTTGGGCCGGGCACGGTGGCTCACACCTGTAATCCCAGCACTTTGGGATGCCAAAGCAGGTGGATCACCTGAGGTCAGGAGTTCGAGACCAGCCTGGCCAACATGGTGAAACCCTGTCTCTACTAAAAATACAAAAATTAGCTGGGCGTAGGGGCGCACGCCTGTAATCCCAGCTACCCGCGAGGCTGAAGCACAAGAATCACTTGAACCTGGGAAGCGGAGGTTGCAGTGAGCGGAGATCATGCCATTGCACTCCAGCCTAGGCAACAGAGAGATTCTGTCTCAAAAAATATATAGAGAGAAGAGAGCATTTGGTTGTATATGAAATATTAAAACATCCTTTGAATTGCAGGTTGCTTTTTTTTGAGACAAGAGTCTCGCTCTGTGGCCCAGGCTGGAGTACAGTGGTGTGATCTTGGCTCACTGCAGCCTCCGCCTCCCAGGTTCAAGTGATTCTCCCGACTCAGCCTCCCGATTAGCTGGGATTACAGGTGTGCGACCATGCCCAGCTAATTTTATTTTTATTTTTAGTAGAGACAGGGTTTCACCATGTTGGCCAGGCTGGTCTCGAACTCCTGACCTCAGGTGATCTGCCCATCTCAGCCTCCCAAAGTGCTGGGATTATAGGAGTGAGCCAACGTGCCCGGCCTGGTTGCTTTTTTTTTAATAACCTCATAATATATATAGAATCTGATTGATGGATTTTTCATTATGCCTTATTGAAGAATTTTTGTTGTTTTGTTAAGGCTGTCTAATTTTCTTTCATTTCGCAAATACTTTTGAGCATCTACTCTCTAACAGGCATTGTTTTAAGCTCTAGGAATACAGCAATGAATAAGACAGATGGGATTTCTGCTCTCCTGGAGCTGACGGTGGGGAGGCAGATAGCAAACAAGTAAATTAATAAGAAAATGTGATGTGCTGAGAATGAAAACGGGTATATAGTGAGTGGTAGGGGCCCTTTAGATTGGGTTTGCTGGGCAGGCCCCTATGGCACAGCGCCATTTAGGATGACCAAGAAGGTGGTCTAAGATGGGGGCAGAGACTTCTAGGCAGATCAGTTGTGTAAAGGCCCAAGATTGACAGCTCCTTTGTCTGATTTGTTGGCCTTTGAGTGCCAAAGTGGACTCCATAACTGTCAAATGAAGGCTGGGTATGATCTTCTCACTTTGGCACATAAGATATCAGTGCCATCCTTTTCATGGCTGTGAAGGCTCGATTGTATGGCTGTGCCTTGATGTATTCAACCAGCACCTGCTGGGGGCTTCTTCAGGTGGTGCTACAGTTGATATCCTCGACCATCCATGCCTTTTTTTTTTTTTTAACTTTTTTTGAGACAGGGTCTCACTCTGTCGCCCAGGCTGAAGTGCAGTGGTACAATCATAGCTCACTACAGCCTGACTTCTTAGGCTCAATCGATCCTTCCACCTCAACCTCCTGAGTAGCTGAGACTATAGGTGTGTACTACCATGCCCAGCTAATTTTTGTATTTTTTGTAGAGACGGAGTCTCTGGGCACCATGTTTCCCAGGCTGGTCTCCAACTCCTGGGCTCAAGCGATCTGCCTGCCTTAGCCTCCCAAATGCTGGGATTACAGGCATGAGCCACTGTGCCCAGCCAGTCCATCTTTTAATAAGCCTGATTTTAAGTCCAGTATTTTCTTGGGACCATGGAGAAATAAGTATTCATAAATAATTTACTGTTTATGTTAACCAAACCTTACAGGATAGTCATATTGTCACCGATTAATAATTTTGCTTTGATTTTAAAAAGTGATTTTTTTTTTTTAAGACGGAGTCTTGCTCTGTCTCCAGGCTGGAGTACAGTGGCGTGATCTTGGCTCACTGCAACCCCCGCATCCCGGGTTCAAGCAATTCTGCCTCAGCCTCCTGAGTAGCTGGGACTACAGACGTGCACCACCAAGCTCAGCTAATTTTTGTATTTTTAGTAGAGACAGGGTTTCACCATGTTGGCCAGGACGGTCTCGATCTCTTGACCTCGCGATCTACCCGCCTCGGCCTCCCAAAGTGCTGGGATTACAGGCATGAGCCACCGTGCCCGGCCAAAAAAGTGATATTTTAATTGCATTTTTAAAATTCTCATTTTTTCCTGAAGTGGATTATGCCTTTAAGGCTGTAGATTTGTGAATTCTGGAAAGTTCAGCAGCTGCAGGGCCCTCTTCTAGTGGCAGACAATGGACCCCATCATCAGCTCCTCTCAGATGGCCATATCAAAGAGGCTGTGCTGTCGAATGCGTCTCTGCTTGAATTAGCATGAATTAACTATTGGCTTTATTCATTATTGTTATTTTACTCGGAGTTGGGGAATGATGGCTAAAAGTTTGTGAATCTATGACTTAAACTCCAAGGATTGGTATAGTAGACCTTTCTGAGATAGTTTCTGAAAAACAGGTTACATATCTCTGCTGCTTTGTGGAAAAGAGGTCAAAGTACTGGTCTGTGATGGGTCCCATTTGAGTGGCTTGTTCTGAAGTTGACCTTTCTGATCACTGATTAGTAGTGAAAAAACTTCCCCTGTGAGGTACAGGCTCTCGTACTTCATTAAAAGAGACTCTCTCTGGACTGAAAAGCAAATAAACTCCCTCTCTGGAACTCCGGATGAAAGCACATCTCTCCTGTTGGAGTATAGTATTGTGTGTGAGAGTGTGTGTGTGTGTGTGTGTGTGTGTGTGTGTGTGCGTGTAGTATTTTTACCACCCACTTTGATAAAGCGTATCTCCACAGCACACAGCACCTTGGCCTGAATCAGCCAAGGACCTATACCTGGGCATTTGGGGGATGCAGTGGCTTGCCTTCTTTTTTCTTTTTGGTAGAGACATGGTCTCACTATGTTGTCCAGGCTGGTCTCAAACTCTTGGCCTCAAGCAATTCTCCTGCCTCAACCTCCCAATGTGCTGGGATTACAAGCATAGTTCTAGGGTACTGGCCAAGTTCTAGGACCTCCTCCCACACCTGCAGAATCAGGAACTCTGGTGGTGAGGGCCCCATATGCATTTTTAAGTCATCATTATATTTTGAGACAGGGTGTTGCTCGGTTGCCCAGGCTGGAGTGCAGTGGCATGATCATAGCTCACCATAGCCTTGAACTCCTGGGCTCCAGCCTTCTTCCTCTCTCAGCCTCCCAAGTCGCTGGGACAACAGGTGTATATCACGGCTAATTTTTTAATTTTTTGTAGAGACACGGTCTCATGATATTGCCCAGGCTGATCTGAAACTCTTAGGCTCAAGCGATCCTCCCGCTTCAACCTCCCGAGTAGCTAGGACTGCAGGTGTGTGCCACCAACCCTGGGTAATTTTTACTGGGTTTTGTAGAGACGGGGGTCTACTAGCTCTGTTGTCCAGGCTGATCTCGAACTCCTGGCCTCAAGCAATCCTCCCACCACTTCAGCCTCTCAAAGCACTGGGATTCTGCTTTCTGACGACCCCTCATGTGCAGAATCTGGGTGGTGGCCTCTGAGGTTTTCTAACCCAGCAGACATGGCTTGAGGATGTCAAAAGTTTGGTTCCCTCAACAGCTATATACTTTGAGTGCCTGCTTGGTGCTAGGCGGAAACCAGAGGCTAGGGGATTTTGTTCTTGGCTGTACAAGCCTTTTGGAGGACTATGGCAGCTATTTCGTGTTTGCTGAGAATCTGTTTTCTTTTTGGAGGACTGAAGATAACTAAGTGATGTGCTGCTTTGAAATCAGAGAAGTGCAAGAAGCGCCAGGATCCAAAGAGCTCTAGAGATACAGAGAGTGGGAGTGAGGATATGTAAGAGTCTGGAAAATAGCAGAGGTGATCCAGGCTTTGGTTTCAGTTCCCATTTCATTTTGGAGGCCAGTCATTTGCTTTGAATGGGGTCTACTGCCCAAGGTTACTGGGTGCTGCATTTCCCAAGGGCAGTGGTGTGAGGTACTGAAGCTTAGGGGTCAGAAGTCCGGCTGAGTGTTACCTCACTCTTGAGACAAATTACTCAACTTCTCTGTGCTGCTTCCCTTGTCTGTGAAATAAATCCAAGCTCTGCAGGGCAAGGCCCATGTGTGTTCATTCTCCAGTGTGTCCCCAGCACTCCTCACAGGGCCTGTCACAGAGTTAGCATCCAATGTCTAATTACCCAGGTCACATTCTTGTATCTCACATTGAGGACTTGGGCTGAACAGGGTTTTTATGTTTTGATCACAAAGTATCGCTTAACTAACTAATTATTGTCTTCAAAAAACATACATCTCCTGAGTTGTTTCTTACCTTTCTGCTCAGGGTAAGGGGACAGGGACATTCCCATGGTCTCCAGGTAGCATTCGATGTTATGAAAACCTGGATTCCAGGAGCTCAGGTTCTTTCTGTGAGTTGATGTTCATGGCCGCTGTTTTGGGAGCAGCCTTGTCCAGGGCAAGGTCACCACTGCCCTCCTTTTCCTGTCTCCTCCCCAGGTACAATTTTGTGATGCTGGCCCTGTCCTCCTCATTCCTGGTGTTATCCTATCTCTTGACCCGTTGGTGTGGCAGCGTGGGCTTCATCTTGGCCAACTGCTTTAACATGGGCATTCGGATCACGCAGAGCCTTTGCTTCATCCACCGCTACTACCGAAGGAGCCCCCACAGGCCCCTGGCTGGCCTGCACCTATCGCCAGTCCTGCTCGGGACATTTGCCCTCAGTGGTGGGGTTACTGCTGTTTCGGAGGTGAGACTCCCTGAGCCATCATGCCACATGCTTCTGCAGCTGCCCCGCTGTCTCTCCCGCTAGGCCTCCTCTTCCCAGGTTTTTGCCTCCTCCTGTCCCCTCCCCAGGCCTCTAGGGCAGCATCTTCTGATAATGTGACAAGAGAATGTTGCCAATGGGGAAACAATGGACCTGCAGTATGGCTGTTATGCCTTTTATCTGACTTAGAAGCTGGAACCACAGCTGTCTTCCCTGGCTGGTCCCAGAGGAAGGAGGTATAGACTGAGGAACAGGCACTGACAATGGTTTCTTTCCCCAGGTATTCCTCTGCTGTGAGCAGGGCTGGCCAGCCAGACTGGCACACATTGCTGTGGGGGCCTTCTGTCTGGGAGCAACTCTCGGGACAGCATTCCTCACAGAGACCAAGCTGATCCATTTCCTCAGGACTCAGTTAGGTGTGCCCAGACGCACTGACAAAATGACATGACTTCAGGGAAGCCTGGACACCCGAGGCACCTGGACCAGCTATGGGTAGTTCTGTGGGTGGAACACATTCTGTGTAAGAGCCCCACTGAGGGCTCTGCAGCGGAGTGACAGCAACCCCAGAGATGAGGCACCAGAGAGTGCCACTGCATGAGACACCTGTGACCATTCGAAGTCTGAAATGCGGGGGGGGAGTTTCATTTTTAAGTGAAGACCAAAAGCCCTTTAAAAATAATAGTTTTTTATCATTTTATAGTAATCAGCATTTTCTCTTTTACTAATATACTCATTCCTTTTGCGTATGATTGGCCTTTGGAGCTACATGCTCCAACAAACTATATCTTAATTGTTAACTGTTAATAATTATCTGGCCCAGAAAAAGAGATGCAGTGATTTTACCCTTCACAGGAATATTGAACTTCTTCTGTAAAAGAGAGAGAGAAACCTCTCTCTCTCATGCACCACATGGAAACAGAGTGTGGCCCTGAAGTTGTGGCTTTCTTTGTGTCAAAACTGTGGTCTGAGTTTTTAGAGAAGGAAAAATGCTACTCAGTGAGAAATCCAAGAAATGAAACCAGGAAGGTTTTCAGATCACATTTCCCAGAGTGAGTTCGGGAGAATCTTGCCTGTCGTGATCACACTGTTCCCCGCCGCCCCAGGTCAGCACATACTTGACCCAGAGTGGGCTCTCAGGATTTGTTGATTGAAGGGTGGGTGAAAGCTGGCTGGAGACTCCTGGCCTGGCCACCTGCAAGAGGCGGACTTTGAAGAAAACTGTGATCCAGTTGAGCCACTTTGTCCCTGAGGGGAATGCTGCTTTGCAGCTTTCTGTAACTTCTCACATGGGAATTGCACTGGTGACAGATAAGGTTTAACAGATGTACTTTTTTATCCTCAGAATAAGACAAGGCAAACTCTATATGGCTAGTATTACTGAGTCAGGTCCCTCCCGTTGACCCATTAATTCCAGCATTGATCAATACAACCAAATTCCAGCCCCAGGACAAGAGTGGCAGGCATGGGGGCCTGGTACTCCAGGCTACAGTGTGAGCCCAGGTGTTCTGCACCTTGCAGCCTGCACACTGCAGGTGAAATCATGAGCAGTGTTCTGGAGTGTGAAGTGTTTTTATTTTTTTGTTAATGTATTAATTCCTTTTAGATATTAACCCCCCTCAGAACTATATGCACAAACTATAACTTGGATGTTAATAATCCTGTCACTCAGTGCCCCAAACCTTCTGTGTCTACACCTAGAGAGAGGGCCAGTAAGGGCAACTCCTATCATGCATTAAAATGCATGTATTTAAATCTGCTTGCCCAGAGCCAGTACCCAGGGGCTAAGGATTAAGACCTGTCAGTACACCAAGACTGGGGCCCAGTCACCTGGCAGGTTTTTATCTACTCAGAGGGAGAATGCTTTGCACTAAGTGGGAGAAAAGCAGCTAAATGCAAGGTGTCCTGAGCAATTAGAGGACCTCCAAAGCATGGCCTCAGTCATGCCTTCATCGGGCAAGGTCAGGCCAGCTCAGAAAAATGGATGGTCCCATAGGGTCAAGTGGAGCACACACGGAAGGCAGTCCTCCTTCCCTCCCATGTCCTTTCTCTGTCCCTGGCATCCACAGAAAGGGACCTTCAGTCCTCATGAGCTGCTTCTCTGCAGCTGCTGATCACCCTCCCGGAACCCTGCACCTATCCCGTGCCCACCTGACCCCAGACTCAAGCATGATCCTCATTCTACCTGCCTCGGAATCACCTGGATTGCAAGTCAGAACATGGCTTCCCAGGACCCACTCCAGGCCTTCAGGGTCTGTGTCTCCCAGGAGGAGGGCTCTGAGATTGGCTTTTCTGGCAAGCCCACGTGGCTTTGATGCCACCAAGGTTGGCATGCCCCATTGTCTTCCTTCGTGACAGGCCCAGGACCATCATGCTCATGCTCACAGTGCCTGTTCTCTGCTCCAGGAACAGAGCTGCTGCTCTACAAGCAGCCTTGTGACTCCGGGGTCTCTGGGAGCAGGACTCCCCAGGCTTGTGCTCTCTCAGCTTGAGAGAGGCTCTATGTCTGAAGGCAGTGCTCACTCTCTCATCCCTCCCCTGCTGTTCGCCCAGTGCTGCTGTCAGGGCCAGCTCCTCTTGAAAGACAGCCAGCCGCAAAGGCAGCCCAGGGCTTCTTCCGGTGTCCTGCTTCCCTGTATCTAGGGAGAGTTGTACATGTGGCTGCGTGTTTTCCCAGGACTAGCCCTGCCGCCTGGGCTGTCAGCACTTTGGCAGCAGGTCCTCTGTGGTTCTCTGCCTCTGGTGCCTCCCTAAAGCTCAGCTGGACCTGACCAGGCCTCTGGCATTTCCCCTGCTGGACCCCCTAGAGCCACAGCTGTGCCTCAGGGAGCTTGCATACATGTGGGCCAGCCTGCCTCACTTTACCCAAGTGGATTTGGGGAGCAGAAATCATACTTTTGGCTTTCAATACCACTTATAGTGAGGCTACTTCTCCATGGAAACAAGTCTCTGAGGCACAACCTTTATGAAAGGAAGGAGCATTCGTTGGTGAGAAGAACAGTATCGCTGACTTCCTGTGCTCCTCTGGCCACAGGTAACTGTTGGTCACTTCAGATTTGGCTTGGGGTCTCTCAGTGAGGAGCTGCTGCTGTGCTGTTTAATGCTTACCTGATGGCAACTTCTGGCTCTGGAACCGCTACTCTGCCCTGTTCCCAGCCACTTCCCAACCTGATTCAAGCAGGGCCCCTCCTTCCTCCTGTCTTTATTTATTTATTTATTGAGACAGAGTCTCACTCTGTCGCCCAGGCTGGAGTGCAGTAGCGCGATCTCGGCTCACTGCGAGCTCTGCCTCCTGGGTTCAAGCGATTCTCTTGCCTCAGCCTCCTGAGTAGCTGGGGCTACAGGCGCCTGCCACCACACCCGGCTAATTTTTGTATTTTTAGTAGAGACAGGGTTTCACCATATTGGCCAGGCTGGTCTTGAACTCCTGACCTTGTGATCCGCCCGCCTCAGCCTCCCAAAGTGCTGGGATTACAGGCGTGAGCCACCGCTCCTGGCCTATTCTTTTCTTTTCAGAGACAAGGTCTCACTCTCTCCTCTCGCCCAGGCTGGAGTGCAGTGGTGTCATCATAGCTCATTGCAGCCTCAAACTCCTGGGCTCAAGCAATCCTCCCACCTCAGCCTCCTGAGTAGCTGGGATCACAGGTGTGTGCTACCTCACCCAGCTAATTTCTAATTTTTTTTTGTAGAGACTGGATCTCACTGTTGCCTTGAACTCCTGGGCTCAAGTGATCCTCCTGCCTCAGCCTCCCAAAGTGCTGGGATTCCAGACCAGCCATTTTTTTTCCTTAATCATGCATTCCTGTTGCTAGTTTCACATCAGTCCCCTGGTTTAATAAGAAATAAAATATTTTCTTCACACTTTTGAAAAGACCTTTCTTCTTTCATACCCCTTCTCCCTCCAAAAGGGACAAAAATTCTTTAATTTCATAAGGAGGGTAGGTAAGTAACTTGAGGATGTGAACCTTTGGTGTTCCTCAGCTGGAACGTTTCTCTCTCTGTTGATGTTGTAGCTGGGACTGGGCTTCTTGACTTTGGAAGAGGGATGGTATCCTGGCACCTCCTGTGTCTGGGACTGAAAGGCCTGTGGTGTCTCCTTTGCTCCTCTCCCCATCCCCCCTTAAGCTGTATTTCCCGTTGTTTGCGGGACTTCTCTCCTGTCTTCTCCATCTGGCCTGGTCCTTGTTTTGTTTGTTTATTAAACGGCCATTCCTTGAGAAGTCAGGACTAGTTTCAGCACAGAGCAGGGCAAGTGTGTGATTTCAGGGGGTCTAGGACAGCCCCTTCACTCTAATATCCTCCTCCATCAGGTGATAGAATTTCCTTTCACCTAGTTCAAAGACTGTTATTTCCAGAATTTCCTTTCACCTAGTTCAAAGACTGTTATTTCCAGAATTAGAGAGGATACTGGAAATTCAGATTCCGCAGAGAACTCGGTGACTCATTCACACTAAGATGTAAAATAACCCCATCAAGATTTATTTCCTTTTTGTTCTCTAGTGAGAGGAAAAAAGAAAAAAGAATTCTTTGCCGGGCCAGGCGTTGTGGCTTGCGCCTATAATCTCAACACTTTCGGAGGCTGAAGCAGGAGGATTGCTTGAGCCCGGGATTTTGAGACCAACCTGGGCAACACAGGGAGACCCCATCTCTACAAAAAAATTTAAAAACTAGCTGGGCGTGGTGGCACGCACCTGTAGTTCCTATACGGGAGGCTGAGGTGCAAAGGATTGCTTGAGCCCAGGATTTCAAGGCTGCAATGAGCATGTTCGCGCTCCAACCTGGATGACAGAGCAAGACCCTGTCCCCCCACTCCAAAAAAAAAAAAAATTATTTCCTGAGCAGCTTTTGATGTTGAGGAAGAGACAGGCAGGAGCTGGGAGCATCCAGAACCTGGAGGAGGAGGGGCTCAGGTGAGAGGCTGGGCAGGCCCGGACGGTGGGAGCTGTGAGTGTTGCTGTGTGGCCTCTGGGATGGATGGAGTTCAGTTCACAGTGGGAAATCAGGGGCAGCATGATCCCTGGCCTAGTCTTAGAAGAGCCATGGCTGAAAACGGGGTGGGGACTAAAGAAGAGAGAGAATCCGAACAGGGGATATCCTTCACATATTTTATTTATTTTTTGAGAGAGTCTCGTTCTGTTGCCCGGGCTGGAGTGCAGTGGCACGATCTTGGCTCACAGCAACTTCTGCCTCCCAGGTGCAAGCAATTCTCGTGCCTCAGCCTCCCAGTAGCTGGGACTGCAGGCATGCACCACCACACCTGGCTAATTTTTGTATTTTTAGTAGGGAGGGGGTTTCACCATGTTGGCCAGGCTGGTCTGGAACTCCTGACCGCAAGTGATCTGCCTGCCTCCGCCTCCCAAAGTGCTGGGATTACAGGCGTGAGCCACCGCGCCTGGCCTCCTTCACATATTTACACACTCCTGCAGTTTATGGGGGCCAGGCACCGATGGCAAGTGAGACGGGTGTGCAGGGGGCTTGCTAGTGAGGAGAGCTTCCACCAGCAGCTCGATCCTGAGCACCTTTGGGAGCTGACCCACGGACTCATGAAGCTGCTTGCACAAGGTTCTCAGTGGCCCTAAGGAAGAGTTCTGGAAGGCACACTGGAAGCCGGGAGGCCTGTGGAGCCTGTCAGAAAGGACCAGATTTGGAAAGAAGATGAGCTAAGGCTCAAGTATCAGGGGTCCCCTAGAAATTTCTCAAAGACAATGAAACACAATGGACTAGAAAAAGCAACTGAAAGCCGGGCGCGGTGGCTCCCGCCTGTAATCCCAGCACTTTGGGAGGCCGAGGCAGGTGGATCGCCTGAGGTCAGGAGTTTGAGACCAGTCTGGCCAACATGGTGAAACCCCGTCACTACTAAAAATGCAAAAATTAGCCGGGCATGGTGGCAGATGCCTGTAATTCCAGCTACTCAGGAGGCTGAGGCAGGAGAGTCACTTGAACCCGGGAGGCAGAGGTTGCAGTGAGCCAAGATCGCGCCACTGCACTCCAGCCTGGGTGACAGAGCGAGACTCTGTTTCCAAAAAAATAAGTAAAAAAGAAAAAAAAGCAACTGAACAAGATCACTACTCTAAAATTTATTTACTGAATATTCCATGAGTGTCCAGGAAGTAACTGAGACTTGTGTATTTAATTTGGAAATGAGACTTCTGAGACAATCAGATGCAGACGAAAAATTATTTGCTTCACTATTATTTACTTACCTGAGTGAATTGGTCCTTAATGTTGTAAATATTTCATTTGCTAACTAGCTTTCAAGGTGGCAGAAAAGGTGTTTTACTTGAAGAATTTGAGGAGAGGGAAGACTTACTGATTTGCATTATCAGTCAGTCCCCAATTACCTTGGCATAATCAGTCCCATTATTTAGTGTTACTCATTTTTAACCAGAACTGTCTGGGTGTATCAGAGCACAATTGGGAAGATGGGCTCTTAATGTAGTTCAGCCTCCTTTAGGGGCCTAATGAAGGAAGACTTATAAATACTTCTCAATTATCCTTCAGATGAATTAGCAGCAGTTAGCCCTTGTTCCAGCGCAGTCGATTCTTCACCAGTTGACTTTTCCATTCTTCTTGGGAAGCGCGGCTTAAAAAGAAAGTGCTGGAGGTGAGATGTGCGAATTAGGTCTTTCCTTGCAAGTCATAGATGCTCGGCAAAGTAAGTGTGCCCGGAACTCTGTCCCTACCTCTGCAGGCTCCACACACGTTTGGAGACCCCACCCCCAGCTTGTGGAACCTATTGCAGTATATCATGTCCCATGTTGAACACAATCGTATATAAGGATAAGGACACAAGAGTGGTGGCTGCCTAACTGATATGGTGGTATGTTCTGTAGCAATTGAAAAAGCATTGAAAAAGCAATTTTGAAACGTTCTATTTCGGAGCCAGTAAATTTTGTCTTCATCTCATTTCTGAGGGGCCTGAAGAGTTAAAGGGCCCTGGGTGCTCCACCTGTGAGGCCGAATGAACACTGGGCCCTGGGCGCTTAGGAAGGAGGGAAGGGGATGCCAGGAGCAGGGAGGTGGTGCCTGGAGGCTGCCTCACTGTGAGGCTGGCAGGGGCCAGGCTCTGGGGCAGCTCCCAGCCCTCTCTGCTTCTCCCGGCTTCACCGTGGGGTGATTCTCATTTTTCCTGGGGCCCAGACAGCAGGCCAGCCCTCAGGCTGGTGGGCAGTGAGAGGAGGAGGACCCAGACATGGCTACTGCTCTCAGGGTAGAGGCCTAGGCACTTCCACTGAGGGGGCAGTCTCTCACCTTTTACTTCCCGCCCCCAGCCCCCTCCCTCCTCCTTGCTTCTGAGTGCAAAGCCCCTGCAGGAGAAATGGAACTGGCACAGATTATAAGACAGCCACTGTAGATCACAGGTCATACATTAGCCAGTAGATGGGCCACCCTGGCCTGAGCAGCATTTGCTAGGTGTAGGCCAGTCAGAGTGGCACGGTTCATCCCTCATCGCCCCTTCCCCAGGGAGCTGCATGGGGACCCGTGACATAACAGCTGACTTGTGAAGGAATCTTCTAGACCATTTCCCTGTCACATTTCTTCTCTCCCTCCAATAAATGTGTCCCAATGTTATGACCCTATTGACTCTACTGTCACAATGTTGACAAAGGGGTTTGGCAGAGGCCACCTGGGTTCACAGTGCTCAGTGGGAAAGAGACCTGAAAAACTGGCAACTCCTGGTCCTTCCTTCCCAGCGGCCTCTCACCTTTAATCTGCTCTGCAGTGCCCCATCACAGGTTGGGGCCTTGGAACAGGCTCGGGAGCTGTCATCGCAGTCAGTGAGCAGTGACTAATTAAGACACGGCTGCATTAGTCACATTGGAGGTGACAACTGAGCAGCATGTTTCTGGTTAATGTCTGGGAGATCCTGACACCCTTTCCAATTATGTGGAACTAATAGTGTGCGGCTTCCACGTGGCCATGTGGGGTGGGAGAGCAGGGGGAGCCTGAAATGAAAGCATGACTGTCTGCGGGCAGCGCCAGTTTTGTTCCCGGCTCATCTACTCCTCACTTCTTTGCCCTTTCATTTGAAAATCACAAAAGGTAACACCAGGGGAATGGCATAAGGGGTGCCAGAGGACCTCTTTCAGAAGGCTTTTGTTGTCCACCACTGTTCCCAGGAGAATTCTGAAAATATTCAGAGGGAAGCTGGTGATGTAGGAGCCAGTCCTTTCACCAGGTGCAGACGAAAACCCCAGCCTCGCCAGCCTTGGAGCACACTCTTATCTTCCCTCACCAGAGCCCGGCAGGGCCATGCAGGGAGAACCACAAAGACCCAGAGAATCAAGACATTGCAGCCAGAAGGAAAACAGAGCTCTTCTCCACACAGAATCCCAACCAAACTAGAGAATGCTGCTAAAATAGCTATCCTTTTTGTTTCCCCTAGGACATTAACACAAGAATTTTATGAACAAACTGGGATAGCATGGTGTGTTTAATGTTCCTGAACTAGAGCTGAAGGTTTCTGTCTTCCCCACATGGCTTCTGAGATCCCCAAGTGGCATCTCTCTAATGACGAGAGAATGTTCTCGCAGATGTGCAGATGTCGGGCTGTGGGGGGCCACAGAAGGGACAGAGTGACTTGCATTTGTTTATTTTGTAACCATGATGGAAACCATGTGGAGCTCTGGCTGCCCGGTGGGGCTGGTGGGCAGGATGCCCAAGCACAGTGGTGACTTGTCTTTGCCTGCTCTCAGCTCTGCCTGCCGCAGATCTGCAAGCACAGGGCCAAGCGCCGGGCCCTGGGTGGAAGGACCCCAGGGGTGCCCTGTGTTCAGCACTTCTTCCATCTGCACCATCACTGGAGAAATCCACCTGCGACCATGTCTTTTATTTATTTACTTTTTTTTTTTTTTTTTTTAGATAGGGTCTTGCTCTGTTGCCCAGGCTGGAGTGCAGTGGCATGACCATAGCTCCCTGCAGCCTTAATCTCCTGGGCTCAAGAGATCCTCCCACCTCAGCCTCCTGAGTACCTGCCTAATTTTTTTTTTTTTTTTTAATTTTTAGTAGAGACAGAGTCTCACTATGTTGCCCAGACTGGTCTTACACTCCTAAGCTCAAGTGATCCTCCCAGCTTGTCCTCCCAAAGTGCTGGGATTACAGGCGTGAGCCACTGCTCCCAGCCTGTGTCTTTTTTTTTTTTTTTTTTTTTTTGAGATGGAATCTCACTCTGTCACCCAGGCTGGGGTGCAGTGGCGCAATCTCAGGTCACTGCAACCTCTGCCTCCCAGGCTCAAGTGACTCTCCTGCCTCAGCCTGCCGAATAGTTGGGATTACAGGTGCCCACCGCCACACCCAGCTAATTTTTTTAAAGTATTTTTATTAGAGATGGGGTTTCACCATTTTGGCCAGGCTGGTCTTGAACTCCTGACTTCAAGTGACCCTCCCACCTTAGCCTCCCAAAGTGCTGGGATTACAGGCATGAGCCGCCATGCCCGGCCCTGTGTCTGTCTTTTGAAGTACACGAACAGGGTTTTGCTTCATGTGTATTTCATCTTCTAAACGGCACAGCATGTTGCGTCCATGCCTTCCATTATACTTCCCCACCCCCACCCAACTGCCCTTCTCAGATTCGTGGGTGGCCTTGAACAAGTCTCCCCACTCCAGCAGTTACAGAGCCCTGAGCATGTGCCGGGTTTGTGGGGAGACACATTTTACAGGTGTTACCTGTGAGATCTTCACAACAGACTCCATCTATTATCTATGGGCTACAGGTGAGGAAACGGAGGCACAGAGAAGTGACTCGATTTTCCCTGAGCCACACAACTGGGGTCAACCCCTGGACTGTCTGATTACACAGCCCCCTTTAGCTCTGGGCTAATTTCCCCCCTCTATTATTATTATTATCATTATTGTTATTATTATTTCATTTTACTTTTTTTGCGACAGTCTTGCTCTATCACCCAGGCTGGAGTGCAGTGGCACGATCTCAGCTCACTGCAACCTCCACCTCCCAGGTTCAAGCAATTCTCCTGCCTCAGCCTCCTGAGTAGCTGGGATTACAGGTGTGCACCACCACACTCAACTAATTTTTGTATGTTTAGTAGAGATGGGGTTTTGCATGTGGTCAGGCTGGTTTTGAACTCCTGGCCTCAAGCAACCCACCCACCTTGGCCTCCCAAAGTGCTAGAATTACAGGCATGAGCCACCACGGCTGGCCAAGTTCCTCCCTCTATTAGAGCCCAGGAGTTTGAGACCAGCCTGGGCCACATAGGGAGATTCTGTTTCTATAAATAATAAAAAATTAGCTGGGCGTGGTGGCTCTCGCCTGTGGTCCCAGCTACTCAGGAGGCTGAGGCGGGAAGATCACTGGAGCCCGGGAAGTCGAGGCTGCAATAAGCCATGATCACACCGCTGCACTCCAGCCTGGGTGACAGAGTGAGACTCTGTTTCAAAAACAAAACAAAACTAAAAATCCAGCAAGTTTGGAACCCACAGGATTTGTTTTCAATCCATCCCTGACCTTCCATGGCTTATTTTTCTCTACAGTTCCTCCCCTGCCTCTGTCTTCATCCCATCTTAAGGAATTTAGGGTAATTGTTTCGCACAAACATTGGCATGATAAGAAATATTTGGGAGAAATAAATCTGGCCCAAAAAAATTATGGTACATTACAAAGAAAAGGTTTTGTATATCCCAGGGTCCCTGACTGTTGGGGCTTTGACCCTGGGCAGCACCACCAAGGAGTGGGAAGGCACCTCACTTTTGGCCTCTCGGGTCTAATTCCTCACTTTGGAACCATGGGCAGGAGATCTTGCCTCTCTGTGCCTCAGTTTCCTCATCTGTCACCCACCTTACGTGGTCCAGGAAAGATGAAAGGAGAACAGAAATGGGAGGCAAATTCAGCTCCAAAAGCCTTGGAAACCCCAAGCCGCAGCAAGGCTTCCTGGGTGTCCACTTGACCCACATCCACCCTTCTTTCCTCTTCCAATCCCCGTGCCGAGGTAGTTCTCTCCCTACACCCTGCACCTCACCTCTATGGCTGTGCCAGGCTCTGCTCCTCTCCACCCTCACCCCTAATGATCCAGCTCAAAGGCCTGCTGTGGCTGAGCCAGCAAAGGAGGGAGGGCGAGGGCATTATAAATACTCATGATTTAATGGCTTTTCCTTTAGCCCCATTACCTGCAGAAGGCACCTGGCCTAGAATGCATGGCGTTGATGAACTCAGGTCACCGTTTCTTTCCCTTGGCTTCATTTGGGCTGGTTCTTATGATGTCCTCAGGAGCCCTGGAACCAGCACTGCCCAGCCTCATCCTCACACCTCTCCCCATGCCCCAGCCAGGGAGGCACTCGCCTGTGTCAGGCCTGGTGGCCCTGTTCTTATGACCCCCCTAGGCTGCTCTGTCCCCATCAGGCTCCTCGTCCTTTCTTGCAACAGCCCTATATTCTTTCTCCCTTGAGAATTAGAAAGGCAGGTGTGTGTGGTGGGGCCAGGAGTTTGGCGGGGAGGGAAACGTGTCCAGAGAGGGCTTTGAGGCAGCTGTGGCTTTGCTTCCCCAGGCCTAGTCACTGGACCCAGCCCAGCTACCCTGCTACCCTACCCCCTTCAAGCTGTGAATCTTTGAGCAAAGTGCTTGATCCCCCTGTGCCTCAGTTTACTCATCTAAAAATGGGCACAATAGCACTTGCCTCATAGGGTGTAGTAAGGAGTGAGAGGAGGTAGGTAAAGCACTAGACAGGGATGCCTAGCTCTAGCCTAGTGGACTTGAACGAGTGGAATTTTAAATCTGCCCAACACAAGGTTACAGAGGGACTGTGGTCCCTGGAATCGTTTGTTTCCCCACTACTGCTTCCTCCTCCCACCTAACCCCAGTCCACAGAAGTGCACGTGGTGGTGGAGCATCTTTTAAAATTCCAATGGAAACATTGCTTTACCCTCTCCTGAAAGACGAAGCTGCAGGTGAAGAAGAAACGAAAACTGCTTTTAGGCCCAGCTGGCCCTGCAGGAGCTTTGGCGGGTAAGGGTGTCAGGCAGGGAGACTGTGCAGAGCCAGGCATCTGGATGTGGATTTGAGGTGTCCTTAGCCTTGGAAACCCCAGTGACTAGGCCCGGGGAAGAAACGCCATGGCTGCCAGCAAATGCTCTTTCAGACACACATTCCGCACACCTCCCCAGGACAAGAAGGGATGCTCCAGAAGCTTGTTAAATGATTTCCACCAATTTCAGAAATTGCCTCAGCTAGTTGTTTATATTTCCCATCAGCCTTAGATTAAGACAGAAAGAAAATGGGGCCCTGGCGTCAGGAAAGAAGGTGGCTTTGTCCAGGGAGGGACAGCTGCTGTGGCAGTTTCTGAAGAAAGTGGAAAGGCATGAATGGGCCCTGCCATGTGTTGGGTGGCCACAGGCATGAGCTCTCCTGGTCTCGGCTTTCCAAGGCCCGGGCCACGGTGGCCCACGAGGACACCCCTGCACCCCCACATGGCCTCACCCACCAATTGCCAATGTCCTCACCTTGAACCCACTCATCACAGGCTGATCCAGAAACTTGCTGAGTTTTGTTTTGTTGCAAACACTGATTTGCTTTGTTGTTTTTTTTACTTCACTGGGATGTAGGATGCCAGGTTAAGATGGACTGGTTTCTCCTGCCAGAAGCAGCTTTGAATTTAGGATGCCCAGAGGGTGCTGTCTTTTTCTTTTGACAGAGTCGTGGTCTGTTGCCCAGGCTGGTGTGCAGTAGTGCGATCTAGGCTCACTGCAACCTCTGCGATTCTCCTGCCTCAGCCTCTCAAGTAGCTGGGATTACAGGCGCCCACCACCATGCCCAGCTAATTTTTCTATTTTTACTAGAGACAGGGTTTTGCCCTGTTGGCCAGACTGGTCTCGAACTCCTGACCTCAGGTGATCCACTCGTCTCAGCCTCCCAAAGTGCTGGGATTACACATGTGAGCCACTGTGCCCAGCCTAGGGTGCTGTCCTGAACACTATTGATAAGGTGGAGTTTTCCTGGGAAGGGAAGAGTGTTCTGCCTACAGACTTGTGGACATCAGGGAGACACCAGATGTGTCTGGGCCCAGCGCTGATCCTTGGGGAAGGTGTGAGGCCATGGACATTTGGGGTGTGGGTCATATCTGAGTAGTGGGGATCCATCAGGCCTTCCTCTTCCTCCTTCTCATTGTCAAAGAGCCGTGACCTGAGTGTACCTGGTTCTGATCCGACAGCCCACTGCTAAAGGCCTCCCTCATTTCTATCAGCGTCTGTGGGACATTCCCTTCAACTGTGCAGGAGTCCTGGTTGCCTTTGAAGCTTGGAAATGATGTTTTACCACATCCCCACTGCCCACTGGGCCAGAGGACCTGCTGTTGATCCAGACAATCAACAGAGCTGGAGAGCCCGGAACTGTATTCCGATCCCAGCCCTGCCTTTTACTCCTTGTGAGATCTAGCAGGTAGCTTTGCCTTTTCTCCATCTGCAGAAGGTTCTAATAATCCCTGCTCACTCTTGCTCCAGGGCCATTGTGGGGCCAAGGAAAAGTTGGGGTTCAGCAGTTCTTTGGGGTGGAATGGAGAGTTGGAGAGCCAGTGGGCCTGTGCATACCAAGGCTGGAGCCTGGGTCCTGCAGGGGAGCTAGTCCAGCACAGAGGTCACGGTGGAGATTAAAATATTCCTTTTTTTGAAACAGGATCTGGAGCTGCTGCCTGGGCTGGAGTGCAGTGATGCAATCATAGCTTACTGCAGCCTCAATCTCCAGGGCTCAAGTGATCCTCTAGCCTCAGCCTCTGGAGTAGCTGGGACCACAGGCATGAGCCACCATACCCGACTAATTTTTTAAAAATTATTAGTAGAGATGGGGTCTCACTATGTTGCCCAGGCTAGTCTCACACTCTTGATCCTCCCACCTCGACCTCCTAAAGTACTGGGATTACAGGCGTGAGCCACTGTGCCTGGCCAAGTTTAAAATATTCTATACCATGTGTTATTTTTCCTGATAAGTGATTTTATCTCCTGATATTATGTATTTTATGTATTTCTTGCTATTTAATTACAAATTATCCTGAGGGCAACCAGTGCCCTGCAGAAAGTCACAGAAACACTGGGTCCATGTCCTGCCCGAGGCCAGTCCTGACTTTGCCCGTGGTACGCACCTGTGCCGTGCTCACACTGTCCTGCACAGCATCCTTTTTTACTATAATATGCCATTGCAGGTTATTCCCAGCACTTTCTATGTTGTAAACTGTTAAGTGAATATCCTGACACAGAGTCCTCCAAGAGCCTGGTCTCCTTCTCCATTTTGCCTGCTGATGAACCCTGAGAGTGAACTTCACCGCCTCTCAGCCCCAGCCTCGCCCCTAAGAGAGCCTAGGATGGAAGGGAGCCTGCCCAGGTCATATTGAGTTGATGACCAGCCAGCCTGGAGCCTGAGACTCAGGACCTGTAGGTCAGTGGGCCAAACCGTTCAGATCGCCTGGGTTCCACATCTGAAAAGGGCTTTGCATGATGCCAGCCTCCCAGTCAATGGTCTGTATTAATTGTGACATCGTGGCAACCTGTCACTTGGTCATTCAGCTGACAGTCTTTCCTCCTGCAGAGGCCAAGAAAACCATGGAGGAGCAGTGGACCTTGGTGTCCCTGCTGAGCACAAGCCAGCAACAAGGACCTGTCCCCCCAGGCTCCACGGCATCCTCAGCCACAGACAAGCTCAGCCGCTGGGAGTGTGCACCTGTCACAAGTAATTGCTTCCCAAGAAGCAATTCCTCTGGGTGTCAGTAAAGTCACTGATGCCCCAGCCCTCCCCTCAGAGAATCTGATTAACCAGCCTAGCTGGATGGGAAGCTAGGGAACAAAAGCCACCCAGTAAACAGAAGCGGAACAGCCGAGGAAGGGGCTCTGCCAACTGCTCTGGCTCCTTCTGTGGGCGACAGGGCCTCTGTGGGCTAGTGGCTTTGGAAGGGGTTTGCTCAAGGGCCTTGTTTCCCTGCCCACAGGCATGGGGTGCAGCCCCTTATGCTGGAGGCTCATCTTTGTAGCATGCATTGGTGCTTGGGGAAGGTCTTTGAGCTGCCTGGTCCAAGGGTGGATTCTAAGGTTTTGACAAGATCACTCCACGCTCATGCCTGCTGTGGGCTCTGGCACAGACAGACCCTAGTGTAGGTTCCAGCTCTGCTGTGTCCTTTACACCATGATCTTGGGCAGTTTACTAAACCTCTCAAGCCTCAGTGTTTAAGAGGTTTTATATTAATCCTACCTGCTTTTATATTTAATTTCTCTTTTGATCAAAACAATACACGTATGGTACATAGTTTTAAAGGTTGAACAATACTGCAAGGCTGGAAATACTAATTCCCCTCTTCTTGACCCATAGTTTTAAGGTTGAGCAATACTGCAAGGCTGGAAATACTGATTCCCCTCTTCTTGACCCATTGCTTTCAGTTCTTTTGACTCTTTCACTCTTTTTTTTTTTTTTTGAGATGAGGTCTCCCTCTGTTGCCCAGGCTGAGCTGGAGAGCAGTGGCACAATCACAGCTCACTGCAGCCTCAAACTCCTGGGGTCAAGCAATCCTCCCACTTCAGCCTCCCGAGTCGCTGGGACTACAAGTGTGTGCTACCATGCCTAATTTTAAAATGATTTGTAGAGATGGGGTCACACTATGTTGCCCAGGCTGGTCTTGAACTCCTGGCCTCAAGCGATCCTCCTGCCTTGGCCCAAATTGTTGGGATTACAAGCATGAGCCACTGCACCCTGCCTCTTTCACCTTTAGAACATTGATTTCCTACTATGGAAAATGAGCTGATAGCCACCTCTCCATACATTTCCTCCCCATCCTTCAAATGCTATGATTTGGCGTAAGTTGATATTCAGTGTTTACATGTTTAACGCTACGCAAACATTGTTTTCTGCTAAACCAAGTAGTATTCTATTTCCTTTCTGCTATGATTCTTTGTTTTTCCTCAAGCTATAATTATCTGTCTTTTTTATTTGCTTTTTTATATTTGTACTTTATATTCTTCCCTACAAAATCATACAAATCTGACCAAATACACCCAGCAGGTGTGCTTTCCCTGGAGACATTGCTCCAGGAACCCCTCACTACTTATTCCACTCTTACCAACCTATCCGTTTGCCCCTGCCTCCCTTCCCCAGAGGGAAGACATTGAGGCTCAGAGAGGTAGTAAGATCCGGGTGGAAATGCAGGCCTAGATAAGGAGGTACAGTTATGCTCAAGGGCCAACCGCCTGCCCAGGATGCTGCAGCCCAGTGGGGCGGCAGCCACACAAATGGGACCACTTTGTGGGTTTAACATCTGCAGTGTGGGGCAGGGGCCTCAGGCCCTGAGTGTAGAGGACAGAGGCAGGTCTCCCTGTCCATCCTGGGTGACCATTCCTGGTAAGATGCCCCATGCTGATTTCCATCCCCCACCCAGGCAGATCGGAGAAAGAGCCAGCCCCACTTTTCTCTGATCACCCCATGTTAACTTCCCCTTAAACTTGCTAAACCAGCCCTACCCAACTGCCAAGCTGAGGTTGCCTCCCAGGGCCACCAGCACCCTGCTCATCACAGATGGGGCCACTTTTACTACTTCCCTGTGTCTCGTCTCCCCCATCTCGGGGCTGAGCTCTGAGCCTGCTCCCAGCCAGCTTTGTGCTGCAGGTGACTCTTCATTGCTGGTCAGAGGAGGCTAAGGTCAGCCCTAGGGAATGCATGAAGGTTAAGATGATGCTGGGGGCCCCTGGCCAGCAACTCCCAGTCTTGGTGGCCCAAGTCCTTAAGGGCAGCACACATTCCTGAAGGGGACAGAGAGAGCCTCCTGAGTCAAGAGCTCTTACCCAGACACCACATGCCTCACGATGGAGAGGACTATGCATTGTCGGAGGCTCCTGGTGACTGCCATCCAGCTCACAGGGCCCACTCACCACAGAGGCTGCCCATGAGAATGTCATCCATGTGTTCCTGCATGCCAGAGGCTGTACCTCAAGGAGGCTGTGCCATTGGGCCAGGACTACCCCAGGCATAGGGAGAGGGTACAGGCCGCATATCCTCTCCCTCAGCCATCAAGAGACAAGGGATGGGTGTCAGAGGTGTCTGGGAGATGAAAGATGCATGGAGCACTCCAAATGGCCGCATGCTTTCTAAACACACAACTCACCAGGATTTCATCTGCAACTCAGATTCAATCGGCTAAGTGGGGAAGAAGAAAGTATGTGGTTGTCATGGCAACACCAAATTGCCCAGGACCAGGTTGGTCTCTAAGCAGGGGAAGGGAAGGGAGTGGAGCTGAGCCTCTGTCTCTGTGGTGGGGATGTTCTGGAGAACGGGGCCCAAGGGTCAGGCCCGACATACACCTGTGGGGCAAGGGGCCTTGTTCTCACTACCCCTGCTCAGGGCTGAGGGCCTGAGCCATGCAGTATTATATAAAGGGTTGACTCGGGGCCCTCACTCTGGGGCTGGGGCCCAGACTACTCCAGCATGCAAGTTCCAGAGCCAGCCTCTTGCTAAGGGCCAGTCCCTGCTTCTCCCCACGGGCTAGACCCACCCCAGAGCAGCTCAGATTTGGTGCCTGCTTCTCTTCTTGCCCCCTAGTCCTAGCTGTTCCTGGCAGAGCTTCTGTCTTGAGCTTGGCCATGGATGTGGACACAGCCTGGCACATACCCTGAGTGCGGTCTAAAGGATCAAGGGACACAAAGCCTCACCCAGAGAGTGCCAAGCAAAGCTGATACTTCTATTCATACGCATGCAGTGCTCAGCCTGGCCTCCTTCTTCCCACCAAGAATGAAGTGGAGCCAGCAGAGGGGTTGCCCTGCAATGTGGTCTCTGCCAACCTGGGCCCAGGCCTAGCTGGATAGGTGGTAGGAGAGAGGGCTGCTCAAGTAGGAAGGAGGTGAGCATCAGGACCCTCCCCTCCCCTGGACCTGCCTTAGCCCTGTTTTGATTCTGACCATCCAGTGCTCTGGGGACCCTGGAAAAGGTCCTGGCTCCAAGGTCCACCTGACCAGCCAAGCCTGGCACATCCATCTCTGTGGTCCCAGGATCTGGCCACAGGAGGGCTCCTGGACACGTAATACATGAATAGATGGAGTGACATAAAGAATTAATCAGTGGGTGACTTAGGCAGTGAGAACTAGGAGCAGAAGAAATGAAAGAGACCAGGTTGGGAGGGGGGATGCTGGTAGGGCCAGGTTTAGGGGAGCCTTAAATGCCAGGCTGAGAGGGGGTGTTTGTCAGGCTCCCCCACACCCAGCTTCTGCCCTGGCCCTGGGACAATTTCCGTCTTCCAGAGGGGCCAGTAGGGATCCTGGCAGATGTGGCCCTGATCACCTGATCCCCTCTCAGAGAGACAGAGACCCCAGGGCCCATCCCCCAGAGCCTGGCTCACCTGGGCCCTCGCAGGGCCTGCCTCACCGGGGCCCCGCAGACCTAACTGCTTCTGCTTCATGGTCTGTGGGTTTTCCCAGTCGTCCAATTAGTGCTAATTGGAAGCAGGAAGTGTGTGCATGTGTGGGGTGGGCCTGGAACTCCGATGTCCTTGTCAGAACTTCGAAGCCCTGTGCTTCCTGGGACAGGCTCTTCCCTAGAGCTTTGTGGTCTCCCGCAGGGCTGGGTAGGGTTGTTGGGAGCTCCCCGAGCATTGGGTATACTGGC
This sequence comes from Homo sapiens, assembly GCF_000001405.40. NCBI lineage: Eukaryota > Metazoa > Chordata > Mammalia > Primates > Hominidae > Homo > Homo sapiens. The sequence continues at coordinate 53,073,778 of NC_000003.12, read as the reverse complement.
TCTGTGCACAACGGGGCCTCTGCTCTCCAGAGGGCTCAGGCTCTCACCGGCCACCTCTTACCCCAGGTGCCAGTTGCCCCCAGGGCAAGGCAAGCTCATCCTTTTCACTGCCAAATCCTCTTCGCCCGGCACAGAGCTGCGGCTCTTCACAGTTTCACTCTAACAACGAAGGGAATGATGGGCTCAGGGCCTGGAAGAGAGGCGCAGAGGGGGCCTCCTGAACCCCTCACTGACCCTTGGTCCAGCCTCAGCCCGTGGCTCCATAAAGGCAAGGAAAGGCCTGCTTTATCTGACTGGCCACACACTTGTGCTTCCCTTGGGGGACAAAGGGTGCAGAGGCGCTTCCACAGAGGCGGGACTTCCGCTTACTTTCCCTCCTCCCCGTTTCCCCGCCCCCTCCACTTGCGGCACAGGTGGGGGTGTCCAGAGGCAAAGCCCCTTTTGTGTCAAGCCCCAGCCCAGGTTCTCTCCTCACCCACAGATGCTGGTGCGCAGTCTGACGGCAGAGGCTGTAACGGGGGAAGCATGGGATGTGGGCACATGGGGGAAGGCCCCGGAACCCAGCCTGGGCAGAGGCCGGTGCCCCACCAGGCTCTCTCTCTGCAGTGTTATGTCAATCATTGCCCACAGGTGCCCTCGACCTGGACACCGTCAGGCCTCCTTCGCGGTGGGCTGAAACCCTGTGGCACAGCCCAGGACCACCCAGCCCCACGGGCTGGGGGCTCACATCTGGAAGCAGGGCCCCCCAGGACTCAAAGGTGCTCGGAGATGAAGATTGCTGGGTGTCAGCTCATGGGGCCAGCCTCGGCTTCACCCCCAGGAAATGCCTGCTTGTTGCTGTGCGGCAGGCACTAGAGCAGGCAGAGAGGGCGGTGGGCTCCTCTGAGGTCGCGGGCGGAGCCCTGTGAGGAGAGACCTGGCCGCCGGCAGCCACTAGAGGGCAGGACCCTCCTGTGTGTTTCCTCCAAAGGGTTGTTGAGCAGATGAGCGGGACTGACAGGAAACAATGGAGCAGCCGCCCCAGGGTGCAGTCACCACAAGCCTGCTAGAAGGGCTCAGCGGAGGCTGCGATGCGTCCGAAAGTCCACTGGACCCTAGACCTTAAATGGCCTCCCTGAGCCTTTAGGCTTTTACTTCCTGGGAGCCCAGCCCTGAGCCAACAGAGACAGTGCCTGGCTCCTACATTGGCAGAGAGTGACAAGTCAGTGTCCCCTTCTTACAACATCAGTGGTAGAGGAGCAATTAGGAGAGCAGGTCCTCCAGCTTCTTCCAGGTGCAGTGTGGAAACAGAGGCAGAGAAGAACTCACCTGACCGCACCTACGAGGTGGGTAGGGACAGATACTTCTGAGAGTGAACCATCAGCCAAGCACGCCCAGCAGCCCTGGGGGGTCAGTGCATGTTGTCGGGTGCTACTTTTGCAGTTGGGGAAACTGAGGGTCAAGAGAGGCTGTCATTTGACTGAAGTCCTACAGCAAGGGTGGACCAGGGTTCCCGCCCGGGCAGGATGATGCTGAGCCTGCATGCAGGCTCCCACGCAGCCTTATCACAGCCTCATGTAGAGACGACCTCCTGTGACCTCGCTGACATGAGTGTGAGTGTGTGGGGACCCTGGCTGCCGCAGCAGGAATGAGGCAGCCTCTCTGCATCCTGACACTCCCAGGCAGAGGCCTGTCCTTCATCTGGACCTACCAACAGTGACGCCAGGAGCAGCTGCCTCTAGGACACGTGTTCCCCTGGGCCAGAGGAACTATGTGAGGAACCCATGGTGCATGCCATGACAACCCTCCTTTAGGGCCTCTTGAGGCCACAGTGGTGCTAAACCCAGGAAGTGGGTGCCAATTCAGGGGACCATTGGCAGCCCTGCTGCCCCTCACTGGGCTGTGCCTGCAGTCACGGGAGGCAAGGACCTGCTTTTGAGTCTTTGGCTTCACCTTGTTCTTACAGCCAGACTTGGGGCTCTCTACCTGGGGCTGGGGATAGGTAGTTCTCAGCCTGGGCAGCCCCAGGAGCTGCTAAGTGTCATATCCCTGGGGAAGGCCTGAGCAGTTTGAGGCTGATTTTGGTTGTCCCAATACTGCTGGGAACCACTGGGGAATGAGAGTGTCTTGGGGACCTATTCCTGGAGCCTGAGTCTAAGCTGAGCTGTGGCTCATAAGACTAAATTGCATGGAGACCCAACATGGCTGCTGGGCCCGTCAAGGGCTGGTGTCTGCTCTGGGAGGTAGCCCCATGGCTGGATCTTTCTCTATGTCCCAGGTCGGCCCCTGTGACCTGGGGCCAGTGTGCTGAAACCTGTGAGGATCAGGCATAGCGAGGAGGGTGGCCCCATAGGTAGGCCCATACAAGGGACTTGGGCAGAGTCCTGTCCTCCAGCTAAGTATCTGGGGCACCAACCTCACAGACTGCAGAGTTCACTCTCATTAGCGCAGGGGTCCTCTCAACAGCTTCAGTGACCATAGGGATCGGTGTACCCATTTCACAGATGGGGACACGCCGGCTCAGGTCTTACCACCCTTTGCCAACAGCTTCTTCACTGGTCTCCTTAGCTTCCGTTTTCCCTTTTCCTTCCTTGTTTTAAGCTTTCAAAAAAAATTTTTAGGCTGGGTGTAGTGTCTCCTGCCTGTAATCCCAGCACTTTGGGTGGATTGCTTGAGCCTAGGGGTTTGAGACCAGCCTGGGCAACTTAGTGAGACCCCACCTCTACAAAAAATTCCAGAATTTTCTTTCTTTACTAATTTAAACATTTTGGCTGGGCTTGGTGGCTCATGCCTGTAATCCCAGCACTTTGGGAGGCCAAAGTGGGCGGATCATCTGAATCAGGAGTTCTAGACCAGCCTGGCCAACATGGTGAAACCCTGTCTCTACTAAAAATACAAATTAGCCAGGCGTGGTGGCATGTGCCTGTAATCCCAGCTCCTTGGAAGGCTGAGCCGGGCTGGTCTTGAATTCCTAACCTCAGGTGATCTGCCCACCTCAGCCTCCCAAAGTGCTGGGATTACAGGTGTGAGCCACCGCACCTGGCCAAAAAAAAACTTTTAAAATTATTTAGTGGCTTATTATATAAGAAATACATGAATGCATTTTTACTTTAAAAACATAATACACCCAGCAGTTTGGGAGGCTGAGGCAGGTGGATCACCTGAGGTCAGGAGTTCGAGACCAGCCTGGCCAACATGGTGGAACCTTGTCTCTAACTAAAAATACAAAAATTAGCTGGGTGTGGTGGCGGATGCCTGTAATCCCAGCTACTCGGGAAGCTGAGGCAGGAGAATTGCTTGAACTCGGGAGGCGGAGGTTGCGATAAGCTGAGATCGTGCCACTGCACTTCAGCCTGGGCGACAGAGTGAGACTCCGTCTCAAAAAAAAAAAAAAAAAAAAAAAAAACCATAATACAGGGCTGGTCATGGTGGCTCACACTTGTAATCCCAGCATACTTCTGGGCTCAGGCAATCCTCCCACCTTGACCTCCCAAAGTGCTGGGATTACAGGCGTCAGCCACCGCACCCAGCCTGTTTTGATTTTTTTCAAGAGACGAGGTCTCACTATGTTGTCCACACTGGTCTTGAACTCCTGGGCTCAAGCTATCCTCCTGCTTGTGCTTCCCAGAGTTTTAGATTTTCAGGCATGAGCTATCACACCCAGACTTATTTTCTCCTTTATCCCCAACCACTGCAGTTAGGTTTGGGTTGGGATGGGGGCAGGTGGGAGATGGGGGAAGCCAACCTCCAAGCAGGGCAGGAAACATCTAGCCAGCCCCATCTTCCTGAATCCACAGCTAGGGTGCCTCCCAGAGAGCCTGCTCTGCTGCAGGGCACAGTGGGGAGTAGTCTGTCTCCATAGACACACAGCATCCCAAAGCCAAACATTTCCCTCCTCAGTCCTTGTAATTGCCACTAGGCTGTGCATATATGGGAAACCCACAGGGTTTACCTCATCCCCTATTGCTGGACATCCAGGCTGTTTTCAGCGGTGCTGTTACAGCTCACTGCAGTGGCCGCCACAGTGCAGGTCTCTGCCAGGCTCTCTACGGGGAGGCGCTGGGAAGTAGAATTGCTGAGCTGGGGGGCAGGGGCTAAGTCACCCTCCAAAAAGCCTGTGCCCACCCCCAGCATAGGCACTTGTTGTACTAACACTTTGCTAAAACCTCTCTCTTCAATGGGAATTTGTCTCATTGCTTATGAGTTTGCTTATCTTTTCTTACTGAGTGATCATTTTTATTTCCTTTTTTTTCTTTTTCCCCCTCACCTCTCTGAATTTTATTTATTTCCTTTTACCATGAAGAATCTGCTTATATCCTTTCCCCATTTTTCCACTATGGTTTTTATCTTTTCCTTATTCATTTGTAGATCTTTATACAGATGCTCTTCAACCTGCTGTGGAGTTTCATCCCAATAAACCCTTTACAAGTTAAAAATACTGTAAAATGAAAATGTATTTAATATGCCTAACCTACTGAACATCATAGCTTAGCCCAGCCTGCCTTAAACATGCCCACAACACTGACATTAGCCTACAGTTGGTCAAAGTCACCTAACACAGTCTGGGCACAGTGGCTCACACCTATAATCCCAGCACTTTGGGAGGCTGAGGAGGGCGGAGCACTTGAGGTCAGAAGTTCGAGACCAGTCTCGCCAACATGGTGAAACCCCGTTTCTACTAAAAATACAAAAATTAGCCACGCGTAGTGGCACATGCCTGTAGTCCCAGCTACTCAGGAAGCTGAGGCAGGAGAATCGCATGAACCTGGGAGGCGGAGGTTGCAATGAGCTGAGATTGTGCCATTGCACTCCAGCCTGGGCAACAAAAGTGAAACTCCATCTCAAAAACAAAAACAAACAACAAAATGTCACCGAACACAAAGCCTGTTTTATAATAAAGTGTTGAATATCTCATGTAATTATCAAATATTGTGCTCAAAGTGAAAACCAGAATGGTCGTATGGATACTTGAAGTATGATTTCTACTAAATGTGTATGACTTTTGCACCATTGTAAAGTAAAAAAAAATCCCAAGTTGAGCCATATAAGTCAGGGACCATCTGTACATTCTGGATTTAAATCCTTTGTTGTATTTTCTCGCTTCCCTTTGCCCCACCTGGAGAGGTTGACTCTAGAGGGAGTGCAGGGGACAGGGCCAGGACCAGGCTTTCTGCCTGGCTGCAGCTCTTGGATGTTATGTTGGAAAATGTCTAACCCTGGCTAGGTGGAGACACAATGGCCAGGTGACTTTTCTGAAAGCCTCTGTTCTGTCACCTGTAAAGTGGACAGAATACTGCCTACCTTGCAGGGTTGTGGTGAGGATTAAAGGAACCCACCCATGGACAGGTCATCTGATGAGTGCCACACACATGTGAGGTGGACAGCTGCTGGGCAGGAGGCACCGTGTCGAGTAGGTGCCCAATAAACGGTGACTGTGGTCTCTGTGCCCAGTGAGTGTATGTGGGTACCTTGGTGGGGGGGGTCTCTCCTGCAGAGCCAGTGCTCAGAAGTTTAGCATGGATGGGGGGCAGTCTGAGACAGGGCTGGTGCTTGGAGGAAGGGAGAAGTGGATGGGCTGAGCTTAGGGAGAAGACACCACAAGGTTGGCTCATATTGGGTGCAGTTGTGAGGGTCTACTAAGGTCAAGCCCTGTCCCCTCCTGCATCAGGATCCCCAAAGGAAAGTGTTGGGCTGACTTCCTCCAGCCAGGTTGGCTACAGCTGACCCTCTGGTCCCACTCCTGCCAGGCAGTCCTGGGGCCTCAGAAAAGCCCTTTGGAGGTGACATGTGGTCCAGCCCACTTGAGGGCATGACTTGGCCTTGGCTGTAATCTGCTGAAACTAAATAGGAGGTATATTTATGAGTTGCCATAAAAGGCACTGACATACTGGTGATAAAAGCCACCAAAATCGCCCTGCTGTAAACTGCCATTTACATGTTTATGACCTTATTCCCCAGCCAGTGGGTTAGATATTCCCATTATCACTGACCAGGAGGCTCAATTCTCAGCCAGGGGCCTGCAGGGTGAGTTGAAAAAAGGAAGCACTAATATGCAGGCCCAGGGCCACTGCCTGCTCCTCCTTGCAGCTGCTCCCTCCCAAGAGACTCCTCCTATCGAGCATACCCTGGAGGCTTATTCTCTTACTGAGGAGTAACTTACATTCGGTACACTACAGCAATCATGAATGCATAATACAGCTCAATGAATTTTACATAGGTGCACACCTGTGTAACCGTGACCCCGAGCAAACTTCCTCACCCTAGGAGATTCCCTTGTGCCCCTTCCCCGCCAATGTCCCCTAGCCCAGAAGTAACCACCGTTCTCACCTCCATCATCAGAGATCAGTTTTGCTGGCCTAGAATTTCACCCAAATGTCGTCATACATGTGTTTTCTTCTGTGTGTGGCCTCCTTTCATCAATACAATGTTTTTTATTTTTGTATATTTTTTGAGACAGGGTCTTGCTCTGTTCTCCTTCCGTAGTGCAGTGGGGCGCCATCACGGCTCGCTGCAGCCTCCAACTCCCAGGCTCAAGTGATTCTCCCACCTCAGCCTCCCAAGTTGTAGCTGGGACTACAGACATGCTCCACCGTGCCCGGCTGATTTTTTCTATTTTTTTGTTTGTTTGTTTGTTTTTAGAGACAGGGTTTCACTATGTTACCCAGGCTGGTCTCTAACTCCTAGGCTCAAGCGCTCCGCCCGCCTCGGCCTCCCAAAGTGCTGGGATTACAGGCGTGAGCCACTGCGCCCAGCCAATATAATGTTTTCCAGATTCCTCCACGCTGCCCTGTGTAACAGTTGTTCTTTCTTTTTTATCGTTGAGTAGTTGTCTCCATTGTATGGATGGATAGGCCACACTGGTTTATTTATTCTCCTATTGATGGATATTTGGGTTGTTTCCAGTTTTTGGCTACTATGAATAAAGATGCTATGAATAATCCTGTGCACGTTTGTGTGAGAATGTGTTTTTATATCTGTTGGGTAAATCTTCAGAATGCAGTAGCTGCCTCAGAAGGTAAGAGCGTATGATGTCATAAGAAACTGCCAACGGCAATGGATGAGCATTCCAGTTGCTCCTCTTCTTTTGAGGTTTCTCTGCCCCAGACCCTCAGTTTCCTTAAAGAGCCCACCCATCATCCCATCTGGAGGTGGGCCTGGCTGTAGGGGATGGCAGGCATCCTCCAGGAACCCAAAATCTTGCTGCAAGGGAGGGATCTGGCTGATGTGTGCAGGTGCCAGTTACACCCTCAGGGAGCTAGCATGGGAGAAGAGAATTCCATTTGGTAAGCACCAGTTAAGAGTCAGGCACCACAGTAAGGCTATTATTTGTATGCCCTATTTAATCCTCTAGGTGCTGGAGTCTTGCCAGCGATGGCAGACAAAACATTTAGTGCCTGCAGACTGCCCTGCCTCCACCTGCCAAGGCTGCCCATCCCCAGCAGCCCCTCCCTGGCCATCATATTAGATCTATCACATGACCCAGCACAAAGGCACTGAGAAGGTCTGTAGAGCTTCTCTCCATCACCCCACTGCCCAGAGCAAGGCCCAGGGAGAGAAGAGACTTTGGTCCCATGGTTATAAGCAGAGCTGGGAAACAACTCCACTTTTCTGCTCCCAGCTCAGGAGAGAAAATCAGGCCTCCTCTCTTAGAGACAGGCCTTTCCTATGCTCCCTTCTCATCAAATCAACCTTAGGGAGGGCTTCACTCGGCTGGGAGCACTGCTAGGGGGGTGTGTGTCACAGTCCTGCCTAGTGGTAGCAGCCAGCCCAGCCAGGGCAGGCACACAGCAGGCATCAGTGAAAGGAAGGAAGAGGCCGGGCGCAGTGGCTCACGCTTATAATCCCAGCACTTTGGGAGGCCAAGGTGGGTCAGATCACTTGAGGTCAGGAGTTTGAGACCAGCCTGGCCAACACGGCGAAACTTCATCTCTACTAAAAATACAAAAAATTAGCTGGGCATGGTGGCATGCATCTGGAGTCCCATCTACTCGGGAGGCTGAGGGAGGAGAATCGCTTGAACCTGGGAGGCAGAGGTTCTAGTGAGCCAAGATCACGCCATTGCACTCCAGCCTGGGCTACAGAGCAAGACTGTGAAAGAAAGAGAGAGAGAAAGAGAGAAAGAGAGAAAGAGAGAGAGAGAGAGAGAGGGAGGGAGGGAGGGAGGGAAAGGAAAGGAAAGGAAAGAAAGAAAGGAAATAAAGGAAAAAGAGAGAGGCCGGGTGCGGTGGTTCACGCCTGTAATCCCAGCACTTTGGGAGGCCGAGGTGGGCGGATCACAAGGTCAGGAGATCGAGACCATCCTGGCTAACACGGTGAAACCCTGTCTCTACTAAAAATACAAAAAATTAGTCGGGCGTGGTGGCGGGCATCTGTAGTCCCAGCTACTCAGGAGGCTGAGACAGGAGAATGGTGTGAACCCAGGAGGCGGAGCTTACAATAAGCCGATATCTCACCACTGCACTCTAGCCTGGGTGACAGAGCAAGACTCCATCAAAAAAAAAAAAAAGAGAGAGAGAGGGAGAAAGAAGGAAGGAAGGAAAGAGAGAGAAGGAAAGAAAGAAAGGAAAGAAAGAGAAAGAAAGAAAGAGAGAAGAAAAAGAAAGAAAGAAAGAGAAAGAGAAAGAAAGAAAGAAAGAAAGAAAGAAAGAAAGAAAGAAAGAAAGAAAGAAAGAAAGAGAAAGAAAGAAAGAAAAAGAATAAGACAAGGCGTTGGAAGAAGACCTGATCAACAACTTCAGGGTGAAGGGAAAATAACTGATAGAAGACCAGAAAGGCGACCACCTCATGAACGAAGATTTGAAAAGACACTTGAAGAAAAGGGTGAAGGAGGCGAATTTTCACTAGATAGACCGATTATTGACCAACCTATTCGAGGTCGTGGATGTGGAATGGGCTGAGGAGATGGATCTGATTCTCATGGCAAACGTGAATTTGATAGGCATCGTGGAAGTGATCTTCTTTTTCACATTACAGTGGCCTGAAGCACGAGGACAAACATGGAGGTAGCGGATCTTACCACTGGGGAACTGTCAAAGATGAATTAACTGACTTGGATCCATCAAATGTGACTGAGGAAACACCTGAAGGTTAGGAACATCATCCAGTGGCAGGCACTGAAAATAAGGAGAATGAAGTGGAAGAGGTAAAAGAGGAGGGTCTGAAAGAGATGACTTTAGATGAGTGGAAGGCTATTCAAAATAAGGACTGGGCAAAAGTAAAATTTAATATCTGAAAACCAAATGAAGGTGCTGATGGGCAGTGGAAGAAGGGATTTGTTCTTCATAAATCAAAAAGTGAAGCGGCTCATGCTGAAGAATCGGTTATGGACCATCATTTCCAGAAGCCAGCAGATGATATAACATCTCAGCTGGAGATCAATTTTGGAGACCTTGGCCGCCCAGAACATGGTGGCAGGGGAGGACGAGGTGGACGTGGGCGTGTTGGGCGCCCAAACCGTGGCAGCAGGACCAACAAGTGCTTCTGCTCCTGATGTGGATGACCCAGAGGCTCTGGCGTAACTGATGCCATAAGACAACCCTGGTTCCTTTGTGAACTCTTCTGTTCAAAGCTTTTGCACGCTTAAGGATTCCAAACAACTAAGAAATTAAAAAAAAAAACTGTCATTCATACCATTCACACCTAAAGACTGAGTTTTATCTGTTTTAAAAATGAACATCTCTCGCTACACAGAAGTAACAAATATGATAGTCAGTTTTGTATTTAGAAATGTATTGGTGGCCGGGCGCTTAGGAGGCCGAGGCAGGTGGATCACGAGGTCAGGAGATCAAGACCATCCAGGCTAACACGGTGAAACCCCGTTATAATACAAGAAATTAGCCAGGTGTGGCAGCACTCGCCTGTGGTCCCAGCTACTTGGGAGGCTGAGGCAAGAGAATCGACTGAACCTGGGAGGCGGAGGTTGCAGTGAGCCAAGACTGCACCACTCTATTCCAGCCTGGGTGACAGAGGAGACTCCGTCTCAAAAAAAAAAAAAAAAAAAAAAAAAAAAAAAGAAAGAAAAAAAGGTAATGGTAGCAGGGATGTTTTCATAATTTTCAGAGATTATGCATTCTTCATGAATACTTTTGTATTGCTGCTTGCAAATATGCATTTCCAAACCTGAAATATAGATGTGAACAGTGTGTACCAGTTTAACGCTTTCACTTCATTTGTGTTTTTTAATTAAGGATTTAGAAGTTCCCCAATCACAAACTGGTTTTAAATATTGGACATATTGGTTTTAATATCTGCTTTGCATTTTCACACATGGTCAACTGGGACATGTTAAACTTTGATTTGTCAAATTTTATGCTGTGTGGGATACTAACTATATGTATTTTAACTTAGTTTTAATATTTTCATTTTTGGGGAAAAATCTTTTTTCACTTCCCATGATAGCTGTTTTATATATATATATATATATATGCTAAATCTTGACATACAGAAATATCAGTACTTGAACAAATTCAAAGCACATTGGTTTATTAACCTTTCCTTGCTCCTTGCATGGTTCATCAGGTTCAAATTATAACTGATTTACATTTTTAACTATATTTACTTTTTAAATGCATGACTTTCCTATTTTAAAATCTAAACTAGACATCTTATTGGTGAAAGTTGTTTAAGCTACTTATTGTTGGTAGACACATCCTGTCAAGTGAAGTAGCTTTACAGGTATGGGTTTCCCCGCCCCGCCTCCACCAGGGTGGGTGGAATAAGTTGATTTGGCCAATGTGTAATATTTAAAGTGTTCTATACAGTAAGTGTCTGGCCATTTGGTATGATTTCTGTGTGTGAAAGATCCTAAAATCAAAATGGTATATCCATAATCAGCAACCATTTAAACCTTCCTTGTTCTAAAACAAGCAAAAAAATCTAAAGGGCACTGGTTGGTAGGATGAGGTTGGGGAGTATTTTAATTTTTGGAATTTGGGAAGCAGACAGCTTTACTTTATAAGGTTAGAACAGCAGCACCATCCATTAAATATAAACCGAAAATCTTTACTGTTTCTAAATTTCCTAGATTGTTATTATTTGGTCCTAAGTTGAGTATTTGTTCCACAGAAAGTAATAATTATCTTCTCCCTCTTCCTCCATTAGAAAATTAGGTTAATAATGGATTCCTTTAATGGGAGCATCACCACGTATTAAAACATCCATGGAGAGAATGATGAATAAGAAAAGTTTTCTAGGATTGTCTTTTATTCTGCCACATTTATTGTTAAACAGGGAAGGAATTTTTAAAAAAGTTTTAAGAATCGTTCGTCACTTCATTTTTAGAAATGTTCTACCTGTATATGGTAATGTCCAGTTTTAAAAATATTGGACATCTTCAATCTTAAACATTTCTATTTAGCTGATTGGTTCTCACATATACTTCTAAAAGGGAAATTGTGCATTACAAGAGTTACTTATTTGGATTAGATTTATTAATCTCAGTTACCTACTATTCTGATATTTTAGGAAGGAGGTAATTGTTTTTAATGATGGATAAACTTGTGCTGGTGTTTTGGATCTTATGCTGAGCATGTTCTGCACTGATGCTAATGTCTAATATACCTGCTACCCAGAGATTAATTTAGTCCGTAAGGACTATTGACCCCTCTTAAGACTGCAACATACACACTCCTAAATCAGTGTGTTTAGATTTTTCAAGTATCTAACTCATTTCTGAACATGTACCATGTTTATAAACCTCTGATTTCCAGCAGCATATTATAGAAAACACCTGCTATTAAAAACACTTCACAACTTCTACGCAGTGTCACTCATTGCTATCTTGAGAGACAACACAGCAATACCTGGTATGTTGCAAGTTTTCAAGATAGCCAGAACTTAAAAAGTTGGTCCATTAGTTGTATCTGATGGATATAAATTTGCCTCCTAGTTCACTTTGTATCAAGAGCTAAAATTGTGAACCTTTCTCTTACTGGTGGGTAATAACTGAAAATAAAGATTTATTTTCATGCTCACTTCTTTTTTTTTTTTTTTTTGAGATGGAGTCTCGCTCTGTCACCCAGGCTGGAGTGCAGTGGTGCGATCTCAGCTCACTGCAATCTCCGCCTCCCAGGTTCAAGCAATTCTCTTGCCTCAGCCTCCCAAGTAGCTGGGAGTACATGCCACCACGCCCAGCTAATTTTTGTATTTTTAGTAGAGACGGGGTTTCACCATTTTGGCCAGACTGGTCTTGAACTCCTGACCTCAGGTGATCCACCCACCTCGGCCTCCCAAAGTGCTGGGATTACAGGCGTGAGCCACTGCACCAGCGTCATGCTCACTTCTTAAAAGTCATAAAGACAATCAAATAGGATCCTGTTTATCGTCACGCGTTTCCTGGTTTCTGAACTGTGTGCACATCCTTGTGTGCTTTTTTTTGTGATGGAGTCTCGCTCCTGTCGCCCAGGCTGGAGTGCAATGGTGCCATCTCGGCTCACTGCAACCTCCACCTCCCAGGTTCAAGCAATTCTTCTTCCTCAGCCTCCCGATTAGCTGGGATTACAGGCGTGCACCATCACACCCAGCTAATTTTTGTATTTTTAGTAGAGACGGAGTTTCACCATGTTGGCCAGGCTGGTCTCAAACTCCTGACCTCAGGTGATCCACCCACCTTGGCCTCCCAAAGTGCTAGGATTACAGGCGTGAGCCACCGCGCCTGGCCTCCTGTGTGCTTATGTTTAATTTTTTAAATTGAATTTTATATGGAGTTTTTATTTGCTAAAAACCAGGCTGTTGAATCACTTTTGGAAAGGGTACCTATCTTAATGACTAACAACTTAATTGGGAAAGTTGAGTTCTTGTAAAATAGAAAACAAGGACTTCTTGGATTAAATCCAACTGTCACTTCTTAGCAGATCATTTTTTGATAGTGAAAGTTAAGCATACTGAATGCTACTTTTTATTGACAAACTGGCTATAATACTCTAGAAGAAAAAAATCCCTAAATGGATACAGATTCCTAAAGTAATAGTGGCAGCAGATGTTTCAGTGAACTTTTATCTTGACACTTTTAAATAGAAGTAATGCCAGAGCTGAAATTTTTAAGGCACTTACAGCTTGTATCGAAATTATTGGAGACATGGTTTCTTCATTAGCTATTTTGAGAACTGTGGAGTTATGCAAGATTTTTAAAAAGTGGCACCAGGGGGCCAGTTGTGGTGGCTCACGCTTGTAATCCCAGCACTTTGGGAGGCCAAGGCAGGCGGATCACCTGAAGTTAGGAGTTCAAGACCAGCCTGGACAATGTGGTGAAACCTCGTCTCTACTAAAAATACAAAAAATTAGCGGGGTGTGGTGGCGCATGCCTGTAATCCCACCTACTCGGGAGGCTGAGGCAGGAGAATCCCTTGAACCTGGGAGGCGGAGGTTGCGGTGAGCTGAGATCACGCCATTACACTCCGGACTGGGCAACAAGAGCAAAACTCCGTCTCAAAAAAAAAATGTGGCATCAGGTACTATACATCTAGTTAGTTCCTTTACTCTGTTTTATTTTTTAAATGAAAGTAGGATACATCATTTCCAGGACTGTCAATATATTTGGGGCTTGTTTTTGGTATGGATTTGGATGGAGGATATTAAGTATTCATTCATTCTAATTTTGTTATTTTTCTAATTGCCAGAGATGGTTGCACTGAAATAGAAACACATTACAGGGAGTTGCATACAAAGCCTAAATGTGTACTGGATTTTGAAAATACTAGATTGGTGCAGTTACTTTTGCGCCAACCTAATATGTCTTTAGGAAAGTACTAGTATGTGGAAAGAAACAATAGGTATTAAAAGGTTTAAAGGAATGAGAAATAGGAAGTTGCTAGAACCTAACGGATGTTGACTTTAAAGGTAAGATTGTTCAGGTATATTAGTGGACATCTAGTCCAATGCTATAGCAAATTCCAGAGGTCTCAGGTGCATGCAATTCTACTTTCTAAAGAAAGTAAACACTTAGAAAATAGATTCTAACCCAGACATTTGGATTATACTGAGATAAATATGTAAATAAGTTTTAGCAAGTCTGAACACTGACAAGCCAGGTCTTCAGGTTAACTAAGAAAAGCCCAGAAACTTCATCATTTACTGTGCTTTGTATGCCATAACTGGTAACAAGGCAGTAAAATGATACATATTTGAACTGGACCATAGTAATTAAATGATTTATCAATATCATTTGTAAGACAATTGTCAGGTTGAGATTAATAGTAAGTGGCAGCTTCCCAGAAATCTAGCTTGTCATTTGGCTTAGCTGTGCCCTGGGATTGCCTTTTACCTTAGGCATGCTTCTGGGCGTGTTTCCTAACTTAAAATCTTCCTTGATTTTTAAGTTCAAATTTGGAGGTTATGTGAAGTGATTGAAATAAGTCTTTCAGGCTGAGGAATTAGGTAATTTCAAGACTATAGAGAAAGCAAGTTTGTAATCTAAACATGAGAAGCTTAAGTTTAGGAAATGATTAGAATATAAATTGTTAAAACCATCAAGATTTTGGCCACAGATGAAAATATGAACATTGGGGCCAGGCGCGGTGGCTCAGGCCTGTAATCCCAGCACTTTGGGAGGCCGAGGTGGGTGGATCATGAGGTCAAGAGATGGATACCATCCTGGGCAACATGGTGAAATTCTGTCTCTACTAAAAATACAAAAATTAGCTGGGTGTGGTTGCACACGCCTGTAATCCCAGCTGCTCAGGAGGCTGAGGCAGGAGAATCGCTTGAACCCAGGAGGCAGAGGTTGCAGTGAGCCGAGATCATGCCACTGCACTCCAGCCTGGGTGACAGAGCGAGGCTCCATCTAAAAAAAAAAAAAATACCAGCCAGGTGCAGTGGCTCACGCCTGTAATCCCAGCACTTTGGGAGGCTGAGGTGGGCAGATCACGAGGTCAGGAGATCGAGACCATCCTGGCTAGCATGGTGAAACCCTGTCTCTATTAAAAATACAAAAAATTAGCCGGGTGTGATGGTGGCTGCCTGTAGTCCCAGCTACTTGGGAGGCTGAGGCAGGAGAATGGCGTGAACCCGGGAGGTAGAGCTTGCAGTGAGCCGAGATTGAGCCACTGCACTCCAGCCTGGGCAACAGAGCAAGACTCTGTTTCAAAAAAAACAAAAAACAAAACAAAACAAAAACAAAAAAACATGATTATAGTTTAGTATTTCACATTTAGTGACACTTTTCCGATCACTTTGTGTAAGTCCTTTGTGTTGTACAAAGAGGTTTTTCCATAAGATAAGAATTATGAACATTTTATGTAGGTAAGTAAACTCCATAGGTTGAGCTGGGGCAGAAATCAATGGCTCCTGGAGACTGCTTTTTTTTTTTTTTTTTTTTTTTTTTTTTAGAGCTTAGAATGCCCATTTGGAAAGAATTTAGCTTTTGTGCTATTGATTACTTCTGTACTAAACTAGTAGTCAAGTGTTCACTTCCAAATGGAAGGGAAAAAATTACCCACACGAGTTAGAAGATTATTTACCAAATTATATTTTTGAGGTATTATGTATGTACTTAGTATTTAAAATTAGTAATGTTTGTTCCTTTTGCCGCCCATTTTGGGAGTATGTGGCAATTCCTAGTGCACTTGTATGACATTACTCTTCCTGAGCCTTGTATGTGCAAGAAAGTTTATATAAAAGATACCTGGTGGTAACTTAAAAAAAACACACACAAAAAAAACTCCTCTGAAATATTCACAAGTTTGTTCACAGCTCAAGCCCAAATATTACAGCTGAAAGAACCTCTAGACATCTTTGAGTGCAGCGCTCCGCTTTCAATAGATCACATGTACTAGCTGCATTTTAAGAACATAATTTATATCAGGAGGTAAAGTGACTACCTCAGTTTTTTTTTTTTTTTTTTTTTTTTTTTGAGATGGAGTCTCGCTCTATCGCCCAGGCTGGAGTGCAGTGGCGCGATCTCAACTCACTGCAAGCTCCGCTTCCCGGGTTCACGCCATTCTCCTGCCTCAGCCTCCCGAGTAGCTGGGACTACAGGCGCCCGCCACCACACCTGGATAATTTTTTTTTGTATTTTTAGTAGAGACAGGGTTTCACCATATTAGCCAGGATGGTCTCGATCTCCTGACCTAGTGATCCGCCCACCTCAGCCTCCCAAAGTGCTGGGATTACAGGTGTGAGCCACTGCGCCCGGCCGACTACCTCAGGTTTTTAACTCCAGACTTGACAGAATGACTAGATAAAGATAGTGGAAAATGAAAACCGGTGGCCTTACAAGCAAGCTCCATCAGGAATGAAGATCATATATTCCAGGTATTATAAAATTAGTAATGAGAAAATTAGGATTCAATTGGCCACACTTCACTTTGTACAAAGCTACTGGGTAAAGCAAGATCTATGGGCATTTTCCCAATTTTGTCTGTACTATGCAGAAATTTCTTTCTTCTCAAATCCATCTAGTGCTAACACGTGGGAACCAAGTGGGGGCCTAGAGGTGGCACCATCAATTTGGCTGGTAAGCCCAGGCAGGAAACTATGAGACTCTTATCAACCAGGGAGATTTAACCGCTCCAGGCTGGGCATGGTGGCTCACATCTGTAATCCCAGCATTTTGGGAGGCCGAGGTGGGTGGATCACCTGAGGTCAGGAGTTCAAGACCAGCCTGGCCAATGTGGTGAAACCCCGTCTCTACTAAAAATGCAAAAATTAGCCAGGTGTGGTGGTGCATGCCTACAGTCCCAGCTACTGGGAGGCTGAGGCAGGAGAATCGCTTGAACCCGGGAGGCAGAGGTTGCAGTGAGCCGAGATGGTGCCATTGCATTCCAGCCTGGGTGACAGAGCAAGACTCCAGCTCAAAAAATAAATAAAAAATAAAAAAGTAAACTACTCTGTAGCTGTAACAGGCATCAAACAAACACATGAAATGTCCTTGTGAACATCTTGTAGCTTCACAGCAATATCCTGACAGTTATTGTATTACATTGGTGCAAAAGTAATCACAGTTTTTGCCATTAAAAGTAATAGCAAAAACTGCAATTGCTTTTGCACCAACCTAAATATGTAGACTATACCTTAATATGAAAGAAAGAATGGCAGAGTAGGGAGAGGCAGGGACTGTGACAGAGGGCATCGGACAGGCAGGAACTGTGGTCTCCACTCATGGTGAAAAGGTGGGGGTGTGAAGGACTCTGGGCAGCAGAGGGATTCAGGCAGTGCTTGCCTAAGCCCAGCAGGTGGCTATGGAGAGAGAGTATAGGAAGGTCCATGGTGGTATCTCCCTTTATCCTCTCTTCTCCTGGTTGGGCCTGCCTTGCCAAGTCCCTTCCAAGGGCCAGATGAACAGCCTTCTTCACAAACCTCCTGCCCTGGCTTCTCCAAAAGGGCCATGAGGGTCATGAAGAATGCTCTTGCCTGCGCTGGATGCCATGTTGAAAATAAGCTATCACCCAGGTTTCACCCTAGAGAGGTCAATTCCAAGGCCTGGGGGTCAGGTAGGGTTGAGGGGCTATCACTTTATAGATATGTGTCTTTTTGTACTTCAACTATACTTCAGTAGTATAGAAAAACAGAAACATTTTCAATCATATTCATTTCATTAAAATACTATTAATATTTTAATATCATAATTGTCTTTAATATCATTTAATATAATAACATGATTTAATATAATATTTTATGAGGGGCAAAATGATTATACTTCTTTGGCAAACAAAATAATTTAAAAATAGTATTTATCTCCTCTTTACTTCTTCTTTTTAACATTTCTATATTTTGTGTTTTACAATATATGTAATGTTTTATTAGACTAGTATAAATATATTAAATAATATGATTTAAGTATTTTGGAAGGCATACATTCATGTAGGTACAATATTTTGAAGGCCAGTACAAAAGGGAACTCTTGAATCTCCATCCCCTGGGCATTCTATATGATTGAAATAATATGATTTACCTTGCAATAAAGGAGTAGTTTAACATTAAAGAAAAAAAGAGGCCGGGTGCAGTGGCTCACACCTGTAATCTCAGCACTTTGGGATGCTGAAGTGGGCAGATCACCTGAGGTCAGGAGTTCAAGACCAACCCGGCCAACATGGTGAAACCCCATCTCTACTAAAAATACAAAAATTAGCCAGGCGTGGTAATGACAGGCACACGCCTATAATCCTAGTTACTCGGGAGGCTGAAGCAGGGGAATCACTTGAAACCGAGAGGTGGAGGTTGCAGTGAGCAGAGACTGCGCCACTGCACTCCAGCCTGGGCGACAGAGCGAAACTCCAACTCAAAAAAAAAAAAAAAAAAAAGAAAAAAAAGAAAGAAAGAAAAAGGAAAAAGAAAAGGAATAATCTGATACATGTAGAAACATGGATGAATCTCAGAAACAAACAGGACGCCTGACACAGCAGGTCACACTTGTAAACTCAGCACTTTGGGAGGCGGAGGTGGTAGAATCACTTGAGACTAGAGTTCAAGGCCAGCTTGGGCAACATGGTGAGACCCCATTTCTATGAAAAATAAGAAAAGATGTAGTGATACATGCCTGTAGTCCCAGCTACTCAGGAGGCTGAGGCAGGAGGATCACTTGAAGCCAAGAGTTAGAGGCTGCAGTGCACAATTATTGCACCAATGAAGTGAGACCCTGTCTCAAAACAAAAAGGTAGACAGGGACTGGGGCTCACGCCTGTAATGCAAGCACTTTGAGAGGCTGAGATAGGTGGATCGCTTGAGGTCAGTAGTTCAAAACCAGCCTGGCCAACATGAGAAACCCTGTCTCTACTGAAAACACACACACACACACACACACACACACACACACACACACACAAATTAGCTGAGTGCTGTGACTCACACCTGTAATCACAGCTACTCGGGAGGCTGAGGCAGGAGAACTGCTTGAACTGGGAGGCAGTGGCTGCAGTGAGCTGAGATGGCACCACTGCATTCCAGCCTGGACGACAGAGTGAGACACCGTCTCGAAAACAACAACAACAACAACAACAACAACAACAACAACAAAGAAAAAAGCAACCAGACAGGATCGCTACTTGGAGGAGCTGAACAAAAAATAATAATAAAAAACAGACAGAGAGTATTGCTCTATGATGAAATTTTTTTCTTGTCTTTTCTTGTCTTTTCTTTCTTTATTCTTTTCTTTTTTTTTCTTTTTTTCTTTTTCTTTTTTTTTTTTTTTGAGTCAAAGTCTCACTCTGTCACCCAGGCTAGAGTGCTGTGGCACAATCACAGCTCACTGCAGTCTTGACCTCCAGGCTCAAGTGATCCTCGCAGCTTAGCCTCCAGAGTAGCTAGGACTACAGGCTTGGGCCACCACATCTGGCTAATTTTTAAATTTTCTGTAGAGATGGGGTCTTGCTATGTTGCCCAGGCTGGTCTCGAATTCCTGGCCTCAATCAATCCTCCCCCCTCGGCCTCCTAAAGTGCTGGGTTTACAGGCATGAGCCACTGTGCCCGGCCTATGATGAAGTTTATAAAAACAGGCAAAAGTAATCTTGAAACTAGAAATCAGATCAGTGTTTGCCTATGGGTGAGGGGAGTCATTAGAAGGCTCTGTGTTGGCCAGGAGCGGTGGCTCACGCCTGTAATCCTAGCACTTTGGGAGGCCGAGGCTGGCAAATCACTTGAGATCAGGAGTTCGAGACCAGCCTGGCCAACATGGTGAAACCCCGTCTACTAAAAATACAAAAATTAGCCGGGCATTGTGGCACGTGCCTGTGATCCCAGCTACCCAGGAGGCTGAGGCAGAAGAACTGCTTGAACCTGGGAGGCGGAGGTTGCAGTGAGCCGAGATTACAACACTGCACTCCAACCTGGGTGACAGAGAGAGACTCCCTTAAAAAAAAAAAAGAAGTCTCTGTGTCTTCGTGGTGGTGGTTACATGGGCTGCACCTCTGTGAGCACTCAGAGAACTCTACACTTATATAATAGGTATATGTATATATATATATATATATATATATTTTTTTTTTTTTTTTTTTTTTTTTTTTTTTGAGACAGAGTCTTGTTCTATCGCCCAGGCTGGAGGCCAGTGGGGTGATCTTGGCTCACTGCAACCTCCATCTCCTGGGTTCAAGGGATTCTCATGGCTCAGCCTCCCGAGTAGCTGGGATTACAGGCGTGTACCACCACACCTGGCTAATTTTTGTATTTTTAGTAGAGATGAGGTTTCACAATGTTGGCCAGGCTGGTCTCAAACTCCCAACCTCATGTGATCTGCCCACCTCAGCCTCCCAAAGTGTTGGGATTATAGGCGTGAACCACCGCACACAGCCCAAAATGGGTATATTTTATTGTATGCAAATTATACCTAAAAAAAAAAAGTATTGTAAAAAAATCTTGGCCACACTCATGCCTGTAATCCTAGCACTTTGGGAGGCCAATGCGGGGCAGATCACTTGAGCTTAGGAGTTTGAGACCAGCCTAGGCAACATAGTGAGACCCCCATCTCTAAAAAAATACGAAAATTAGCCAGGCATGGTGGCACGTACCTGTAGTCTCAGCTACTTGGGAGTCTGAGGTGGAGGGATCACTAGAGCCTGGGAGATCAAGGCTGCAGTGAGCCATGATTGTGCCACTGCACTCCAGCCTGGGTGACAGAGCAAGAGCCTGTCTCACAAAAAAAGCAACAAAACAAAATAAAACAACAACAACAACAGCAAAGCGCCATCTGGGCCACATTTGACACAGGGCCTACCAGTTTGTGTCCTCTGTCCCAGTCACTGTATACATTCCTCATACAATTTTTTTTTCTTTTTCTTAGACAAGGTCTGGCTCTATTGCCCAGGCTGGAGTGCAGTGGCATCATCTCAGCTCACTGCAACCTCCACCTCCCAGGTTCAAGCCATCCTCCTACCTCAGCCTCCCAAGTAGCTGGGACTACAGGTGTGCACCACCACACCTGGCTAATTTTTGTATTCTTTGTAGAGGTGGGGTTTCACCATGTCGCCCAGGCTGGTTTCAAACTCATGAGCTCAAGTGATCCACAGAGGGAGACAGAGCGAGACTCCGTCTCAAAAAAAAAAAAAAAAAAAAAAAAGACACTCCAACCTCCAACCCAAAGAACTGCTCCCTCTTTTTTCCGGTATTGCTGAGCGTCCTTGGTCACTTATTTGGTGCCTGTGACCTCTTATTAGCGGATAAGAAGTTGAAGGTGCAAAATAATTTAAGAAAAATGCATGGCTCAATAACATAAAATTGGAACACTGTGCCCATTAATATATTTTCTCCAAGAGAAGCGGTCTTTGGGGATGAATGGGGACATAATCCTGGGCTTGTGGCACTCAAGGATAGAAAACGGGGTCAAGAGGGCCAGTGCCTGTTCTGTGGTAAGCAACTGAGGAAAAGCAAGCTAAGTGCTTTAGGAAGACAGAGAAAGAAGGGGAGCAATCTTGGGAGGCCTCCTGGAGGAGATGGCTTTGAGGTCAGGACAACTATTTCTCATCATTCTGTTGTGCTTTACAGTTTGCAAAGAATGTTTATACACATTTTGTTCTTGGATTCCTATGACCCAGCAAAGAAGCTGATTTCCTCCCCATTTTACAAAGATGAGGAAACTGAGCCCAGAGTGGTGAAGGGTCCCATAGAAGGTCTCATAGAGAAGCAGTGACTAACTCTGAACTTGACTCCAGCTGTCTGCCTCCACACCCATTGTTTTTTCCCTGACAACACAGCGTAGGTGAGAAGGACACCTGGTGGAGCAGGGTTTGCAGGAGCCAAGACATGGAGGGAAGCAGGGCAGGTGTTACAGAGAATGTGGAGTCATGGTCTGTGCTCCCGAGGCAGCAGGGCCAGCATAGTCAGTTGGACCTCAGTGAAGAATGGCATGGGGTGAGCAGTGACTCTACAGTGGGGATCACCTGATTGCTTGGGTAATTAGCCACAGGGAGTCATTATGTGACTGGCCTCATTTGGATTGACTGAAGGAAGCTGGCTGGTCAGGTCAGTGGCAATGGAGGGCCGCTGATCACTGACAGCAGGC
This sequence comes from Homo sapiens, assembly GCF_000001405.40. Classification (NCBI taxonomy): domain Eukaryota; kingdom Metazoa; phylum Chordata; class Mammalia; order Primates; family Hominidae; genus Homo; species Homo sapiens. Next base: position 53,051,874 of record NC_000003.12, on the reverse strand, counting down.
CTGGCTGGCTTGTGGAATTTCATTCAGTTCTTCATGGGTTGAAAACAGCATGATGTCCTGGCCAAGGGTTCTGCCAGTCCCCAGGGTCCAGGCCTGGCCCTCAGGTTCTCATCCAGTACAAGGCCCCAGGTTGATGCCCACCTGCAGAAAACAGGCCTGCTTCATGGGCAGGCAAGGCCTCAGGGCATAGGGGGTTCATATAGAATGGTTGAACACTGACCCCTTGGTCAATGATGACAGAGGGTTACAACCCCTAACCCATGAAGCCAGCAGGAAGTGGAGACTAAGTTGGGAATGCCCAGGATGCCTCCTGGGTGTGCCAGCCTCTGGTCTTGGATGCTGCCAAATGACCCACTAGCCACCCTCTTGTCTTCCCACTGCCTCTTGGGGAAAGGGCTGACCTCATGGTTATGGAGACAGGCATGTCTTTGTGCTCAAGGGGACTGATGTCCATCTGTGGGATTACAGGGGGGACAGAACCCAAATAAATGACAAACAAATGCAGGTATAAATTAGAAATATCACCACTGGGGAGAGAGAGAACCTGTTCAGATGGGGTGGGCAGGGAAAGCCTCTCTGAGGAGACCATCTTGTTAAGCAGATACTGGAACAATAAGGTGTCACCTATGTAAAGGTGGGTGCAGGAAGTGGGATGGGGAGTGTGCCAGTGGGAAGGACAGTGACATACCCATGAAATGGAAAGGAGACAGGTGCAGCTAAAATACAGCAAGCAAGGCAGGTGAGTAGGACAGCTGAATGGGACAGGTGAAGGTGGGCCAGGCCAGTCTTTTTTTTTTTTTTGAGACACAGTTTCGCTCTTGTCACCCAGGCTGGTGTGCAATGGCACGATCTTGGCTCATTGCAACCTCCGCCCCCCCCGGCTTCAAGCAATTCTCCTGCCTCAGCCTCCCATGTAGCTGGGGTTACAGGCGCGCACCACCACGCCCAGCTAATTTTTTGTATTTTTAGTAGAGATGGGGTTTTGCCATGTTGGCCAGGCTGGTCTTGAACTCCTGATCTCGTGATCTGCCCACCTCAGCCTCCCAAAGTGTTGGGATTACAGGTATCAGCTACTGCGCCAGGCCAGGGCCAGTCCTTTTTTTTTTTTTTTTTGAGACGGGGGTCTCACCCTGTCGCCCAGCCTGGAGCGCAATGGCGCCATCTCAGCTCACTGCAACCTCTGCCTCCCAGGTTCAAGTGATTCTCCTGCCTCAGCCTCCCGAGTAGCTGGGATTACAGGTGTGTGCTACCACACCCGGCTAATTTTTTGTATCTTTAGTAGAGATGGGGTTTTGCCATGTTGACCAGGCTAGTCTCGAACTCCTGACCTCATGATCCGCCCACCTTGGGCTCCCAAACTTTTGGGCTTACAGGCTTGAGCCACCGCACCTGGCCCTGGTGCCTTATAGGCCAAAGTGAGGCTTTTGGACTTCTGCAAAGTGCAATAGAGAACCTTGAAAGGCTTTCAACTGGGGTGAGTCATGACCAGAAGTCAGTTTTCCATAAGTTACCCCTCGTTCCGTGCGCCTCTGGGGCTGCATCTTCGGTCAACAATCCCCAACTCGAATTTCCCAGTAGCGTGGTTGAGAAGCTGGCATGCCAGGTTTGTGGCTAAGTTTTGCTTCTCTTTAAGGATGACCTGGAAGCTCTCAGTTTGCTCTTTGTCCGTAGGGAATGTTACGGCCTGTCCTAAAGGATGTTGCAAGAGTTAAAGGAGATTCTGTCCAACTGCACATGTGCATACCCACACCCACATCTACACAGTGTCTGACACAAGTCAGATGTGCAGACAGTTTTAAACTGTTCCTTGAGTTCTCTGTTCTTCTTCCTTAGGGGTCATGAAGGTGAGCACTGGAGAAAGGCAAGAGAGTTTTACAATATTTGAATAAATTGAAAGATAGGACCGGACGTGGTGGCCAGCGCTTTGGGAGGCTGAGGCGGGTGGATCACTTGAGCCCAGGAGTTCAAGACCAGCCTGGGCAACATGGCAAAATCCTGTCTCTACAAAAGATACAAAAATTAGCTGAGCATGGTGGTGCACACCTGTAGTCCCAGCTACTCGGGGCTGAGGCGGGAGGACTGCTTGAGCCTGGGAGGTAGAGGCTGCAGTGAGCCATGATAGCACCATTGCACTGCAGCCTGGGTGACCGAGTGAGACCCTCTCTCAAAAAAAATTTTAAAAAGGCTGGGTGCGGTGGCTCACACCTGTAATCCCAGCACTTTGGGAGGCTGAGGCGGGTGGATCATAAGGTCAGGAGTTCGAGACCAGACTGACCAACATGGTGAAACCCCGTCTCTACTAAAAATACAAAAATTAGCCGGGTGTGGTAGCGTGCGCCTGTAATCCCAGCTACTGAGGAGGCTGAGGCTGGAGAATCGCTTGCACCCAGGAGGCAGAGGTTGCAGTGAGCCAAGATTGCACCACTGCACTCCAGCCTGGGTGACAGAGCGAGACTCTGTCTCAAAAAAATCATTAACAATAGCTAACATTTACAAAACTTTTACTATGTCCTAGGCGTTGAGCTTGTGAGGCAGCTGTTAATCTTTTTTTTTTTTTTTTTTTTGAGTTGGAGTCTTGCTGTCACCCAGGCTGGAGTGCAGTGGCACGATCTTGGCTCACTGCAAGCTCCGTCTCCCGGGTTCACGCCATTCTCCTGCCTCAGCCTCCCGAGTAGCTGGGACTACAAGCGCCCACCACTACACCTGGCTAATTTTTTTGTATTTTTAGTAGAGACAGAGTTTCACCATGTTAGCCAGGATGGGCTCGATCTCCTGACCTCGTAATCTGCCCACCTCGGCCTCCCAAAGTGCTGGGATTACAGGCGTGAGCCACTGCGCCAGGCCAGAGGCAGCTGTTACTCTTATCCTAATTTTACAGACCAAGACCTGAAGGCCCAGAGGGGATAGATAAGTTGCCAAGGTCACAGGGCTGGTTGTTGAACCTGGATGGTCCGTCCTCAAAGCCAGTCCTCTTAACCCTTATATGATTATCCTAGGATGTGTAGAGACACATAAACCAGTGTGGATATCAACTGATAATCTGAAAAAAGAAGACCTCATAAGGGCATGAGAGGGAATCAAGCCTTTTCATATGTTAGAACCTATTCCAAAGAACCAATATTTAGATTCATATGGTATTTGCTCAAACTGAGGTCTAAGGAAGGAAATGGAGAATTCAGAAATATATTAATCAAAATAGAAAGTCTAGCGTAAAAGTAGATTTTACTAAACAAAGGAATTTTTTTTTTTTTTGAGTTGGAGTCTCGCTTTGTCGCCCAGGCTGGAGTGCAGTGGCGCGATCTCAGCTCACTGCAAGCTCGGCCTCCCAGATTCACGCCATTCTCCTGCCTCAGCCTCCGGAGTAGCTGGGACTACAGGCGCCCGCCACCATGCCTGGCTAATTTTTTTGTATTTTTAGTAGAGACGGGGTTTCACTGTGTTAGCCAGGATGGTCTCAATCTCCTGACCTCGTGATCTACCCGTCTCGGCCTCCCAAAGTGCTGGGATTATAGGCGTGAGCCATGGCGCCCGGCCTTTTTTTTTTTTTTTGAGATGGAGTCTTGCTCTGTCACCCAGGTGGAGTGCACTGGCACAATCACGGCTCACTGCAGCCTAAAACTCCTGGCCTGAAGTGATCCTCCTGCCTCAACCTCCCAAAATGCTAGGACTACAGGTGTAAGTCACCACGTCTGGTCAATAATTATTTAATAAATGGTAACTGCAGAATTAATAACAACCGATGACAGTGGTAGTGAGTTATGTCCATATTTTACTCCAAATAAATAAGCCAAAATAAAATCGGGATAGTCATCAGAGAATGAAATATGAAATGAAATTGTACAAAACTAGCAGAAAAAAGACTATCAGATGGGCAGCAGAAAGCTCACTTTGTCAGCACTGAAGCAATTAAAACATTAGAATGACACACTGAACATTAGAATAAAACAAGAAAGAACAACAGGCTAGAAAATATTTGCATCAATGACGACAAAGAAGTAATATCTGTAACATAAAAAAATGCTTGTTCAAAGTTAGAAGAGGTTCAAGTCCCCAGAAGATGGATATGAATAGATTATTCACAGGAGAGGGAATGCATATAGTAAATGCATGGAAAAACATTCATTTTTGAATGTTGTGTCACCTAAGAAATGCTAAGTAACCTTGAACTAGCAATAGACTATTAAAGTAGGGGGGAAATGGCACTCAATGTTTATAAGTGTGTTAAACTCCTTACACTTGTTCCTTGGAGGCGGTAGAATAATTGGGGCAGCTCTTGGGAAAAATATGACGCTGTAAGCCAAGACCACTTGGCCATTCATAGCCTTCTACCTGGGAGCCTTTCCACTCCCAGGTATTTGTCCCAAGTGCAGAATTCAAGGATACGTTAGCAAACAACCGTAAAGAACCAAAAACATTAGGGGGCTGAGTGAATAGTTAAGGACACCTGCACACCTTAAAAATGAATCGTGAACAAATAAAAATGGTAGTGAAAGTAGTAACAAAAAAAGTGTGGTTGCAACTATACACAGTATATATATGTTTCATGTCGTGAAAAGTTGCATTTCTTTGTAACAATATGGATTACTGTATTCTTTTTAGATTTTTCTTTCTCCGGTTGTCATATTGTTTTTTCAGTGGTGCTAAAAAAAATCTGGATTCAAATCCAGCCAGCAGCGTGACTTTGAGCAAGTTTGTGAAGTGGGATATTTCTCAGAGCGGTTGAGGGAGGTGGCTTGAGCTCGCACCTGGCACACGGTGAGAACCCCAGACTTTCTTCTTGCTGTGGGGGCGCCTCTGGGCCCTGTCCGATAACGCCTTTCACGGCCTGGGAGTCTGATCGGGAGCTCCCGGGTCTCGGTGGCGCGGGAACTCCCTTCTGGAGGGAACTTTCCGGAGCAGGTGGGCGGGTGTATGTCCCACGGGCACCTGCGCTCAGGAGGAGGGGGCGAGCTCGGGCAACGTAACCGCCCACGGTCACCTCGGGCTGCGGGGCCGACTTGAAGCCGCCTTCGAGGTTCTGATCCTTCCCGGGGCTCTGGGCTCGTTCGTCCCAATTCGCAGCTGTCCTGTGCCCCCTCGCTGCAGGAAGACTCAAGATTTACAGGGCGCCTCCTGCGGAAGCCTAGAGACATCGGGGGCGCCGAAGGGCCCGCGCCGGACTTCGCAGACAGGGGGCACTTGGGTGCCCTTTCAGGTCTCAGAGGGAGCGCCCGATCCCCGACGAGGGGCAGGCAAACGGGCGCAGTGCCCGCGGCGGCGGCACGCGCGCATCTGGGATCCGGCCGCTTCTCCGCTCATGCCATCTTGTCCGAGCCAGTCACGTGCGGGCGACAGCGGCGCGCTTCGCCGGGCCGGTACTCCAGGTCCGACCCGCGAACCCCTCTGGGATCCCCGCCGCTCTGTCTACAACCCGAGGTGAGGCGCAGGCTGGATCGGGGCTGGGCCAGGGCGGGCACTGGGTTCCCGGGGACGCGTCTCCTCTTCCGGGCCGTTCCGCTCGGGGCCACAGCGCCGTCGGGGGCCCGAGGCGCCGCCGCGTGTCCTGCGCCACGGCCTCGGGGCCGTCCGCGCCGAGTTGCTGGCTGGGGGCGTGGGTGGCCCGCGGCGCCGGACCCCCGGCACACCAGCCCGCGGAGTCCTTGCCTCCCGCGCGGCCCCAGCCAGGAGGGATGGCGCTGGGGCGGGAGCGGGGCAGCCGGGCCCGGGAGCTCCACGGGCGCGGCGCGAGGGGCGCAGGCTGCCTGGAGGACCGCGGAGCTGGGGGTGGGGGGGCGCGGGCGCATGCGCCCTGCGTCCGTGCCATATTGGAATGAGTCGGAGCGCGGAGCGCCGCCGCCGCCTCCGCCGGAGCGCGGGTGGAGGGGGGCGGGGAGAGCTGCCGGCCGCCCCGCTCCGCCGAACCCAGCAGGAAGGAGGGCGCGAGCGGGCGAGCGCGGGCAGCACGGGAGGAAAAAGCTTCCGCGCGGGGGAGCGAAAAGACGGAAAGAAAGAAAGAAAACGAGCGCGAGAGGGGGAAAAGCGAGCGATCGAGCGAGCGCGCGCGCGAAAACTCCGGGCAGGTAAAAAAGCGGGGCCACCGGCTGGGCCTTCCCGCGCGGCGGCCTGGAGGGGCGGCGGCGGCGCCGGGGCGGGGGACCGTACGGCGTCCCCTTCGAAGCGGCCGCGCAACTTTGCCAACGGGAAACCGCCGGGCGCCGGCGGGCGCGCGGGCTGAGGCGCCAACGGGCGGCGGCGGCGGCACGTTGGGGGCGGGGGCGGGGCGGGGGGAGCGCGGCGCCCGCGCGCGGCCCCGCGGTCCCGCGCGCCGGCCGGCCGGCTGCAGGGGCGCGCCTGGGCGCCTCGCCGCGGCGGAGAGCGGCGGCGGCCGTCAGCCCCTGGCAGGCAGCGCGGCGCGCGTCAGCCCGCGGGAGGCGTGAAAGGAAAGTGGCCGGGCGGCGGCAGTGGCGGGCGCCCAAGTTCCCCGGCGCGCCGGGCCCGCCGCGCGCCCCTCCCCGCGCGCGCCCCGCGCTCCGCCCGCCGAGCCCCCGCGGACCCGCCCCCCGGGCTCGCTCCGGGCGGGGCGCGAACCCGCAGCTGGGGCCGGGCGCGCGGCCGGTCGGAACTTCGGAGGGCCCGGGCGGTCGCTGCGCGGTGGCGGAGCGTCTAGTGGCCGCCGCAACCGGTGGCTCCGGGCCGCCGTTGTGAAGTGAGCGGGCCTCTCCCGCGCCGCGGCCCGCCGGGCACCGCCGCTGGACCCCGCGCCGACCCGGCAGCGCCCCGACCTGCCGCTCGGGAGGTCCGCGACCGTTTCGATTTCTGTTCCTAAAGTCCGATTTTGGACGCTGAAAAGGAGGCTGTGGAGGGGCGAGCGGCGTCCTGGGAAGCAAGGCCTGCTCTGTGCGGAGCAGAAACGCCTTGTGCGAACAGAAATAAATTCCCGCGGAAAGGATGTACGTTATGCTAAGTTTTTCACAAGATGTCAGCTGTTCCCGTAGGGTCTAAAACTAAGCCGGCAGGCACAGGTCACCCCCAGAGCTTGTGCTCAAGGAGTGGTGGACGCTTGGGTCAGGTGGGGGTGTTCCCAGCGGGTCGCCCGAAGCAGCACTGGTTGATGGTCCCAAGTGGTGTTTTTGAGTCCTGTTAGCAGTGATCTGTGTTTGAGAACCAAGTAACCATCAAAGAGATTCGAAAGGAAGTAAGATGGATTTTGTCAATCCCTGCGTATGTCTTCTCTTGAACCACATTTTCTAAGATGTCATTCTTAATTTTATTGCATCTGGGTAAAATGCCTGAACGTGTAATCATTAATTTGTCAACTGGCGAGAGGATGAAGGAAGATGTGTCTTCATGTGTACACTTTGAGGCCTGTTGACTAGCGTTTTGAGGCATTTGTTGAATTAGGCCGTAGGTAGATTCGGAGTTAAGATTTGTTTGCGATGTCAGAAAAGTTACGGCCTGGTAGAAACGGCCAGAGATCAGGAAACAGTTCTGTTATTACCGTTGTCATTGACTAACTGCCTTATCTTGGGCACATTTCTTACCCATTGTAGCTTTGATTTTCCTTATTTGCAACATTAAGATAAACAGATGATGTTTGGGGGTGCTTTCAGTTCGAAAATTCGGTGGCTTTCTTAACTGAAAGATTCTTAGAAATCACAGTGTATATTTTGAGAGGTACTACATAAAAGTGCTCGCAATGTGTGTCTTTATTAAAATTCATTTGGAAAAAACATCTTGGTAGCTAGATCCAGAATGGTTTTATATGATTATTTGAATAGATTTTTAACAATGTATTTTTATGGAGGTATGTATAACCTACCGAAAGATCTTAAGGGTACAATTCAATGACTTTTTATATATGTATATGCCCTGATAACCACACTCAGATCAAGATATGGAACATTTTCAGGCCTTGTATCCTTTCCATTCAGTAAACACATTCCCCCTCCCCAAGGCAACCACAATTCTGACTTCTGTCACCACAGATGAGTTTTGCCTCAAAACAGGACCCTTTTGAGGGTTAAAGGGGCAATACTAACAAACTGAGGATAGCTTGTATGTAAACTTGGAGTTATGGCCGTGTTGGCCATGACCCTTTGCTTTTATAATGATTCTTAGGGTTTTTGTAATCCAGAATAACTTAAAATTCTGTCCTGAGGAACTTCTTAGAAGGTCACTTTTCAGTGGGGGCAATACTTTGCAGGTTACGATTGGTAGTTCTTGGGAGTCCTTATGTTCACAGACAATGGTATTAATCTATGACTTCCCATTTTTAGAATATAGGTACTATATATTTGTAGACAACAGATTTGAAGAATGAATCATGAATTTTCCTAACAAGTTAGAGTTTAAGGTGTCAGTAGATGAATCAGTTTCTTAATGCCTAGAATTTGCTGAGAAAATTGAATGAAAATTGGTTTCTTAAAGTTAAGTGAATTAAGAATGTGTGCGTAAAGCTTTAACAACCTTTTCAATGACAGCAGTTGACTTATATATACAGGATAGTCAGCTGGTTTATCAAATCATTTAAAGTGCAACAATGAAAGCAAAAACAAAAGGTTAACTAAAAATTATGTCAGGTGTGATTAAAAAAATCAGCATGACTAAGATACCTTTTTTTTTTTATTAACCCTCTTTCTAGGAAGGTGGACTTTTAAATATTCTCCACTGAAGCAAATGCTGCAACAATTTGCATTTCCTTCACCAATGTCGTCTTGTGCCTTTTCTTGTTCCTACTGTAAAGGAGATGGGTTAGATGTTGTAAGTGAATTCTTATTTTGTTAGTTCCTAACAAAGGCTTGTGTTTTTTACTGCAAAGATATCTGTGTGATAAAAGTTGGGAATGTTCTAAGGCCTGTGGTGTAGGGATCCATGGGGAATAGTCCACAAAGTTAAAAGGTTTTCTTTTGTGAAATGATTTCGCTGAATAATTCTGTCTTTCCCGTGTTAAGCTAGCCAGCCAACTGACTGACCAGCAACTAAGCTGGATTTGGTCACTCCACCCAAGATTCACAGCCTCATTAGCCAAGAGAGTAATTGATGACTTAGCTATTATTGATACATTGTTTCTTTTTGTGGCTCTTTTTAAATTTCTTGACTTTTATGTGATCAGATTGTTTAATTTAAAATCTATTACATTTTTAAGAGAAGCAACTAAAGAGATACACGAGAAACAAAATACACAATGAAAGGGAATTTCCTTTTTTTGCTGTTTTGTTGTAAACTCAGATTTTTCCTTTTAAAAATGATTGCTGGCTAGGCACAGTGGCTCACGCCTATAATCCCAGCACTTTGGGAGGCTAGGCAAGAGGATCGCTTGAGACCAGGAGTTCGAGGCCAGCCTGGATGAAAGAAAAGGGAGACCCTGTGTCTCCAAAAAAATAAAAAAATTAGCCAGGCGCGGTGGTGGGCACCTATAGTCCCAGCTCTTCAGGAGGCTGAGGTGGGAGGATCCTTTGAGCCCAGGAGTTCGAGGCTGCAGTGAGCTATGATTGCACTGCTGCACTCCAGCCTGGGTAACAGAGTGACACTGTCTCAAAAAACAAACCAACCAACCCAGTATGATTTGCCTATCCATAATCTTCCTGCTTCTGTAGTATACTTTTGCTTTCACAGTGATACCTAGACTGGGTTTAGCTGTGGAATGGTGGTGTAGCAGCAGGTATCATTTAACTCTAAAGTCTGTAGAAAAGATGAACTATACAAACTTCATTGGCTTTTTATTTTGGCGTCATGTTATGTTCACATTAAGTAAATAGATACAGTCCAAAAACCAAAAGGCCATTATTTAGGCAGACATTTTACATCTTTAATATTTTTAATGTTACATTTTTTCTCTTATAATTTTCCAAAATTTTGCTTTCTTGGATTATTTGGCTTATAACCAATATTTTGGAATAACATAAAATAAAAGAACTTGTAATGAGTAAATGATACAACTTCCTTATGGCAGAGTATTTTTCTTTTAGTATATAGCATTCGTTACCTAACTGGGATATTTTGTATTTGAAAATAATATTTCTGTATATACATAGTTATTAAATGGGATAAAAGTGTGTGGGGATTTTGGTTACTTGCGAGATTTTAAACCATTAGAGTTTGGGGAGTGGGATTTTGATAGGAGTCTCCCATTCTTCAGGGGATACTAACCTCATTGGAAAAGAATTTTTTTTTTTTTTTTTTTTTTTTTTTTTTTTTGAGACAGACTTTTACTCTTGTTGCCCAGGCTGGAGTGCAATGGCACGATCATGGCTCACTGCAACCTCTGCCTCCTGGGTTCAAGCAATTCTCCTGCCTCAGCCTCCCAAGTAGCTGGGATTATGGGCATGCACCACCATTCCTGGCTAATTTTGGTATTTTTAGTAAAGATGGGGTTTCACCATGTTGGTCAGGCTAGTCTTGAACTCCTGATCTCAGGTGATCCACCCTCCTTGGCCTCCCAAAGTGCTGGGATTACAGGCATGAGCCCCCGCGCCTCGCGGAAAATGATTTAAAATAGAAAGAATGTGGTCAGGTTGTTGCAGATTCATGTTTAAACTTTTCAAAAGGGGGAGGAAGGATAAGAACACTGACACATTATTAATAGAAAAATCATATGACTTCACTGCATAAGTCTTAATGATTTGATTGTAAACCTTTTCCTCTAACTCAGAGACACCTGAAAACGTGTATGTAATTATTCTTTCTTTTATTCAAGAGGATGTTTATAACCTTATTTAGTTCTCTTTTGTCTTCAGGCAGTCACTCAAGGAATTTATTTAAAAACAAAAAATAGGCCGGGCGCAGTGACTTACACCTGTAATCCCAGCATTTTGGGAGACCAAGGCAGGCAGATCTCTGGAGTCCAGGAGTTTGATACCAGCCTGGACAACATAGGGAAGCCCTGTCTCTACAAAAAAAAAAAAAAAAAAAAAAAAAAAAAAAAAAATTCAGGTGTCTTGGTGCATGCCTGTAGTCTCAGCTACTCGGGAGGCTGAGGCAGGTATATCTCTTGAGCCAGGGAGACAGACGTTGCAGTGGGCTGTGATCACACCCCTTCAGCCTGGTGACATAGCGAGACCCTGTCTCAAAAAAATAAATAAAAACAAAAAAAAAAGTAGTCTGTATATTGTGTGTTAAATGATGTGTTAAGTACCTGTTGAACTCTGTGGTTTGAACAGTTGAGTAACTTCAGTGAGCCAAGCATGTCACTATGCAGAGAGAGGCTATAAGGTGATATTTCCAACATGATGCACAGTACTGTGTGCATTGGGTCTTTTTTTTTTTTTTTAACTGGCATACTGGTCTGGTGCATTGGTTCTTTTTTGATGTTTTTGCTTAGTCTAGAGAAAGGTTAATTATTAAACTGATGTGGGGCAGATAGGGTTGTTAAGTGTCAGTATCTGTTTATCTGGGAAACTTGGGTTCTGTCTGAGATGGTATTTGGAGAGGATCTTAGATGAGAGTTGGAAGGTGGTTTGTTGGCAGTTGAAAGTGTGGGACAGTCACACATTTGGAATGACAACATGAGCTGGGATGAGAAATTTAGCAATTACTAAAATGCCTCAGGAGTTTTTCTTGCTGATATTCAATTTAAAGTGTTAGCCAACAAGT